>NC_000011.10:118384545-118687576 GCF_000001405.40 Homo sapiens
TGACTACAAAGCAAATGGCTACACATAAGCATAAACTCTTCCTCTTATGGCACCGCCTTTGCTGATATTTCGCTCTTGCCTTACTCCAGGAGACCCCCATCAATTTGAACAGAAGTTTAATTACCGCCGTCCCATGTATCCTATCCTAAGATACATGTGGGGGACAGATACCTATCGGGAGAGCATTAAGGTGAGAGAGTTTTTGATGAAACCTGTTGCTTTATATAAGCCCTAATGAGTTGTAATTCAGTACTAAAATGGTTTTCTTGTGGGCTGGGACTTACAGGATTTGGCTGACTATGCCTCTAAGAATTTAGAAGCCATGAATCCCCCACTTTTCCTCCGCTTTCTTAACCTGCTAATGAATGATGCCATCTTCCTTTTGGATGAAGCCATACAGGTAAAAAAAAAAAAAAAAAAAAAGATTTAACTTCTCCATACCATCAAATCATCAGCAGTACATACATTTTACCTTTTAATCATAATAGAGCAGTCCTTATGCCCCTAGTACCAGACTTGAACACCAAAAATTTGTGATTAGTAGTGTACCACCAAGCTTGTCATTATAGAGCTTTCTAGTTCATTCCATTAGAGACCAAGATCAAGGGTCATTGAAGCATCATGAGATGGACATTTTGGCAGAGTCAAAAATACCATATGGTGAAGCCAAACTAAGTTGTACTGGCAGGAGTAATTCATCAGGCCAGCACTACAGAAAGAAATCAGAGGAGCTTGCTTTTGGTCAGTGACTTTCAACCCTTTTAATCCCAACATGTCAGTAAAATATCTCACTAAGACAGTGATTTTTAACCCACTTTCCTAAAAGATTCTGATTTTTGCACCACTACTTGAAAGAAAATCTCTGATTTGGGTTATTTTTTCATATAAAGGCTCCAAGTTGTCAATACTTCTCATATTTCCACTGCCTTCTAAATTCTTAGCTATATGGTGAAACAAAGGTTTCACAAAGTATAAAATGCAGCTGGGTGCCTCTCAGCTCCTTCAGTGTATTATTTCCTTAACCTTCCCTGGTGGAACTGCTTACTTCTCCCATAAAAACTTGGCTGTCTGTAGAGCAAAACTTCCCTTACCTGTGATGGGTATAGGATGGACAAGGCACTGACCTAAAGGGAGATGAAGCAGGTAAATCCTGAGGGTAGCCTTTAGACAGTCATGAGCTCCTCCTTATGATCAGCAATCCCCTGAGTAGCTTGTGTTTAATTTGTGAGAAAGGTTTGATCTGATTTCTTCATAATCCTACGCTTTAGGATTTAAGATAGGTTTTCTTCAAAAGCGAGAATAGGTCCTGTTACAAACAGGCCCTTTTAAGCAAGAGGTGTGTGACACAAAGCATGAAGCAGATGGTATTTTCATGAGACTGTAAGTTTAACAAGTTGTTTGCTACAACAGGAAGGATGACGTGAGGTAGAGAGTTTTAAATAATTATGGTTCTTCCACGCATCTTGCATATGTGATAGAGCTTTGATTTTTTTGTAAGCAATTTGGCAGGGGGGATTTGTTTTCATCTTTCAGGAAGGATTCATTGTTTTTTCACTATAGTGTGGGGTTTTTTAGTTTTTTGTTTCTTGGCCTGGGTTTCATATATTAAACTATTCATCCTTCTTTGCATTTCACAATGCTATACTATTTCTAGGGGAATTACCTGTGAATCTACCCAAGCTGAAACAAATCTGTATGAAGCCACAATTTCTTTTTTTCCTGAAAGTTCTTTTGAGCTTCAGCCTTATGCTGAGAAATAAAGGCTCATGTCTTTTACATGGTCCCTCGTTTTCCCAGCTTAGTTGACTGGATTTTGAATAGGACCTCTTAAATGTCACGTCCCTTCAACTGCACCTTTCTTCTCTGATATATCCCATCTCTGGTTTCTGCAGTATTTGAGCAAGATAAAGATTCAGCAAATTGAGAAGGATCGAGGTGAATGGGATAGTCTGACTCCAGAAGCCCGCCGAGAAAAGGAGGCTGGCCTACAGATGTTTGGACAGCTGGCACGTTTCCATAACATCATGTCCAATGAAACAATCGGTACCCTTGCCTTTCTCACATCAGGTAAGGACATGAAGTACTGCTTCCCCCCAAAAAAGTAATGGCCAAGATCAGCTTCACTTGGGGGATCAGCCCAGCTGAAACTAAGAATTCAGACCCTGGTGACAGTATCCTCCACATCTGGAAGGGAAACGAATCACTTGAGAAGCTTCAAAAAGAATGATGATGCCCATTGTTGACATGGAAGTGAGGAAATGGTCACCCTCACACAGCTGCCAGAGAGCATAAGGTGGTAAAATCTTTCTTGAGGACAAGTTAGCCATATAAATATATGTGTGTCTGTACACACACATATATACATATATGTTTGTTAATCTGAGAAATACGCTTGAATCCTGGTTAAATATGGTGGATCTAACAGAAATTTATCTCTACTCCTTCTATAGCTCCACTGTCCAATTCAGTAGCCACTTGCAACGTGTGGCTTTCAAGGATTTAAAATGTAGCTGGTCTGAATTGAGATGTGCTATAAGTACAAGACTTAGTGTTAAAATGTGAAATCTGTCCATTTTTATACTGATTACATACTGAAATTATCATTTTTAATGTCTCAGCTAAATGTGATATGACAATCAGTAATCACCAGACATTTGAGGAAATCCTCTAATGTGAAAAACAAATAGGTGAAAACTTTGTAAAAACTTTTTAAAAAAACTTTTTAATCTCAGAGGGATAAGAGAAGATACAGCAGCCACAAAACAAGAACAAAGAGGCAATGAAAGAGATTATTTGAAGAATAAGAAAGAGCCCTTGGATATTGAAATTTTTACCTCGGAAATGTTAAATATTCAGTAAAGGAGTTAGAAGATATAAATTCAAGGAACTCTTCTATGAACGTAGAACAGAAGGAAAAAGATGGAAATTAGAAGAGAAAGGATAAGAAAACAAAAGGATGGATCTAGGAAGTCTCAAAAGCGAAAAATGGAGGGGAGGAAGTTATCAAAGATACCAAAAAATCCCCAAGACTCAAAGACAGCCTCTAAATTGAAAGGGCTTGCCAAGGCCCCTGCACAGAGAATTTTTTAAAACCCACAGTGAGGTATGACATTGTGAAATTTTAGGAAATCATGGTAAAAACAAGACCCTAAAATAGCCCAGAGAAGTCAGGTAATGTTACCATAGTTTAAGTATCAAAATGGCTTTGCACTTCCAACAGTGTCATTTGAAGCTGAGACACATTTCTGAGGGAAAGTAAACCTAGGAGGAGGAAGGTGGAATTCAACACAAGGGAGACGCAAAGGAGATTCCCAGGATGACGGTGAAAGGAGCTTGTGTGGCCACTACATAGCAGGCCTGTAGAGCAAGCAGTCCAGGTTGGAGCAAAGGATGGAAACATCCAGAAAGAATGTTTCCAAAAATTAATCAGCAGCTGGAAATGACCATGTTGAGAGTTTTAAATTCCAATGGAGAGTTTGGAAAGGATTTAGTGATAAGAGGCTCTGAAAATAAGCAAATAAGCAAAAAGTTATACTAAAAAGGAACTATATACTCATTAGGACAGCACATGGCTCTGCTGTGAATAATATTTACATAATCTTAATAACAAACTAAATTATTTAAGCAAAAATTTGACTATATATTGAGGGCATCTGTGATAATGACTAAAACTGAAAAATCAAGAACTATCAGTACCAACCAAACATAGCATTATGATACTGTCTGACTTGTTAAATTTGGCATGTATAAATTTTTTTTAATTTTTGGAATTCATGCCCTATAACATAGCAGTTCCTTACAGATTTGTTAAGAAGAAGCGATAGGCCAGGCACGGTGGCTCACGCCTGTAATCCCAGCACTTTGGGAGGTCGAGGCAAGCAGATCACAAGGTCAGGAGTTCGAGACCAGCCTGGCCAACATAGTGAAACCCCGTCTATACTAAAATTACAGAAATTAGCCAGGTGTGGTGGCATGTGCCTGTAGTCCCAGCTGCTTGAGAGACTGAGGTAGGAGAATCACTTGAACTTAGGAGGCGGAGGTTGCAGTGAGCAGAGATCACGCCACTGCGCTCCAGCCTAGGCAACAGAATGAGACTCTATCTCAAAAAAAAAAAAAAGAAGCGATGAGTCTACAAGATGTATCCACAATGAAGTTCATTGATAAGTGTAGGAAAAAACTGAAAATAGTAAAAATGTCCACCAGTAAAGACATTAAATAAATAACTTATGGTGCAGTTACAACTGGAAAAGTCAGCCATTAAAAATGATGTAAAACAGACTGGGTACAGTGGCTCACACCTGTAATCTCAGCACTTTGGGAGGCCAAGGCAGGAGGATCACTTGAGCCCAGGAAGTTGAGACTGCCTTGAACCATGATCGTGCCACTGCACTGCAGCCTAGGCACCAGCAAGACCCTGTCTCAAAAAAATAAAAAATAATTTTTTTAAAAAATGATGTAAAACAGCTGGGCACAGTGGCTCACGCCTGTAATCCTCTAACCCTTTGGAAGCCGAGGCAGGAGGATCACTTTGAGCCCAGGAGTTTGAGACCAGCCTGGGCAATATAGTGAGACCCCATCTCATTTTTTAAAAAGATTATGTGAATCACCCCTATTCTATAGAACTTTCTGTGATGGTGAAAATGTCCTATAAATCTGGGCTGTCCAGAACCATACTTAACTAGCCACATGTGGCTAGTGTGACTGAGGAATGGATTTTTTATTTTTTATTTTAATAGCCACATATGGCCAGTGGCTACTATGTTGGATAGCACAGGGACATACACTTACTAAAATGATAAAGTATTTGCAATATAGTTACTGAAAACAGTAAGTTTCAGAATATGTAAAATATGATCATTTTTGTTTAAAAAATGTCTGTGTGTGTGTAAATAAGGACAGAAAAGCTAGAAGGACAAAATGTTAAATTAGCAAGATGTTAACAGTGTTTATCTCTGGATGGTAGTTTTTGTCTTTTCTGTTTTTTGTTTGGTTTTGGTTTTTTGCTTGTCTATATTTTCTGCAGTGAAAATGAATTACTTAGTTTTTTAAAAAAGTAGTTCCTTCAAAATGTTTAGAAATAAAATAACAGTAGTTCCCAGAGGTCTCCAAATAAACTATACCTAATAAGGAAAAGAGTGCTAATGGATTGAGTTTTCAGAGACTTTGGATTCTTTTCCAGAGATCAAGTCACTCTTTGTGCATCCCTTCCTGGCTGAGCGCATCATCTCCATGTTGAACTACTTCCTGCAACACCTGGTTGGCCCCAAGATGGGTGCCTTAAAAGTCAAGGACTTCAGCGAATTTGACTTCAAACCCCAGCAGCTTGTATCAGATATCTGCACTATCTACTTAAATCTTGGGTACCTGAGATTGAAATCTGTCAAGCCAGAGGGGATGCTGTTTTGATTTAGGGTTTTGATAGTAGAATGACTGGTTGGTAATTATGTGAAAATAGAAAAGAAATGGTTAATTCCTAGTTGCTTGATGAAGGAATCTTCTGTAGTTTTAAATAAGGAGATTTTATCTGGGCAAGGTGTCGTGTGCCTGTGGTCCAAGCTACTTGGGAGGCTGAAGTGGGAGGATTGCTTAAGGCCAGGAGTTTGAGACCAGCCTGGGCAACACAGCAGGACTCTGTCTCTAAAAACTAGTAAGATTTTGTGTGACCCATGGGACATTGAGATTTCCAGTATTCTGCTTTGATCTGTGCAAAGAGAAACTTTACTGGTTGTACCACTGTTTAGAAAAGTAGCATTCTTTTAAGGTCACATGATACTTGATAGACTTCCTAGAAAGTCTTTCTGTATCAAAAAGTATATATATTAAATATATAATATATTTAATATATATTATTTATAATTTATTATTATATTTTATATAATATAATTTTATATAATTATAATAAAATATATATTATATTTTATTATTATAAATAATAAATAATAAAATAATATTTATATATTATAAATAATATATATTGAAATAAGTCTTTCTATATCAAAAGAATGTTCATGGCTTTTAAGTGGTGAGAATGCTTGTTCTGCAGCCTACCTATTGTCTCTTCCATTGACCAACCCTCTGGTGATCAGTTTTTTTCTGATGCTAATGTTCCAGGGATGAGGAGAATTTCTGTGCCACTGTGCCCAAGGATGGACGTTCCTATTCCCCAACTCTCTTTGCACAGACAGTTCGAGTCTTGAAGAAAATAAATAAGCCTGGGAATATGATTATGGCTTTCAGCAACTTGGCAGAGAGAATCAAGGTGAGGAAGAGGAGGAATTGTTTGCTGATTTCATTAAGAACCACGTTGTCAGCCAGGCATGATGGCTCAAGCCTGTAGTCCCAGCTACTTAAGAGCCTAAGGCTAGAGGATCACTTAAGCCCAGGAGTTTGAAGCTGCAGTGTGCTATGATCATGCCTGTGGATAGCCACTACACTCCAGCCTTGGCAAGATAGCAAGACCCCATCTCCTAAAAATCCATGCAAAAAAAATCAGATTGTCACCTCAGCTGTGCTGATTTTTACTCTATTTCAGGGAGAAAAAGAGCATTACCAAGAGAAAATATAAACAGATGGTTCTTTTTGGACAGTCACTTAGAACTACAATATTCTTAGTTTTATTCTTGTCAACATGAGAGTGAGAATAGAAATTTAAGAAATCGGCTGGGTACAGTAGTGGCTCATGCTTGTAATCCCAGCATTTTGGGAAGCCAGGGTGGGCAGATCACTTGAGGTCAGGAGTTCAACACCAGCCTGGCCAGCATGGTGAAACCCTGTCTCTACTAAAAATACAAAAATTAGCTGGGTGTGGTGGCAGGCGCCTGTAATCCCAGCTACTCGGGAGGCTGAGGCAGGAGAATCGCTTGAACCTGGGAGGCGGAGGTTGCAGTGATCGCAACCACTGCACTCCAGCCTGGGCAACAGAGCGAGATTCCATCTCAAAAAAAAAAAAAGAAAAAAGAAATTTAAGGGCCAGGCGCGGTGGCTCACGCCTGTAATCCTAGCACTTTGGGAGGTCGAGGCGGGCAGATCACAAGGTCAGGAGATAGCGACCATCCTGGCTAACACGGTGAAACCCCATCTCTACTAAAAATACAAAAAATTAGCCGGGCGTGGTGGCAGGCACCTGTAGTCCCAGCTACTCAGGAGACTGAGGCAGGAGAATGGCGTGAACCCAGGAAGCAGAGCTTGCAGTGAGCCAAGATAGTGCCACTGCACTCCCGCCTGGGCAAAAGAGCGAGACTCCATCTCAAAAAAGAAAAAAAAAAAAATTTAAGAAACCTCAACTAGAAGAGAAGAATGTGCACATTTATGTAAGATGTTTTTATGAAAACGTTTATGCACAGTGTTACCAATAGATTTTAAAAGCTAGGGTGTTAATGCAGAATAACTTTTTAGAAAAAAAAAAAGATGAGTAGTTTTCAGTCATTAATTTTTATTTGGATTGTCTCTATGTTTGTAGTTGGTAGTTGGCTTTTATTGGAATATGCATACATTTTAAAGATTAAAATACTATATTGTATTTAGCTAAATCCCTTTGGTTAGAGTATGACAGAGCTCTATTAGCAGGTAAGAAGAAGGAAGATCATGGCACAAAAGTCTAATAGAAAACCTTCCTTATTGCTGTCAGTCTTCCCTCTATTGAGTTTCTTTTTTATTGAGTTGGACTTCATCTTTGTTTAGAGCTTAGCCAGGTGGATCCCTGAGGAACTCAAGTTGTGAAGGAATTAAATGTCAAAATGACTTTAAAATTCCTATACCTGTTTGTATCAAAAATCAAAAACTGCTTTTCATACGCAGGCTGCATGAGTGACTCTAATTATGCAAATAATACCCTCCTCCATTCTCCCTTCTCCATCCACTTTTGAATTATGGCATTTACAACAGAACTGTTGCCAGATGGATGTTATATCTGATGTATTTCTTTTCCTCCTAACATTTAAACCCATTTCCAGTATGACTGCCAGCAGCTGAGCCAACCTAAAGGTCCAGAGTTGGGGCTCAATGCTTAATTTGTTCTTAGAATATCTTGGCTTGTTTTTGAGAAAATGAAGCTCACGTGTGTCACTGTCACTGTCAAGGGTTATTAATGACCTGTTTTTTTATTTTTGAGATGGAGTCTTGCTCTGTCATTGAGCACGCTGAATTCAGCTACACTGTGAATTCACTTTAACTACCAGATGTTGTATACTCAGTCTCTTGCAGACCTCCAACAACAGGAAGAGGAAACCTATGCAGATGCCTGTGATGAGTTCCTGGATCCCATTATGAGCACACTGATGTGTGACCCTGTGGTGCTGCCATCTTCCAGAGTCACTGTGGATAGATCCACCATTGCAAGACATTTGCTCAGGTAGGCCAGTCCCAAAAACAGACTCAAGAGCATATATATATATTAGTTTGCTATCTTTTTCTCCCAGGCACCTAAGACAGTACTTTGCACCCAACACATACCACATATTATTGATTTACTGATATGTTGGAAGACATTTTGGTTTCAATTGCTAGGATATAAACATTTCAAAACAAAACATTCTGTTGAGAAATGCTAACTCTAACCTCACCTCTTCCTGCCTTAAGAAAATAATTTCTGGCCGGGTGCAGTGGCTCATGCCTGTAATCCCAGCACTTTGGGAGGCCGAGGCAGGTGGATCACTTGAGGTCAGGAGTTTGAGACCAGCCTGGCCAACATGGTAAAACCCCGTCTCTACTAAAATACAAAAAATTAGAGGGGCATGGTGGTGCGCACATGTAGTCTGAGCTACTCAGGAGGCTGAGGCAGAAGAATTGCTTGAACCCAGGAGGCAGAGGTTGCAATGAGCCGAGATCGCACCACTGCACTCCAGCCTGGGCTCAGGTGATCCTCCTACCTCAGCCTCTGGAGTAACTGGGACTACAGGCATGCACTAACACGCCCAACTAATTTTTGTATTTTTTGTAGAGACAGGGTTTCACCATGTTGCCCAGGCTGGTCTTGAACTCCTGGGTTCAAGCGATCCAACCGCCTCAGCCTCCCAAAGTACTGGGATTACGGGTGTGAGCCACTGTGCCTGGCCTGTTTTTTTATTTTTGCGACAGAGTCTCGCTCTGTCACCAAGGCTAGAGTGCAGTGGCGCGATCTCAGCTCACTGCAAGCTCCGCCTCCCAGGATCAAGTGATTCTTCAGCCTCAGCCTCCCGAATAGCTGAGACTACAGGTGAGCACCACCACATCTGGCTAATTTTTGTATTTGTAATAGAGATGAGGTTTCACCATATTGGCCAGGCTGGTCTTAAACTCCTGATTTCAAGTGATCCTCCCACCTCAGCCTCCCAAAGTGCTGGGATTATAGGCATGAGCCACCTCACCCAGCCTGCTTTTTCTAATTCAGGTTTTACACTATATTCACCATGTGGATTAACTCACGTTCTGTTGCTGTTGTTGTATCAGCTGTGGTAACCATGAACTTTCCCCAGCCTGCCTATTCTTCGGACAGTCTGCCCCATTATAACTATAGAAAAGACAGGAATGAAGCAATAAATGGTAGCTTATTAGCTGCTTAATGGGCCCCTTAACTTTTTTTAGTCCGGCATTAGAAAGAAATGAGTACTGAGAGACTCTGCCTATTTATATATTTATTTATCTATTTTTTTGAGACAGGGTCTTGCTCTGTCACCAGGCTGGAGTGCAGTGGCATGATCTCAGCTTACTGTGGCCTCACCCTCCCAGGCTCAAGCAACCCTCCCATCTCAGCCTCACCAAGTAACTGGGACCACAGGCCATGCACCACTGTTCCTGGCTTATTTATTTTTGTATTTTTTGTAGAGAAGGGGTCTCTCCATGTTACCCAGGCCAGTCTCAAACTCCTGGGCTCAAGCAGTCCACTCACATCAGCCTCCCAAAGTGCTGGGATTACAGGCATAGCCACCTTGTTTGGCCTCTCCATATTTAAAATTAAGTTATATCGAGCCAGGCACAGTGGCTCACGTCTGTAATCCCAGCACTTTGGGAGGCTGAAGCAGGTGGATCACTTGAGATCAGGAGTTCGAGACCAGCCTGGCCAACATGGTGAAACCCCGTCTCTACTAAAAATACAAAAATTAGCCGGGAGTGGTGACACATGCCTGTTGTAATCCCAGCTATTTGGGAGGCTGAGGCAGGAGAATCACTGGAACCTGGGAGGCAGAGGTTGCAGTGAGCCAAGATCACACCACCGCACTCCAGTCTGGGTGACAGAGCGAGACTCGTCTCAAAAAAAAAAAAAAAATTAAGTTATATCTCTACAAAAAATTATTTTTAATTAGCCAAGTATAATGGCACATGCCTGTAGTCCTAGCTACTCAGGAGGCTGAGGCAGATCGCTTGAGCACAGGAATTCAAGGCTGCACTGAGTTATGATGGCAGCACTGCACTCCTGCCTGGGCAGCAGAGCAAGACACCGTCTCTAAATAAACAGATAGATACATGTGGTATACTTTGACCCAAAGTTAAGGAAATTTTTAAATATTAAAAAGATGAATTTTTGGCCAGGTGCAGTGGCTTACGCCTGTAATCCCAGCACTTTGGGAGGCCAAGGCAGGTGGATCACCCTGAGGTCAGGAGTTTAAGACCAGCCTGGTCAACATGGTGAAACCCCATCTCTACTAAAAATACAAAAATTAGCTGGGCATGATAGCACGTGCCTGTAGTCCCAGCTACTCGGGAGGCTGAGGCAGGAGAATCCCTTGATCCTGGGAGGCAAAGGTTGCAGTCAGCCAAGATCACGCCACTGCAACTCCAGCCAGGGCAACAGAACAAGACTCCATCTCAGAAAAAAAAAAAAAAAAGAATTTTCTACCTCTTGGTATTTGGTATTAAGCATTCACTATATCGCTCGAAATGTGGCCCAACAAAAATTCATAACGTTTCTTAAAACATTACAAGAACTTATGTATAGGCCAAGACAGTTCTTCCAATGTGGCCTGGGAAGCCAAAAGATTGACATCTGTCATAAACCTTCTTATGTTTCAAGAAACCATAATCTGCATGTACTTGCATAACAATCAGCTGACTAAATCAAATGTTGGTCTACAAGGCTTTATTCCTTAACATCTCATACTGTTCTAAGAATCTGTCACTATAATTACAAATAGTTCTTTACACTGACATGAATGTATAGTGTCTCTGCCTTAGAGAAATCTAAAGGTGACAGAAGCATAGCATTTTTTAAGCCACTGTAATTAAATATCATCTGAACAGCAGTGTTGAGACAAAGTTTATTAAGAAATAGAGGCCAGGTGGGTGGCTCACGCCTGTAATCCCAGCGCACTTTGGGAGGCCAAGGCTGGTGGATCACTTGAGGCCAGGAGTTTGAGAGCAGCCTGGCCAACATGGTGAAACTCTGTTTCTACTGAAAATACAAAAATTAGCTGAGTGTCATGGTGCAGGCCTGTAATCCCAGCTACTTGGGAGGCTGAGGTCAGAGAATAGCTTTCACCCAGGAGGCAGAGGTTGCAGTGAGCAGAGATAACGCCACTGCACTCCATCCTGGGTGCCACTGCACCAGCCTGGGCGACAGGGCAAGACTGTCTCCAAAAAAAAAAAAAAAAGAAAGAAAGAAATAGACAAAGTAGCTACAAAAACTCCTGAATCATCTTGTTCTCACTCTTTCTAACCCCAACTCGGCATTTGACTCAAAGTTATAATGCACTCTGGCTTCATTCTTAAGATGCGACGCCCAGGTGTTCTGTTTTTGGCTTAGAATGTTAGAACTTATGGAAATAACCCTATTTCCCTTTCTCTCTTTGTCCCAGTGACCAAACAGATCCCTTTAACCGTAGTCCCCTCACCATGGACCAGATCCGGCCAAACACAGAACTAAAAGAAAAAATCCAACGGTGGCTTGCAGAGAGGAAACAACAAAAGGAGCAACTTGAATAGATACTGTGAACTAACCAAACCAAAACCAACCCCAGAGTGCAGATAAACAATTGTTTGTGGTTTCTCTCTTTCTGGTTCTGTTCCTTTTCTTTCTTCTTTTCTTTTTCTTTTTTTTTTTTTTTTTTACTAAATTAGAGAACTGCTCTTGCTGAAATTATGATAGTTAAGATTCCTAAGAACTTGACAATGCTCCCCTGGCTTGCAGGAAATTATACTTATTATAGCATCACCAAGTTTAGAAATCATCACTAATTTTCACCCTCTGTTGTCTCTTCATATTCTTCTTCCTTTTCCTAAATGAAATTATATTATTTCAACTACTAAAACTTCCCGCCACCCTGCTATTTCTCTTCCAATTACTGTTCAAACATTTTTGGTGAGTGCTGCTTTTATAAATATGTGATGTCACATATTTCAGTGACAGCTGATGTTATCAGAAAAATCCTGTTATCCTGTGTATTTACTAGTCCTCATGATCTAGACTTAACCCCTTTTCTGTGTTACAGAGTAACTTCACATAAAAGCAGATACCTTTAAGTTTGTGTAGACTTCTGAATAAGATGATAGACGAGAATTTTTTTTAAAAAAGGAATTTAAAGGAATCTTGTGCAACTTCTGTTGATAGCTCTTAATTTTGTTATACAGTCTTTTTAATGAGGATTGGTAGGGCAATCCTACCAATTGATGGGGGTGAGGAGACTGTTGGGCCCTTATTCTCTTATGAAAATCTGTTTCTACAAGGACTAGGCCTAAGTAGATTTAGGCAACGGGTATCATATCCATGAAAAATGTCATTTTAAGACACTAATATCAACAGTATATCTCAGTGTGTGAGATATATAAATACACATACACCCCATGTGCTTTTTTGTTGGTTTAGTGTAAACTGAGTACCACTTTATATTTTCTCTTCCATAGTGAGATGTATGCAGTATGTGGCCATGTTTACTAACATACTCATTCTTCACAAAATTCTGAGATTATAAAATGTATATAGTTAATATTTGTTTGAGCTTGTGACCTGACTTCTAAGAGCTACTTCTAACACAGCCTTAGGTCTTCAATTAACAAAGTAGGAAGTTGAGCACAACCTTGTCCACAGCCATTTTAAATATCCACTTAGCCCTGTGTAGTTGGTAGGTGGACACCACTTTCATAAGTGAACTTGAGCTCACTACTCAATTGTGCAGCTTAATATGCTGACTAGGGACATTCCCCTATGGATTATCTTTATATCACTGTCTTTCTAAGCCCAGAGATGTCATAAGTGACAAGAAAAGTGATAGGATCAAGAAATGGGTGTCACTGCTTCATTTGGAACATGTTATTAACTATGGTCTCTTTCAAATAAATAGTAGTTTTATATTTCAACACAAGTTGCTATAAGCAGTCCTTGATGGGTTTTTGATTGCATCAGCTGGAAAGCCTCAAATCTAAGAGGGCTTCCCATCCTAGATATAAAATAGGTGTTGCCTATTGCTGTGCTTATAAAATGAAAAAGGAAATTGAGGACACTTTTGCAAATGCCAGAATGTAAGATTCATTCAGTGTGCTCCCTGGGCCTTTATGGCATGGGTTGACAGGATTTGTTTATTTTCTAAAATTAGCTTCATTCAATATTTATCATCCTCCTTTCCCTCTCTGAGAATGAACTATGTATAAAATAAGCTTCTGCCTATTTGCATTTATCTTCCAAACCCAATCTAGTAGGATGTTCTCATTTTAAAAACGAGGGGAAAAGACCAGAGTTTTTCAGGAGAAAACTGGAGGAAAATGGGCACAAAAACTCAGAAGGCAGCTATTCCCAGCAGCTTCCTAGTTAACAACCCCCATGCTGCCTCCAGTCTTTGTCTGTATTCTTCTGTATTTAACCTTCAGATTGTAAGCCTTTTCTGGCAAGCTTTTCTTCTTTTTTTAAACTCTTTTCCTGAAACTTTTTATGAATGGCTATGGCACCATTAATGCTGCTGAATATCTTTAAACTCTGCACAAGCAAGTGTGTAGCTTAAGGCCACTACTGGTAAGGAAACCAAGTGTCCTCTGTGCCTTTTTTCTTTCTGTGAAGTAATTTAAGAATATCCAAAAAAATTAGACTTTAAAAAGTTATCTTGGTACAACACCGTGTGTATATACACTTGGAAGCTTAAAAAGGTGTTTTGTCTGGAACTTAGAAGCAGCTCTAAATCTAGTAGAGCAGACTTTCTAACATACCTAGTTTTGTGTATTGGCTTTGCTGGAGTATGATAGCAAAATGAAGACTCTTTTACTCAGCTCTGGTATTGCTCATAACTTACCAAGAGGCTAATACTAAACTTGGAAAATTGTTTAAGTATGTTTTATCAAGCAGTCTGGGTTTTGTTTTTTAATATACTTTTTAATGGATATGTGAAAACTGAAGGAAATGTTAAAGGTTTTTTAATGGTGCAAGTGAAGGTGCCAGTTGCTATTTGATATCACACTCTACAAAAGCTTCATTACTTTATTTGATGGTGGTTGCTAAGCAGCCATTGCACAGAGCATAAGTCTACTGGGTGCCTTTACATGCCAGAGGCTGATGCTGCACTGTTGATGTCATGTGAGGAAATAATGCACATGCTCTAACTGCTCAACAGGAAATGAACCTAGAAACAGAAAATGAAAAGGTTGATTGAAATAAAACTTGATCAACGCGACTGTATTTTGAAACATTCCAGGAAGGTTACTTCTTGTCAAACTTGCCTGGCAGTGTTTGTTCAAAACTTGTATTTAATAAATGAACATCTGACTTACAACCTTTGTTATCACTTTATTCCAGTATTAAAAGCTAGTGGCAGTTTCAGAAATCCCCCTGAAAACTTAGAGGATTCTGACGTTTCACTTTTTTTTTAGGTAAGTAACATCAAATATGTGTGACCTGGCTGACCCAGCCTGCCTTACCAGGCCTCTGGAGGGGACCCTGGGGTTACCCTCAGGAGATGAATCTCACAGTATGGTTTTCCTAACCAGCTCTCTTTTGGCTTCACTGTTTTTCTTTATCTGGCCTGAACCCCAGGTCTTTGTAATCATTTGCTGTTATCTTCCCCTTTCTTGCTCCTTGTTTCCATACCCCTGCCATGCAAGATGTCAGCCTAGATTAACTCAGCCATTCCCCTCTGCTGTAATATCCAAACTGCAGACCATTGTTGGAGGAAAAACACAATTTTTAGAATGGTACAACCACAAACTTATCTCTAACGTTGCCCAACAACCCTTCTGTGTGTCCTTCAGCTATTCCAAACTTTGGCCTCCTTCCTCAAATTCCTTCTCATACCCCCCTCCCATTGACCCCTCACAGTCCGATGACTTTGCCTTCATTTTGCTGGGAAGATAAAGACTTCAGAGACTTTGAAGACTTTCAGACCTCTCTCCCATAATCACATCTGTGGAAAAGGCCCCATAGATCCCTGGCTAGTTCTCTTTTCCTGCCTCATCAGGGCTCTTGTCAATATCCCTTTTTATCAGGCAGGATGGCCTGTGCCTGTAATCCCAGAGCTAAGCAAGAGGCTGAAGTGGGATGATCTCTTGAGGCCAGGAGTTTCAGGCCAGCCTGGGCAATGTGGCAAGACCCCATCTCTAAATAAATAAATGACTGCCTCTTCTCTGTCTTCAATTTCTCCCCTGAGTTCCACATCCCCCTTTGGTTTTCTGACTTGTAATCCTTTACAGCCATATTTCTTCACCATTCACCCTGGATTCTATCCTAATTTTTTGAAAAGGCGCTAGTTAGTTAAAGATTGCCATATTGCTAAATTAACTTTCCCATCCTTAATTTGACTTTTCTGCAGTATCTAGGGCAGCAGAATCACTCCTTCATTGAAAAGTTCTTAGTTCCTTGATTACACTTCTAATTTTTCTTTCCATCTCTCTAACCATTCCAAAAATCGGAGATTTACTTCTGCTCAGACTTCCCCAGGTTACATTACTTATAGTTCTGTTCCTCTCATCAAATGCCACTTCCCTACATACATCTTTTCCTCCTCATATTAAACTATGAAGTTTCAGCCCTCTGTAGTATACAGCTGTTCTCTTACACATCGGCTCAAGGATCTTTTCTAGGAAGTATGCTGAAATCAGCACCATGCCTAATCTGATGGAATGCCCCCTCTCTGAGTATACATTGCAACTTCAGATCTCAACTCTGCCACTTCCAAACTGTGTGGCCATTTTTCAAGCCCAGTCTCAATGGGGACAATGCCTTACAGGCTTTCTTTAAATTCCAAAATGCCTGGCATAGTGTGGGCGTTCAATACAGGTGATTTTTTCCTCACATCTGCACAGCTCCTTGTGGTTAACTAGGGAATTAGGGGAAATGGATTCCAATCGTGATACAGCACTTTGGGGAGATTGGGATTACAAAAAATCAACTTTAAAAGGGCTATGGGGCCAGGCGCGGTGATTCACGCCTGTAATCCCAGCACCAAGGCGGGTGGATCACTTGAAGCTAGGAGTTCGAGACCAGCCTGGCCAACATGGTGAAACACCGTCTCTACTAAAAGTACAAAAATTAGCCAGGCGTGGTGGCGGGCGCCTGTAGTCCCATCTACTAGGGAGACTGAGGCACAACAATCGCTGGAACCCGGGGGACAGAGGTTGCAGTGAGCCGAAGTCGTGCCACTGCACTTCAGCCTGGGCGACAGAGCGAGACTGTCTCAAATAAAAAGGGCTATGGGTTGAGCCTGGTGACAGCCTGTGTGGTGATTGCTCGGCCCCTAACTTTATATGTTTGGCCTTGGACCCTCTCTACCTCTGTACAACGATCGTGTTGGACTAGAAGAATCTCAGCGAATCCTTCTCCAGTACTGACTTCAAAGGTTCTCAGAATCGCGGCGAAAGCACCCTACGCAAAATAGCGGAGGTCGGCGCCAAGAAAAGCACTGCAGGTTCAGGGCGCATGCGCATTTCCGCTCCTTGCCGGTTTTCCGGACCTCTACGAGTGGCTGCCCCACAAAATGCCTGCTTCTCTGCGGAATCCTACTGTTCTTCACATGCTCTCTAATACCATCTTTTCATATCCACTTTCTCTTCCATGTTGAAAAATTAAATTGACAGGCTGGATTCTGCAAAGATCTTTGGACATTTAAGTATCTTCGACCGGCGCGAAAAGAGGCGGCCTGACCTTGGAAGTGGGACGGGGTCCTGCAGCGGGTCCTTCCGGCGGGTGACATTCAGCCGGCGGTTCGGGGCGACGGACTCTCCATTCCAGAACCATGGCCCAATTTGTCCGTAACCTTGTGGAGAAGACCCCGGCGCTGGTGAACGGTGAGCGCGATGTGAGACCGCCGAGGCGGGCACACGGGCGGCAGGGAGGCCTGCGATGGCCTGAGAGGAAGAAGCGGGCTGCGAAGACCCGAGGGGCCTGCGGGTGCCGGGGCGGGATGGCCTGCAGGTGGAGGGAGCAGGAAGCAGGTTGGCGACTCTTTTCTAGCCTTCCACTCGTCTGACCTGCAGATTGGGTTCTCTACACAACCTAGAAGTTCCTGAATTCTAACCACGACTGGGAAGAGAGGTAGTGTGAAGGAAGCCCGGCGTTGCCCGGCAGCTGCAACCATTACGCCCCCTGAGATCGCTAAGAGCAGGGATCTAGAGGGGATGGTTCTGTTAGGAGAGCTAAGAAAAGGAAGGGCAGAAACGTGAAAGTAAATCAATTCGGCCTCATTACATGTGGTGTTGTTCTCAGTGGAGTATTTGGAAGTCAACAGAAATGTTTAAGGATGGGTGAGCTTTTTTGAACGTTGACTTTGCTTTCTGTCCTAGACGGATTCTAAGATACTTCCGCTTTAATCCGAGGGAAATTTTAGGTGGAAATGGACTTCATGGATGAGTATCCATGCCCCGAGAAGCATAGGACGGGATCCGTATAAACAATAATCTTTGTTACGAAGCTTAGCATTCGTGGAATTTTTTCAGCTTGAAGAGCCTCACTGGTAGACCGCTGTATTTCACAACAACCCTGAATAATCACAGCCTCTGAGTACTAGTTTATTTGGCCAGTAAATATTTCAGTTGTCTTCTCAGTGGCAAGCTATTCATTTTATTCCTGAAGTGAGATAAGCTAAATTGACGTAAGTTTTTCCTAGATGTGCTGTATTCCAGTAAGTGACTGAAGGTCGGATCTCTTAACTTTTGCCTACGTTTATGAAATGTGAATAGAAAGCAGAACTTCAAAAAAAATGTAATACTTTCTAGCCTATTTTGCTGTGTTTGAGTTTGGTTTGGGTATTTTCTTTTTCTTTCTTTCTTTTTTTTTTTTTTTTTTCCTAGAAGACAGGGACTCACTCTGTCGCCCAGGCTGGAGTGCAGTGCAGATCACAGCTCACTGCAGCCTCCACCTCCTAGGCTCAAGCGATCCTCCCACCTCAGCCTCCTGAGTAGCTGGGATCACAGGCACGCACCACCACACCCAGCTAATTTTTGTATGTTTTAAGAGACGGGATTTCACCATGTTGCCCAGGCTAGTCTCTTAACTCCTGGGCTCAAGGGATCCTCCCGCCTCGGTCTCCTAAAGTGCCAGAGTTACAGGTGTGAGCCACAGCGCCAGCCGGGTAATTTATCCATTCTCTCCTCCCTTCCCTCCATCACCAGCCAAACTATGAGTTATTGAAGGCTGTCCTGCAGAACCTCACAGCCTACTAGTGAAACATTTTACACATTTTCCCAAATAATTTCATAAGCTTGCAAGAAAATCTTTTACTTTACTAAGATTGTTAAGATACCTGTCATAGAGCTCTACAATTTTATATAAATCAAAAGAGATGGCCCTGCGGCGGTAGCTTACGCCTGTAATCTCAGCACTTTGGGAGGCCAAGGCGGGCAGATCACTTGAGGGCAGGAGTTCGAGACCAGCCTGGCCAACATAGTGAAACCCCATCTCTACAAAAAATACAAAAATTAGGCAGGCTTGGTGGTGCATGTCTGTAATCGCAGCTACTTGGGAGGCTGAGGCAGGAGAATCGCTTGAACCCCGGAGGCGGAGGTTGCAGTGAGTCAGGATTGCACCACTGCATTCCAGCCTGGGCGACGAAGCGAGGCTAGGTCTCAAAAAAAAAAAATAATAATGCTGGACACTGTGGCTCACGCCTGTAATCCCAGCACTTTGGGAGGCCAAGGCAGGTGGATTACCTGAGGTCAGGAGTTAGACACCAGCCTCACTAATATGGTGAAACCTCGTCTCTACTAAAACAGAAATTAGCCGGGCATGGTGGCAGGCGCCTATAATCCCAGCTACTCGGGAAGCTGAGGCAGGAAAATCTCTTTAACCCAGGAGGCGGAGGTTGCAGTGAGCCAAGATTGCGCCACTGCACTCCAGCCTGGCGACAGAGCGAGACTCCGTCTAAAAAAAAAAAAAAAAAAAACTAAAGAGAAAAAAGGATTAGAGGCTTCACTCTGGACTTTGTGGGTGATTTAAGGCACAATTCTTAATATTTCAAGTGGATTTTTTTTCTGGTGTGGCTTTCACATTTTTTAGGTGGCGCATATTAAGGAATTGCAAACTAATTTTTGTGATCTAAAAAGAAAAGTAACACCAAGGTAATTTTTTTGTTATGAAATATATAATATGAACCCTTCCCTCCGTTGTAAATAATTGAAAGATAACTTGTTATTCTTCCAAAAGTACTTAGAAAGGAGGACTCAACTGGGCTGGAATGTTAACGTGGAAATACATTTTGCTTTATAACATACATAGGCTAGTGTATTAAATGTGAATGTTAAATATTTAATAAAAATTACTGACTATATCTGTTAATTCCCCTGGGGGTCAAAAAAGCTTATGGAAATAAGTAAATTTATCATCAGGTTTGCCTAGGAAGATCATAGAATCTGATTTTTTTTTCCCTTAACTGTAGACTTTATTTGTATTTCAATAGTTTTTCCAATAATCTTTCAGTTCCGGGATCCAATCCAGTGTACCACATTGCATTTAGTTTCTATGTCTTCCCAATCTCCTCTGGTCTGGGACAGTTTCCCAGTCTTCCCTCATCTTTCCTGACCTTGACAGTTTTAAGGTATCTAGGTATCTTGTCTGTCTAGGTATCTGTCTTGTCAAAGTATCTGTCTAGGTATCCTGAAGAATTTCCTCAATCTGGATTTGTCTGGTGTTTTTCTCATGCTTAGTTTGGCACTATGGATTTTGAGGAAATACCACAGTGAAGAGATGCCCTAATCACATGTCAGGAGGTATATGATATTCCTGTGACATCTCTGGTGATACAAGCTTTCATCACTTGGTTATAGGTTCCTCTACTGTAAAGTTACTGTTTTTCTCTCCGTGTTCTATTCTATAGAAGCAAATAACTAAGCCTATCCCATAAAGGCAAGGTGTGATTACAGTGGGGGGATTCCATCCCCTGTAGGAGGGAATATCTACATAAATAGAATTTTTCTGTGAGAAAGATTTGTCTCTTCTCCATTTATTTATCCAGTCACTTATTGTATGGACTTGTACATTGATTTCATACTTTCTGTATCAAATACTGTATTATTGCTCAAATTATTTCAGCCTTGGCTATTTGGGAGCTCTTTCAGGTTAGCACCTCTGTCCCTTTGACATACCGCCTCCCTTTCTGATACTACAAGATGCTTCAGATTTATATTGTATTTTCCCTGTCCCAGCCCTAGAATCAGCCATTTCTCCAAGGAACCTTAGTTCCTTTTATTGGACAATAGAATTGAGAAACTAAGGTCTGGGTGCTGTTTATGTTCCTTGCTACCAGAATATCACTACTTCTAGGTCCTCTCATTTGACAGGAATATAGATATGTATCAGTATAGATGTGTGTATGTGTATATACATGCATACTAAGCCATGTATATACATGCATATATGTATATATAATTATTTCTGTGTCTGTCAGTCTGTGTATATATTAAGCTAAACCTGAGTCCAACTCTAACCCAGTACTGTGGGATTTATTCTTGCTGCTTTTCTTGTTTACCTGTAACATCACTCAACCTCCACTGAGAAATCTAGCTCCCATTATCTACCATTCATTATGTTTTATCTCTTGTATACATGTAAAGCAGTTTCAAACTCTAACCTGTATCCCCTAAGAAACAAATTTACCACCTAAAATATTGTTTATGTACAGTATACTGATTCATTTTTTTTTTAAGGATGAAATGTCTGTGTGTTGGAGATAATATTGACAATTGATTGACTTATACAAGATTGTGCTTTTTTTTTATTGTCCCATCTTTCAGGCATTGGCAGTTCTGTTTGGAACTATCTCTTAGAGCTTTGTGTCTGCTTAAAGGTATGCCCATATCCCCAAACACAGAAGATGAGGGAGATAGTAATTCAGAAATACTCAAATGGAGGCCGTTAATATGAGGAAAACACCAAGAGCCTTGGGTAATCTGTCTTTGAACAGTAGACACTTTATGGGCTTTCATGCTATTTTTATTACGTTTCTCTTGTAATTTTTGAAACAGAGTCTCATTCTGTCCCCCAGACTGGAATGTCATGGTGAGATCTTGGCTCACTGCAACCTCTGGCTCCCGTGTTCAAGCAATTCTTGTGCCTCGGCCTCCCGAGTAGCTGGGACTACCGGCACACACCACCATGCCCAGCTAATTTTTGTAGTTTTAGTAGAGACAGGGTTTCACCATGCTGGGCAGGCTGGTCTCAAATTCCTGGCCACAAGTGATCTGCCCGCCTCAGCCTCCCAAAGTGCTGGGTTTACAGGCATGACCACTGCACTTAGCCTCTCTTATAATTTTTTAAATAAAAAATGTCTTCCTCTTTCTGAAATCACTACTGCAGTCTCACAACTACCCTGGTTGTTAATGATCTCTTCTCTTGAAATAGTAAATACCTTGAGGAATTCCAGCTTGGTAATAGATTCTAGTTTTGGCTCTTCTTAACTATACATGTAGATTTTACTTTTATTATTTGTGGTGCCTTTAAAAGAGGAGCAGCTGTGCTTTTGTCAGAGAAACATTTAATCCAGCACATATTGATGAGGATACCAAAATGGGTACCAGTTGTTTTAATTCCATCTGGATTTGTGGATAATATTATGATAACTTTTCATCTTGTTCTTAAGAGTGCCATTCTAAATCCTTCATCCCTTTCTTCACCTCTTTCTTCAAATTTGCTGGTCTCTCTCCAAGAAAATATGAATAAATTGACTGTTCTCTTGTTTTTAAATCCAATTCCTAGCATCTTTACAGTTAGCTAGATTTGCCATTCATAAATGAAGTACAGTACTAGCTGGCCACTAGTGAAGTACTGGCATAATTGAATGTGCTTATAGCATCCTGCCTGATTGAACATCCCTGTGGCACAGGTGTTCTGCATCTTTAAAAGCCTCTTGTTACCAGGGAGCAGCTTTGACTTTTCACACCGGGTGCACATTTGGTACAAGCAGTGAATGAAGGTGATGCATGAATAAATATTTGTGTCCAGCCCACACATCTGCTTCTTTCGGTCTCTAGTGAGTTCATCCTGGTTTTTTGTTTTGTTTTGTTTTGTTTTCCAGCTGCTGTGACTTACTCGAAGCCTCGATTGGCCACATTTTGGTACTACGCCAAGGTTGAGCTGGTTCCTCCCACCCCTGCTGAGATCCCTAGAGCTATTCAGAGCCTGAAAAAAATAGTCAATAGTGCTCAGACTGGTAGCTTCAAACAGCTCACAGTTAAGGTAACCACGGGCTAAATGAAAACGGATGTGCATAACAGAAAATGTCTTCCCTTGGGATTTTTCTGATTGTTTTGATTAATATATATGTTTCCAATGAGGCTGAATCCAGCATAATGAGGAAAAAAATTTTGACTGCTGAGGAAGATACTTACTTTTCTAATTTTGTCACCTGGGTAGAAATAATTAGCCCATTTTATGTCTTAGTTTCCTAAGAGTCTTAAACCTAGCAAAAAAGTGACCATTTTTATTGGGAAATTTTTTTTCCTTTCCTATATTAGATAGTATACTAAAATATGATGGCTTGCTTTGCTGAGTCTGTACTTTTTTCATCTGGAGTCCTGAGATTGTCCCCAATTCAGCCAAAACATCTCTTGAACTATGTCACAGTCAGGAAGCTAACACTTCTTATATATAAGATAAAAATACCAAACTGGGTTATTGAATTGTGTGAAGATAAAATCTAAAAACTGTAAGAATTAGAACTTGCAGCCATACGCAGTCACTTCCTGCCTGTAATCCCAGTACTTTGGGAGGCCAAAGTAGGAGGATCGCTTGAGGCCAGAAGTTCAAGACCAGCCTGGACAACATAGCAAGGCCCTATCTCTATCCAAAAAAGTGAAAAAAAATTGCCAGGTGTGGTGGCATGTACCTGTAGTCCCAACTACTTGGGAGGCTGAGGCGAGAGGATCGCTTGAGCCCAGGAGTTAGAGGAGGCAGTGAGCTCTGATTGTGTCACTGCCTGGGTGACAGAGTAAGACCCTATCTCTTAAAAAAAGGAAAAAAGGCTGGGCGCAGTGGCTCACGCCTGTAATCCCAGCACTTTGGGAGGCCGAGGCGGGCAGATCACGAGGTCAGGAGATCAAGACCATCCTGGCTAACACGGTGAAACCCCATCTCTACTAAAAATACAAAAACTTAGCCGGGCGTGGTGGCGGAAGCCTGTAGTCCCAGCTACTTGGGAGGCTGAGGCAGGAGAATGGCAAGAACCTGGGAGGCGGAGCTTGCAGTGAGCCGAGATCGCGCCACTGCACTCCAGCCTGGGTGACAGAGCGAGACTCCATCTCAAAAAAAAGAAAAAGGAAAGAAAAGAACTGGAACTTGGATTTTATTTGCATGATCCAAGCACAGAGTACAAAAAGCCTAAACAATTGCTAGTTTTAGAGCCTACATCCTGGGAAGTGTGGTTGTTTTTCAGAAGACTTCCATAAATTTCTGGTCTAATTTGATGGGGAAAATTCACTTCCAGAAGTGCTAAAAGGAAAAGGTCCAGTTTTGTTATGGAAAGTTATTTTTTCAACTAGAATTTCAAGATCCATATTATTGCTCCATGTATTAATAACAGTGCTTTCCTGAGCCATATGTGCATATTTCTCTTTGGGACAACAAAATGTTGATATGAATACCAGATACTTAGTCAGAGTTAAGTCAAATACTGAATGAATAAAAATGAGGTCTAAAGGGGAAGACAGCACTTCATCTTTCAGCAGATTTTCTTTTGCCAGACAAAAATGTCTATTCAGAGACTCGGCCTTCCTATAGCCATCCTATCTAAATGCGCCAGCTATATCCAGGATGTGGATTGTTTTAGGGCTCATAAAGTGTCTCATAAACTTATAATGAAAGGGTTAAGTCAGTTCAGGTCTTTAAAGAATGCTTTGAAAGAATTTATATAAGCTTTGACTACTTACCTTACAAAATTGAAAGTTCAAGGGTTCTCAGCAGTTGAAGAGAAGTAATGTTAGTAATTCTCAACTTTGACTAAAACTGCCTTCTAGTTTGAATAGCATCTTTTATGTTCTTTGTCTCCTTAATTCTGGAAAAGAATAGTTTCAAATATATATATATATATATAATTATATATATATATAAAAGGTACCTTAAAATGTATGCTTCTTTTTTCAGGAAGCTGTGCTGAATGGTTTGGTGGCCACTGAGGTGTTGATGTGGTTTTATGTCGGAGAGATTATAGGCAAGCGGGGCATCATTGGCTATGATGTTTGAAGACCAATCTTTAACATCTGATTATATTTGATTTATTATTTGAGTGTTGTTGGACCATGTGTGATCAGACTGCTATCTGAATAAAATAAGATTTGTCAAAACTCAGTGTTTTCTCCATCAGATACTCCATGAAAGGTCACAATTTCTCTTGATATTAAGCTGGGTTGTCTTTAAACAACCCTAAATACACGTCTGTTTAGCCCGCAATTGGAAAGGATATATGTGGCAATATTAACCTGGTACATGAATATATGGGGATAACATTTTAATTTGAAGGTTTGGAATATATATATTTAAGCTTTATTTCCAGAACAGTGAGGGTTAGGTCTTGGGAAAACTATAACTTGCCAAAGTAGAAGAAATAGTAGTACCATATGCCAAAGTGATAGAGATGAATCATGTCAGTAGTTAGAATAACATTTCAACTGTTTTCTTTGCTAAAATCACAGAAAGACCCTATTGACAACATCTATGTCTGTAAAAATGTTAGAGTACTTGTCATCTTGAATATAGCCTCCCCAAGAGAGAACAGGGTGGTATTCTAAGTATGTTTCTTTGTAACATCTTTAGCAGTAGGACAGAGCCATACATGTGAAATCTGATTTTTATGTGTGTTATTCGTTTGTCTGGTTTTACTACCTTTGCAAAAACAAAATACCCCAAAGATATTTAAACAAGGTTATAATTTAGCATCTTCCCTGGATCTAAATAGTATATTATATCCTGAAATAAATGAAATGATTGCTATAGTCTGTCTTCTGGAGCGATTTTATTGGGTATATAGGAGAGATTGATCATTCCTTAGCTTTTCCCCGGGATCTTAGAATCCTTAATTGACTCATTGGTACTTTCCTAAATCCACTGTTATTCTTGCAGCCACAGCAAAACATGCAATACCAACTGATGATAACCAAAAGGTGGTTGCATATTTATTACAAAAGCATTATGGCTCACAATACAGTATTAATCCTTTAATAGTGTTGAACCTTTATCCGGTCAATCCCAAATTTACCCACTGCATTTAGAACACTGCTATTTTAGCCTAATAAACGTCACAGCTTATCTAAGTGATAGGCAAGAAAGTCTCCATAGAGACTGCCACGCTGCTAAAATGTGAAGTAATGCCTAACTTACTCCTGCAATAAACAGGTGGTCAAAACTGAAATGACCTCTTTTCAAAAAGTACTCAAAAAGACTGATATGAGAAAGGCAATCAGTTTCTTTTTCATACAGTGCATGATTATTCAAATTAACCAGAAAAAAACAAGGTAGGAGATCAGCTAGTACTAGTTAAAACCTACAGACACCTAGTTGATTAATGATATGTAATGTGATTGTTTTTAACGCCACGGTCACACCAGAAGGTCCTCAAAATAAACATTTACTACTCACTTCACTGCAACTTCCTCCTGCTTTGCCATACACAACACCTCTGGTCTCCCCTGTGGCTAATAGTGCATGTACGGAATTTTCTTAGGTTAAAATAGCAGTGAGCTCCTTGAAGTGGCCACTTGACTTCACCAGGCTTGTTTCTCTTTTTTTTTTTTTTTTTTTTTGTCCTCATCAACCCCAAATATCTTCTAACAGAACTGTTGAGGCTTTCAATGAATGTGTGCTGCCAAGTGTTTGGCATTGG
This sequence comes from Homo sapiens, assembly GCF_000001405.40. NCBI lineage: Eukaryota > Metazoa > Chordata > Mammalia > Primates > Hominidae > Homo > Homo sapiens. The sequence goes on from NC_000011.10 coordinate 118,410,735, forward strand.
CAAACTCGGTGTTTATTGTGCACCTCCTAAGTTCTAGGCACAATTAAAATGGCAGAAACATTCATGAACAAGACTGTTACCTGTTTCACAGAGTTTGATCTGGTAAGACAGGTAATTAGGCATGCAATTACTGTAATAAGATGTGAGAAGTACTATAATGAGGGAAGGGGAAGGTATACTTGAAAGGCTAACCCAGGGCAGGGTGCAGTGGCTCACACCTGTAATCCCAGCACTTTGGGAGGCCAAGGCGGGCAGATCATGAGGTCAGGAGTTTGAGACCAGCCTGGCCAATATAGTGAAACCCTGTCTCTACTAAAAACACAAAAATTAGCCAGGCGTGGTGGCACACACCTGTAGTCCCAGCTACTCGGGAGGCTGAGGCAGTAGAATCACTTGAACCTGGGAGGTGGAGGTTGCAGTGAGCCGAGATCACACCACTGCACTCCAGCCTGGGCGACAGAGGGAGACTCTGTCTCAAAAAAAAAAAAAAGAAAAAAGAAAAGCTAACCCAGACGAGAAGGACGTTCAAGGGAGGTTGTCAGAGAAAATAGTAGCTATATAAACAAGGAAAGTACATTAGCCAAGAAGAATGGAGCAAGGTATGCTGGCCAAGTGAAACAACCTGTGCAAAAGCTACTGTCAGAAAAAGTGTAGTACATTGAGGGTCTGAGAGTGTAAGTGTGGCCAAATTGCCAGGCAGAGGAGAGCACTGAGAGGTAAAGCCAGAGATGGTGGGGACCAGATTGTATTTTATGCCTGTTAAGGCTTGGACTTCTTTAAGGACATTGAATAGAAAGCCATTGAAAGATTTTGACAAGGCACAGTCCTGCCCTGAAGTAACTTGGGTAGTCTAACATCAGCAGGTAATTTCAATTCCATGTAACAAAAGCCAGAATAGAAACCTGCAAACTTGCATAGGGTTCATATAACAGTGCATGTGGTCCTACAATTTTCTCAGTATGTAAAAGTAGAAGTACTCATTTAGTAGTAGGCATCACGAGGAGAGAGAACATAATGGTTAAGTCAAAGCCAGTTATGCAAATATTTGTCACTGTGGTCCAAAGGTTTATTCCTAAGGAAACTGCTATCTATATATAAGTAAATGAGGCTTTTTGTTGAGGCTTTCATCATTTCAAAACTAATGTGGCCAAGTGCGGTGGCTCACGCCTATAATCCCAGCACTTTGGGAGGCCGAGGTGGGCGGATCACGAGGTCAAGAGATCAAGACCATCCTGGCCAACATGGTGAAACCCCATCTCTAATAAGAATACAAAAATTAGCTGGGCGTGGTGGCACATGCCTGTAGTCCCAGCTACTTGGGAGGCTGAGGCAGGAGAATCGCTTGAATCCAGGAGGCAGAGGTTGCAGTGAGCCGAGATGGCACCACTGCACTCCAGCCTGGCACAGAGCGAGACTCCGTCTCAAAAAAAAAAAAAAGCTAATGTGAGGCCGGGTGCGGTGGCTCACACCTGTAATCCCAGCACTTTGAGAGGCCAAGGCTGGCGGATCACCTGAGGTCAGGAGTTGGAGACCAGCCTGACCAACATAGTGAAACCCCATCTCTTCTAAAAATACAAAATTAGTCGGGCGTCGTGGCACATGCCTGTAATCCCAGCTACTTGGGAAGCTGAGGCAGGAGAATCTCTTGAACCTGGGAGGCGGAGGTTGCAGTGAGCCAAGATCATGCCATTGCACTCCAGCCTGGGCAACAAGAGCGAAACTTGGTCTCAAAAAAAAAAAAAAAAAAAAAAACTAATGTGAAACTGTCCACATTGCATATTCCATCCTTTTTTTTTTTTTTTTTTGAGACGGAGTCTCACTCTGTCGCCAGGCTGGAGTGCAGTGGTGCCATCTCGGCTCACTGTAACCTCTACCTCCTGGGTTCAAGAGATTCTCTTGCCTCAGCCTCCCAAGTAGCTGGGACTACAGGCGCGCACCAGCATGTCCAGCTCATTTTTTGTATTTTTAGTAGAGTCAGGGTTTCACCATGTTGGCCAGGATGGTCTCGATCTCTTGACCTCGTGATCTGCCCGCCTCAGCCTCCCGAAGTGCTGGAATTACAGGAGTGAGCCACCACGCCCGGCCTCATCCTTTGTTTTATACATCTCAGCATTGTTCTTAGATTAACAGTTTCTCCTCTTTTCCATTCATCTCTTACATACCTAAGTATTCTACCCTGATTTCTAAGGATAGCTCAATACTTTCTTTTTAAATATTTCATATTTGTATAACACTTTACCTTTTCAAAGCACTTGCACCAACTATCTCATTTAGCCCTCAACTTTCCTCTGAAGCACGTGCCATAAATGATATACCATTTAACAAGAGAGGAACTGAGCAGAAAACATAAAACAATTTGGCTAGGATCCCAAGAGCAATAAGTGGTGGCAGCATAAGCTGGGCCCAGGTCATGATCCTGTGTTGTAGTCTGTGCCCTGACTCTACCTGTGACCAGCTTGTGGATCCTGCTTTGTATTTCCACAGTTCCATTCTGTATTATATATTCTTGGTCCTGCTTTGCCCTACTATTAAGTTATTTAAGATTTCTTGTCTCATTAGATATCAACCTCCCTAATCTTATGTAAAGTGATAGGTAGTTTAGTAGGACTTACTATTTCCTAATTAGTGTGGTTTTTGTTTCTACTAGGACATAAGATTGTGATCACCCTTGTGATGAATTCAGTAACAGTTCCACCAGAGGTAATCCCTTAGCAGGGAACTTACACTAGACCTGTTTACCAAACAAAAGGCCCTGATATAATAAAATACTAACATGCAAAGCCCTTGGCAATCTCCCTTCTGCCTCATCTTAATCTCACTTAGCTGCCAACCATTGTTTCAGCCACCATTTCTAACCAATCCCCATAAAACCTAGCTTTAAATATCATGTTATTAGAGTGTGTATCCACTGTCCCTGATTGTTGCAATTTTCCACTAATCAGTTCATTCCCCTTTCTTTCTTTTTGTCTTTTGAGACAGGGTCTCGCTCTGTCGCCTGGGCTGGAGTATAGTGGCATGATCACAGCTTACTGCAGTCTCAACCTCCCAGGCTCAATCAAGATCCTCCCATCTCAGCTTCCCAAATAGCTGGAACTACAGGCGCATGCCACCACACACGGCTATTTTTTTGTAGAGACAGGGTAGCCACATTGCCCAAGCTGGTCTCAAACTCCTAGGCTGAAAGAATCCCCCACCTTGGCCTCCCAAAGTGCTGGGATTACAAGCGTGAGCCACCGCAGCTGGTCCCCTTTATTTCTTGCCAATTTTGTGTCCTGGCTCACTGTCACTTTATAACACTACTTCTATCTTAATTCTTGACAATTGCAATTTCAACATACACATGGGTCAGTAGTTTCCAAAGTACAGTCCCTGGACCACAGCAGCATCAGCATCACCAGGGAATTTAGAAATGAAAATTACCAGGCTCTACCCCAGAAACTAGGAGTGAGATCTTGCAATCTGTATTTTTTTTGTTGTGTTGTTTTGCATTTTTTTAGAGATGGTCTCACTGTGTTACCTGGACTGGTCTCAAACCCCTGAGCTCAAGCAATCTTCTTCCCTCAGCCTCCCAAGTAGCTAGGACTACAGGCATACGTCATTGCACCTAGCACAATCTGTGTTTTAATTATCTTTCCATATATAAGTCTAATGCATGCTAAAGTTTGAGAACTATTAACATAAATGATCCTTCAACCAACCTGGCCTTTTGATTCCCTAAAAACTTAACAGTTAATACCTTTCACCTTCCTTAAATACTGATTCCCATCTTTTTACCAAAAACATCAACCATCTTAGTTTCAATTTCATGCATCCCTCTCTCTGACCACCTATGACCTTCCTAGCCCATTCTGTCAAATAACTACACAAATTCAGAGTTTTCATGACCATCAATAAATTGATCCTACCATCTCCCTCACCCCCTTGATTTCAGCTTTTCTCTCCTGTTACAACTTAGGTTCCATGATCAATCATAAGCATTCTCTTGAATACACCTTCAACTTCCTTGCCTCTCACTCACTTCGTTGTACTCACTTACCAAAACCACCTCCTTGGCTTAATTCAGCTGTCTACCTGCTCTGCACCTATGCAGCCAAATGAAGTTGGAGAAAACAAAGTAACTAGTCTGGCCAGGTGCAGTGGCTCACGCCTGTAATCCCAACACTTTGGGTGGATCCCTTGAGGCCAGGAGTTTGAGACCAGCCTGGCCAACATGGTGAAACCCGCTCTCTACTAAAAATACAAAATTTAGCTGAGCATGGTGGCACGCACCTGTAGTCCCAGCTACTTGGGAGGCTGAGGCATAAGAATCGCTTGAACCTGGGAGGCAGAGGTTGCAATTAGCCGAGATTGCACCACTACACTCCTTCCTGTTTTGGCGACACAGCGAGACTCTGTCTCAAAAAAAAAAAAAAAAAAAGTAGTCTCACTTTATATTCATGATGGTCAGAACCTTAAGAGAGCACTTAATACTACCAGCCAATCATATTATGTTTCTTCAGACCGCAATTACATCCTTCAACAGACGACCTTACTTCCTACTTGACTGAGAAAATTTAAGCAATTGGAGAACTTCCAGTTACTCCCACAACATCATTATCTCATCTTACCATATCTCCACCTATATATATACACCACCTTGCCTGTACTATATGGTTCGTATCACATGCTGCAAGCACACAGAAGTCACTCAATGCAAATGTGATGAATAAAGTGAATGTATCCATTAATTAATCTATATAAATGTTTTCCCCTCTGCCTTCATTCCTGGCACTTTCTACCTAGCACATCCACTTTCAAAACCACTTCATCACCTTTTCAGAGAAGTTTTTTTCTGATTTTCCCGAATTGCTTCCCTTTACCCTCCTGTCGATGCTTCTTGTAGCACACATCATTGCACTCTAATGCTATATTTACATTTATTTCCTTACTAAACTGTAAGCTTCTTAAGGGAGATACTGTATCTAATACACTGTTGTAATACTATCCCATCATGTAATCTGGCTTCTGTGTTTTTGGGTTTGTTGAAAACAGTGAAACAGCAGACTCATCCTACTGTGTTTGGTACTGGGTTGATAAACAGCAGAGTTTAGTGGCAATTTGCCACAGAGGGAGATGCAGGCCTGGAGGACTTACTTCCTGAAGGCCTGCAGGCTGAGACTGCTACAGAGCTGATGCCAGCTGAGTCACTCTTGCATCTCAACCTCCAACTCTGAAACAGAGATGTGGATCTCTGATTAGCCTTCTCTACTGTGCTAGCTAATGCAAAGCTACCTTTGCATATGTAAGGTCTAGCAGGGGAGAACCAGGAGGTAGGCAGCAGAAGATCCTTTATAAAAGACCAAGCCTGAAATCTGAAAATCCCTGAAATTCCTTAGAAATTGATCATCTTAACTCTTTCTTTGCCAAGCCCGCATTTCCTGATTTATATCCTTGTTACAGCTGAAAGAAGCTCATCATGTAAAGGTTTATAGCACCACCATTTTCCTCAGAGGATTTTACATATGCAACCTATGGATGGATTTTTATAAGAACTATACCTTGGACTTCTTGCATGAAGTTAGGAAGGTTATCTTCAGAGGCTCCAAGTTTTAATGCATTCCAGTGTTGTCAAATCCAAAAGCAATTAAATACTGTTGTGTGGTTTTGAATTATAGCCTGCTTGTTAAAATAGCTACTGTTTCCCCTAAGGACAGCCTGCATTTTTACCTGATGTCATCTGACTCTGGGTCTCAAGAGAGTGGGGAACCTAATAGAACAACTGAATAAATGTAGTTCTAAGACAGTGAATTATAAGGTGATGGTGGAAGAGTGGTTACCAATTTTAGTGACCTCCAGGTAGAACAATGGAAAGGAAGTCATGTAAGCCCCAGATTGGGGAAAAAATGAAAGTAATAATGACCAAGTAAACATTAAGTCAGGGGTGATGTGGAAGACAGTGTGGCGATTCCTCAAAGACCTAGAACCAGAAATACCATTGGAACCAGCAGTCCTAGTACTGGGTATATACCCAAAGGAATATAAATCATTCTATTCTATTCTATTCTATAGAATATGAATCATTCTAACATAAATCATTCTGTTATATCATTATAAATTATATAAATCATTCTATTATACAATGATGTGTGCTACAAGAAGCATCAACAGGAGGGTAAAGGGAAGCAGTTTGGGAAAATCAGAAAAAAACTTCTCCAAAAAGGTGATTAAGTTGTTTTGAAAGTGGATGTACTAGGTACATATAAAGATACATACATATTGCAGCACTATTCACAATAGCAAAGACATGGAATCAACCCAAATGCCCATCAGTGATAGACTGGATAAAGAAAATGTGGTACATATACACCATGGAATACTATGCAGCCATAAAAAAGAATGAGATCATGTCCTTTGCAGGGTTGGGGATGGAGCTGGAAGCCATTATCCTCAGCAAACTAACACAGGAACAGAAAATCAAACACCACATGTTCTCACTTACAAGTGAGGGTGAACAATGTCAACACATGGACACAAGGAGGGGAACAACACCCAATGGAGCCTGTCAAGGGGAGGGCAGAGGGAGGGAGAACATCAGGAAATACAACTAATGCATGCTGGGCTTATTACCTAGGTGATGGGTTGATAGGTGCAGCAAACCACCATGGCACACGTTCACCTATGTAACAAACCTGCACATCCTGCACATGTACCCTGGAACGTAAAATGAAATTTTAAAAAGTCAGGGGTGATATTTTGCTCATTATAGCTTTACCTTAAACCCCTGTATAGTTTCATCTGCCTTTAGAATATGCTGGCAGAAATATACTTTATTATCTGATACCCAAGTTACTACTGCAACAGGGAAACTAATTTCTACCTCACCCTAGGCTCCAAATTTCACCCCCACTGCACTGAGGGTAAACACTGAAGCCAAATGGGCCTTGATTTGGGACCTTTGTGTTCCTTTGCTCTCCCATCACCATCTGACCCCACCGCACGCCTCATATCCACCCATCCCAGAAGGAAGCTGCCTCTAAGGACTAAGTAGTAAATCTCTCAAAGTTATTTGTGGAAAGTCCTAAGGACACAAATCAGCAACAAAATCCGTTGGGTTTTTTCCCACCTCTCTTAAAACAATCTATAGTTGCATATTTTCCTTATTTGTTCATCTCAACTTCAGCAAAAGCCTTACAGGTTAGTCCAACCCACTCACCTAAGAAAATTTGAAACAAAATGTTACTCTCCTCACTTTTCAGTACAAAATGAAATGAAGTGGAACCATTTGCCTGAGGTGAATGAGTCAGGGGTAGGGGACTGGAATGCAGGACTTGATTCCTCGGTGTCCTAACTCTAACCACATTCCCTCTATTCTGCGATATTTAAGTTGTTTATTGTACTGTGAGGAGCAGGAATAGGTAAGGGAGATGGTTGACTTTTTATGTTTTTATTCAGAAACTTGCATCTGAACTCTAACCCGCATGTAAGACACTCCATTTTAACTTTAGCAGGAGTAAGTGAAGATTCGTAACATATAATTTGCCTTGGAGACAGTGACTTTTCCTGGGCCTTAAGCAAGACTATTGGCTATATATTGACAGAGAGAGCTCTTACTAAAGAAGAGAATAAGGCAAATAGGTGTTAATACCTAATCCTAAACATTTTAAAAAGTGATCATTTAACTCCCTAATCTCTACCCATAATGTTTACAAATAAGTTCTCAGTTTTTAAACTCGACACCAGGAGCTTATATAGCTTTTCATATGAGAGACATTAAGAAATGTAGCTTTTAATTCAGGCTTACCTTTTTGCATCAGAGAGTATGAGGCCTTGAACAATGATGGCCATGTTCTCTTGGTTTTATCTGTTTTTACTGTAACTATTAGCAAAATATATACTGTTTTTTTTAAATCTAGGAATAAACAAATAAACACAATGAATGCATTATAATGTATATTCAAAAACATATCAAAACAGGCTTACCCAACTAGCCTTGAAAAAGATAACCTTTGGGAAATCTTCCAGGCCAGTCATGACTGCTGGAAAGAAAATAAGCAAATACTTACTAAAGGGCTTTCTCCAAGCGACATATTTCTCTTAGAATTTCCAGTCTTTGGATACTGACACCTTCACCTTCATCTCAGATGACGTAGAAATTCAGCTCGGAATTCAGAAATGGATAGCTTCCAGTTCCTCTGAGAATACTCCTCAATCAACAAGTTGTCTACCTAGCTGAGGCACAGCTTCCTGGAATTAAGACTGCATAACCTAGGTTATAATTAACTCAGACTTCCTCCTCCTCTTGTACCTTGGCCATGACCTTAATCCTCACCTAGATTTCCGTCCCATCTATGGATACAAATTTGTTCTAAATTAGATCAACTGAACTCTATTCCTTTTAGCCTAAGATAAGTTGGCACTGGTGGCCGAAAGGAATCCTAAACCAATTTTAGACCATATAGTTAGACTTTAAGCATGACTCAAAAAAAGCTAGACATCTCAGTGGAGAGATAATATTGCTCAGTTTTATCCATTTTCCCTCATTAAAAAAAAAAAAAAACTTGGGAGGACTTTGAGAATGGTCAGTAGGATTAGAATAACGAGAGCAATTGAAGCTGTGGGAAGACTAATAGTTGATAGTGGTTTATACCTGTAATCCCAACACTTTGGGAGGCTGAGATGGGAGGATCGCTTGAGGCCAGGAGTTCACGACCAGCCTGGTCAACACAGCGAGACTTCGTCTGTACAGAAAATTAAAAATAAAGCCAGGTGTGCCTCATGCCTGTAATCCCAACACTTTGGGAGGCTGAGGCGGGTGGATCCCTTGAGCTCAGGAGTTTGAGACCAGCCTGGGCAATATGGCAAAAGCCTGTCTCTACAAAAAAAATACCAAAATTAGCCAGGCATGGTGGTGTGCACCTGTAGTTCCAACTCCACAAGAGGCTGAAGCTAGAGGATTGCTTGAGCCTGGGAGGTACAGGCTGCAGTGAGCCATGATCGCACCACTGCACTCCAGCATGGGCAACAGAGCAAGACCCAGTCTCAAAAAATAATAAATAAAAACTAAATTAAAAACTTAGCCAAGGGTGATGGTGCACACCTGTAGTCCCAGCTGCTCAGAAGGCTGAGGCAGGATGATTGCTTGAGCCCAGAAGTTCATGGCTGCAGTGAGCTATAATCGTGCTACTGTACTCCAGCCTGGTGACAGAGTGAGACCTATGTCAAAAAAAGAAAGAAAGGCCAGGTTCGGTGGCTCACGCTTGTAATCCCAGCACTTTGGGAGGCCGAGGCAGGCAGAGGCGAGGCGAGGTCGGCAGTTCGAGACCAGCCAACATGGTGAAATCCCATCTCTACTAAAAATACAATTAGCCAGGCATGGTGATGTATACTTGCAATCCTAGCTGAGGCAGGAGAAGTGCTTGAACCCAGGAGGTGGAGGCTGCAGTGAGCCAAGATTGTGCCATTGCACTCCAGCCTGGGCAACAGAGTGAGACTCTGTCTCAAAAAAGAAAAACAGTAATACTAGGCTTAGTGAATTTTTTCAAAGTAATTTGGAGGCAAACAAAATGTTTACAATTCTGGGAGCTGCAGCATTGATAATACACAGAAATAAAAGGAATGATAAAATGGGAGGGACTTTGGAATTTAGCTGCTTTCAACTGCATGGATTTAAAGTTAGATTTAAGTGATGATCAGTAGGTCCATTGCTGCTTACCTAAAGAGCTCAAAGCCCTATCCTATATGATCTTGTTGGTTCTCACAACTTTACAAGAGATATGGGTCAAAGAGTAGAATCAAGAATTTTGCTGGTATGAAAGTTGAGATTTAAAGAAGCTGTTACGTAACTTCACTGACATGCAGTGTCTTCCAAAAAAGAGGAATGCCTTACCTATTACGTTAAAGAGAAAATAGAAACCATCCAGCATGAACTCCTTCAGTTTTCTCCCTTTCACTTCGAACTGATGTACTTTTTTTTTTTTTTTTTTTTTTTGAAACAGAGTCTTATTCTGTCATCCAGGCTGGAGTGCAGTGGCATGATCTCAGCTCACTGCCACCTCAACCTCCCAGGTCCAAGTGGTTCTCCTGTCTCAGCCTCCCAAGTAGCAGGGATTACAGGCATGTTTCACCATGCCTGGCTAATTTTTGTATTTTTAGTAGAGACAGGGTTTTCACCATGTTGGCCAGGCTGGTCTCGAACTCCTGACCTCAGGTGATCCACCCACCTCAGCCTCCCAAAGTGCTGGGATTACAGGTGTGAGCCACTGCACCTGGCCTGAACGGATCTACTTCTGATTACACCCTCTTTCTGCTGTCCCTTCCCTTCTTTCTCCTATCCCAGAGGAAAACAGGACATTCTTTCCAAAACTGTCTTTCTATGTTTGCTCTTGATTCTCTTCCATTTCACTCTTCAGTGGTCTCTCCCTATTTATTCCTCATTTTCATTTGTCCATTTATTTATTTGTTCAGCAAACATTTATTATATTCTTGTTATGCATCAGATTGTGCTTCTGAAATTTTAAAAGACATGTTTCCTACCTTCGAGGGGCTCACAGTCTAGTGGAAGAGGTAGTAAAACAACTACAAATCATTCAACTGTGATACTGTGATACAGTATTTAAAGAGCAACGATAAAAGTCTACACATGATGCTCTGGTTGTGCATGTAGCAGAGCTGGGTCTGGAGCTTAACCAAGAGGACAAGAGGGGAAAGGCATTTAAACAAAGGAAACATGCACCAAAACATGATCACACAAGAGAATTCAAATAAAATTAGTTCACTAAGGAAAGAACACAAATAATAGATGTGTTTTGAAGACAAGGGGTAAGGGAGAGTTACACCAGATAATAAAGAATCTCGAAGGTGATAAGGAATTATTAAAATATATTAAGGATGGAAGTAATATGGTCAGATTTGCATTTTAGGAAATTCAATCACATATCAGAGGAGAAGACTGGGAACTGGCAGGGCGTGGTGGCTCATGCCTGTAACCCTAGCACTTTGGGAGGCCGAGGCAGGCAGATCACCTGAGGTCAGGAGTTCCAGACTCTAGCCTGGGTGACAAGAGCGAAACTCCGTCTCAAAAAAAAAAAGTGTCCATTAATTTTGGCAAATAGCCATTGGTGTTTTTTTGTGACAGTAGTTTCAACGGAGATGGCAGTCAGATGATATGGGCCTAAAGACTATATGGGGCCAAGATCATGTCACTGCACTCCAGCCTGGGCGACAGAGTGAGACTCCATCTCAAAAAAAAAAAAAAAGGTACATGGAACATGGCAAGGAATGGAGACTGTGAATGTAGGTGACTCTTTTCAGAAATGTGGCTGTTTTTTGTGTGTGTGTGTGAGATGGAGTCTCGCTCTGTCACCCAGGCTAGAGTGCAATGGCGAGATCTCGGCTCACTGCAACCTCTGCCTCCCAGGTTCAAGTGATTCTCCTGCCTCAGCCACCTGAGTAGCTGGGATTACAGGCATGTGCCACCACGCCCAGCTAATTTTGTATTTTTAGTAGAGACGGGGTTTCTCCATGTTGGTCAGGCTGATCTCAAACTCCCGACCTCAGGTGACCTGCCTGCTTCAGCCTCCCAAAGTGCTGGGATTAAAGGTGTGAGCCACCACGCCTAACCTATTTTTTATATTAAATATGAAACATATATATATATATATATTTTTTTTTTTTTTTTTTGCAATGGAGTCTCGCTCTGTCGCCCAGGCTGGAGCACAATGGTGCAATCTCAGATCACTGCAACCTCCACTTCCCGGGTTCAAGCAATTCTCCTGCCTTAGCCTCCCGAGTACCTGAGACTGTAGGCATGTGCCAGCCACCATGCCTGGCTAATTTTTGTTTTTTTTTGTTTGTTTGTTTTTTGTTTTTTTGAGACGGAGTCTTGCTCTGTCGTCCAGGCTGGAGTGCAGTGGCACGATCTCAGTTCACTGCAAACTCTGCCTCCGTTCAAGCAATTCTCCTGACTCAGCCTCCCAAGTAGCTGGGATTACAGGTGCCCGCCACCACCACGCCCGGCTAATTTTTGTATTTTTAGTAGAGACAGGGTTTCACCAAGTTGGCCAGGCTAGTCTCGAACTCCTGACCTCAGGCAATCCACCTGCCTTGGCCTCCCGAAGTGTTGGGATTACAGGCGTGAGCCACCGTGCCCAGCCTAATTTTTGTATTTTTAGTAGGGACCGGGTTTCACCACGTTGACAGGCTAGTCTTGAAATCCTGACTTCAGGTGTTCCGCTCACCTCAGCCTCCTAAAGTACTGGGATTATAGTCATGAGCTGCCATGCCCAGCCCCAATATTTAAATTTTTAAAAAACATTGGCCGGGCATGGTGGCTCATGCCTGTAATCCCAGCACTTTGGGAGGCCGACGTTGGCAGATCACCTGAGGTCAGGAGTTCAAGACCAGCAAAACCCATCTCTACTAAAAATAAAAAAAAAAAAATTAGCTGGGCGAGGTGGCGGGGCCTGTAATCCCAGCTACTCTGGAGGCTGAGACAGGAGAATCACTTGAACTGGGAAGTGGATGTTGCAGTTAGCCGAGATCGTGCCACTGCACTCCAGCCCGGGCGACAGAATGAGACTATGTCTCAAAAAAAAAAAAAAAAGTCTTCCCTTTACTTCATTCTCAAGCTACTGACTTATCTTTCATTACTCTTCCCTATAAGTGAATGGTAGGGTATGTGAGCGTATTTTGAATCCTCTTTCTTCTGTTGGTTCTCCTAATGTTTCCCAACTATTTATATTCTGACCTAATCATTCATTACTTATCTCTGCCTCCTTGCCTTCTCTTTCACACCCTACATTTAATACAATCAGCAAATCAGCAAATCCTTACCCTTTTTTTTTTCATTTTTTTCTTTTTTTAGAGCCTACAGCTATTGTACCATCTATCTTCAAAATGTATCCTGAATCTGACAATTTTCCATCACCTCAACACTACCACCCAAGGCCCAGACACCATCTTCTCTCACCCAGACCACTGCAATAGCCTTCTGACTGGTCTCCCCACTTTCACCCTTGCCTTTCTATTGTTTATTCTTGTTTTGTTGTTGTTGAGTCAGAGTCTCACTCTGTTGTCCAGGCTAGAGTGCAGTGGCATGATCTCAGCTCACTGCAAACTCTGCCTCCTGGGTTCAAGCGATTCTCCTGCCGCAACCTCCTGAGTAGCTGGGATTACAGGCATGCCACCACGCCCGGCTAATTTTTATATTTTTAGTAGAGACGGGGTTTCACCATGTTGGTCAGGCTGGTCTCGAACTCCTGACCTTGTGATCCACCTGCCTTGGCCTCCCAAAGTGCTGGGATTACAGGCGTGAGCCACCGCGCCCGGCCTATTGTTTATTCTTAAACCAGCAGACAGAGTGATCCTTTCAAATATTAAGTCATATTTTGTCGGTCTTCAGAAACTTCCAATAGCTTCTCCTATCATTTTGCGTTCTCGTATGCTCTGAAACCATCACCACCACAGACGTCCCTCGTCTAGTTTCCTACCACTCTTCCTCCAGCCACACTGGCCTCGTCACCTCCAAACACACTTCACCTCGGGGCTTCTGCATTTGCTGTTTTATGCTTGGAATGCTTTTCCCTCAGACATCATTTGGTTTATTCACATTTCCTTCAACACTCTGTTCAAATAGCCCCTTAACCCAAAGTCTGGCCACATTTTATAAACTATTGTACCTCAGCCGCTCCTAAGTCTCTACTTTCTATCCTGCTTATATCGCACTACTCACCACCTGGCTTGTCCTAGTTATTTATTTATTGTCTGGTTCCCTTCACTATACTGTGAGCACCCACAAAGCATACCTACCAAGAGCACCTCGCCTAAAGGAGCAGAGATAAAGATAGCCAGAGGCCAGGCGCGGTGGCTCACGCCTGTAATCCCAGCACTTTGTGAGGCTGAGGCAGGCGGATCACGAGATCAAGAGATTGAGCCCATACTGGCCAACATGGTGAAACCCCATCTCTACTAAAAATACAAAAATTAGCCAGGTGTGGTGGCACGTACCTGTAGTCCCAGCTACTTGGGAGGCTGAGGCAGGAGAATCACTTGAACCCGGGAGGTGGAGGTTGCAGTGAGCCGAGATCGCGCCACTGCACTCCAGCCTGGTGACAGAGCGAGACTCCGTTAAAAAAAAAAAAAAAAAAGATAGCCAGGAAACTATTCCTGCCCTTGAGGAACCCACACCTCAGTGAGTCATATAACCTAACAAGTAATTAGAATGGAAATACTCAAAGCAGTTGGATGCCACAGGCTGAGGCCCTGGGGAACCATGTGGTTTGGGTGGCAGTTATGGCACTTTTCAGCCTGGGTGATAGTTAAAACTATGAGTTCACTCTAAGAGAATGTGAGAAATGAGAAACACTCAGGAGACACCAGTGTTTAAGAGGCGAAGGACAAAGAAAGGAGGCTGAGACAGAATAATCAAAGAGGGGAAGAAGAGCTGGACCAGTAGGTCCCCAGATGGCGGAGCTCCTAGATTGCCTTTATCGAATACTACCAATAATCATGGCAGTGGACATTTACTAACAATTCTCTACCCGTCAGTTACTGTTGTAAGCATGTTCCATATTTTCACACATGAAGCCTCACAACAACCCCAGGAGTTAGGCACTAGTATAACCTCATTATACAGATGAGGAAACTGATTCACTCACCCAAGTGCACACACCTAATAAGAAATAAAGATTTGGGCCAGTCAGGGTGTCTCATGCCTGTAATCCCAGCACTTTGGGAGTCCACGGCGGGTGGATCACTTGAGGTCAGGAGTTGGAGACCAGCCTGGCCAACATGGTGAAAACCCATCTCTACTAAAAATACAAAAAAAAAAAAATTAGCCAGGCATGGTGGTGCTTGCCTATAATCCCAGCTACTCAGGAGGCTGAGGCAAGAGAATCACTTGAACCCAGTAGGTAGAGGTTGCAGTGAGCCAAGATCACGCCCCTGCCCTCCAGCCTGGGTGACAGAGCAAGACTCTGTCTCAAAAGATAAATAAATAAATAAATAAATAAACAAACAAATAAAAATACAAAAATTACCTGGGCATGTTGGCGGGTGCCTGTAATCCCAGCTACTCCGGAGTCTGAGGCAGGAGAATCACTTGAACCTGGAAGGCAGAGGTTGCAGTGAGCTGAGATCGCACCACTGCACTCCAGCCTGGGTGACGGAGCGATACTTCATCTCAAAAAAAAAAAAAACAAAAGAAAGCTTTGAACGCAAGCAATTTGAGCTTGCTCTTAATCGTTACATTGTTATCCATAAGACCACACTCTGCCCACTCTCCATGCTTCTTCATATTTTCTTGACCCTCTTAAGGGTCATGTGCTGTTCTGGGCTATGGGTATACAGCAGTGAAGCAAAGCCCCCTCCCTTCATGGAGCTTATATCCTTGTAGGGGAGACCGACATTAAACAAGTAAACAAATCTACGGTAATAAGTGCTGTGAAGAAAAATGAAGTAGTATAAGGTATCGTGAATGATAAGTGGTGACCTCTGAGGAAGTGACATTTAAACAGAGATCTGAAGGAAAAGAGAGACTGAGCCAAGAGGTTATCTGGAGGAAGAACATTCCAGGCAGAAGGAACAGTAAGTGCAAAGGCCTTAAGGTATAAGTGTGCCTGACGTGTTCCAGGAACTCCAAGGAGGTCAAAGCAAAAAGGGATAGGACGAACTAGGGGGAGAGAGGCAGGAGGTAAGCTTTCAGAAAGCTATGAAAGGTTTCCAAGACGTGCTGCTAACTGAAAAGATTAAATTACTCGGCATAGTAGCTTGTGTGGTATAATCACATTGACTAAAAAGATATATATGTGTGTGTGCTTATGTGTATATGCATACATACACATATATAGATATGTATACATACATACTTATTTATAGTCTGAAATATCAGACAACAAAGTTAACAGTGATTACCTTGTAGGAGTTAGACTACAGTTGAAGAGAAGGAAGGGATATTTAGACTTTTTATTTCATTTTATTTAGTTTTTGAGAAGGAGTCTCCCTCTGTCACCCAGGCTGGAGTGCAGTGGTGCGATCTCAGCTCACTGCAACCTCCGCCTCCCAGGTTCAAGCGATTCTCCTGCCTCAGCCTCTCAAGTAACTGGGACTACAAGCGCCCACCACCATGCCTGGCTAATTTTTGTATTTTTAGTAGAGACGGGTTTTCACCATGTTGCTCAGGCTGGTCTCGAACTCCTGAGCCCAAGAGATCCGCCCGCCTCGGCTTCCTCGGCTGGGATTATAGGTATGAGCCACTGCACCCAGCCTAGATTTTCTGTCTTGTATTTTTCCATAGTATTTGTAACTTCTTGCATATCCTACTTTTATAGTAACCAAAAATTAGCTTACAAAAATCAACATTTTTTTTTTTTGAGATGGAGTCCCACTTTTGTCACCTAGGCTGGAGTGCAGTGGTGTGATCTTGGCTCACTGCAACCTCTGCCTCCCAGGTTCAAACGATTCTCCTGCCTCAGCCTCCCAAGTAGCTGGGATTACAGGTGCCCGCCACCACACCCGGCTAATTTTTGTCTTTTTAGTGGAGATGGGGTTTCACCATGTTGGCCAGGCTGGTCTCAAACTCCTGAACTCAGGTGATCCACCCACCTCGGCCCAAAATCAACTCTTAACCATGTGTTAAGGGACTCCAGCTAAAGCCCCTTCTCCTTCTTTTTGCAGCTGAGCTTCCTGAAACAGTTTCCTACACATGTTCCTCCTTGCCTTCCCCATTTTCTTCTTAACCAAATGCCATCTGATTTAGACTTCACCTTTCCCCTACGCCTACTCTTCCTGGGAACACCTGTGACTTCCCTCTGACTATAACGAACACTTGCAGTCCTCTTGCTTCTTGACCTCTCTGCCACATTTGACATTGTTTACAGCTCCTCTGAAACATTCTCCTTTGCTTTCCTTCTTGCCCCCTTTTACCTTCCTGAGCTGCTTTCTCAGTCTCCTTTCATTGGCTACTTTTTATAGCCCATCACACAGACCTGGGTTTCTTCTGGTTCCAGTCTTAATGCCTTTGCCTCTGTGTGCTACACATACTCTTTTGTGTGGTCCATGCCCATAGTTTCAACTACCATCTCCATGCTTCCAAGTCCCAGATCTGTATTTTTAGCATTTTTTCCTGAGCCCCTGTCCAGTGTACCAACCTGCTTGTTAGACAGCTCCACCTGCAGATCTCACAGACATCTCAACTCAACTGTTCCAAAACCAAAGTCATCATCTCTAATTAAAAACATCTGCTTCCTCTTGTTCTCTTTAACTTACTTCGTGGTACCACCATCTGCCCTATTGACCCCATCTAGCAACCTGAGAAAAGCCCTTTTTCTTTATTTCCTGTATCTAAATGGACAACAAAAGTGATTCTATTTGCTAAATATCTCAGCAATCTGTCTTCATTCCTACATCTTCACTGTCACTGCATTCATTACCAATGATCTGGACTACTGCATATGGATATATGAGTCTGAACCCCTAGGAAGAGACCAGAAATATCCTAACTACATTTTCTGCCTCTATTATCACTACCAGCCTTATACTCAGCTGCCGAGGGATGTGGTACAAATTCTATCATGTCGGTTCCTGCTCAAAATTTTTCAAATGTTTCCTAACCTTTATAGAATAAAATTCAAACTCTTTAATATGCTCTGGCCAGTCATCTTCTGACACTTTCCCACATGTATCTTTTTTTTTTTTTTTTTTTTCCCAGACAAAGTCTCACTCAGTCTCCCAGGCTGGAGTGCAATGGTGTGGTCACGGCTCACTGCAGCCTCAACTTTCCAGGCTCAAGGGATCTTCCCACCTCAGCCTCCCAAGTAGCTAGGACTAGAGGCACATAACATCACATCCGGCTAATTTTTTCATTTATTTTTTGTAGAAACGAGGTCTCACTGTGTTTCCCAGGCTGCTTTTGAACTCCTAGGCTCAAGCGATCCGCCTGACTCAGCCTCCCAAAGTGCTGGGATTACAGGCATGAGCCACCTGCCCAGCCACCCACATATATCTTTTTTGTTGTTGTTGAGGCAGAATCTCAACCTCAGCTAACTGCAACCTCCGCCTCCTAGGTTCAAGCAATTGTCGTGGAGCTGGAATTACAGGCGTGCACCACCACACTCAGCTAATTTTTTTATTTTTAGTAGAGACATGGTTTCGCCATTTTGGCCAGGCTGGTCTCGAACTCTAGCCTCAGGTGATCTGCCCGCCTCGGCCTCCTAAAGTGCTGGGATTACCGTCGTGAGCCACTGCGCCCCGCCACATATCTTATGTTTAAATAATACCGAAGTACTCTTTGTTTCTCAAAAACCCCATGCCTTTTCCTGCTTCTGTGAAAGTTTTATGACGTAGCACCTTTGTATCTCCAGCTCTAACGTAGTACCTGGTACAAAGTAGGTGCTCAACAAATGCTTGTTGAATAAATAAAAGGACAAAAGAAAATCAGAAAGCACAAAGGTTGAAAGTAAGGACACTGACCAGAAGACTACTATGAGAGTACAATTTGGAGTAATCAGGAAGAGAAGGAAAGAAAATGCTTTAGTGTAACATTTCCTTCAAGCTTCTACAAGGTGAAACAATCATAATCAAATAATAATTACTCCTGTAATTAGTCTCTTTGAAAAATATGAACTTTTGTCATTGGTACAATTTCAAATGGGGACTGCTTAAGTGATTTGAAATAAAATGTTTCTTAAAAACACACACACACACACAAAAACCCAAACAGCCCAGGACATGACATGTAACTGCCAAAATCCTGACAAAACATGACCCTTTGGGTATAAATCCCAAGGTCCAAGAGTGCATCTGGGAAGAGTCATTTATTTTGCAAACATTAATTGGGTGGTATAGACACCGTTCAGCACAGGGGATAAAATGATAAGTAATACACGGTTTCCTGTCCTCAAAGAGCTCATGGTCCAAGAAGCATCTAGCCCTTGCCTTTGCGCAGAACTCTACTGAATTCTTTTCTTTTTTTTCGAAATGGAGTCTCACTCTGTCGCCAAGTCTAGAGTGCAGTGGTGTGATCGCAGCTCACTGCAACCTCTGCCTCCCAGGTTCAAGCGATTCTCCTGCCTGGGCCTCCCGAGTAGCTGGGACTACAGGCATTCGCCACCATGCCTGGCTAATTTTTGTATATTTAGTAGAGACAGGGTTTTGTCATGTTGGCCAGGCTGGTCTCGAACTCCTGACCTCTTTACAGAAAGCCAGATGCCTATGCTAGGGTTGTATTTAAAGTCCTTTTAGGCTGGGCACGGTGGCTTATGCTTATAATCCCAGCACTTTGGAAGCCGAAGCCGAACTCCTGACCCGCACTTAAGGTCGGGAGTTCGAGACCAGCCTGGTCAAGGTGGCGAAACCTTATCTCTACTAAAAGTACAAAAATTAAGGCTGGGTGCAGTGGCTCACACCTGTAATCCCAGCATTTTGGGAGGCTGGGATGGATGGATCACTTGAGGTCAGGAGTTCAAGACCAGCCTGGCCAACATGGTGAAACCCTGTCTCTACTAAAAATACAAAAATTAGCTGGGCTTGGTGACACACACCTGTAATCCCAGCTACTAGGGAGGCTGAGGTGGGAGAATTCCTTGAGCCCGGAAGGTGGAGGTTGCAGTGAACTGAGATCACGCCACTGCACTCCAGCCTGGATGACAGAGCGAGACTCTGTCTCAAAAAAAAAAAAAAAAAAAAAAGTACAAAAATTAGCCGGGTGTCGTGGTGGGCGCCTGTAATCCCAGCTACTCAGGAGGCTGAGGCTGGAGAATCGCTTGAACTCTGGGGCGGAGGTTGCAGTGAGCCGAGTTTGCACCACTGCACCCCAGCCTGGACGAGAGTGAGACTCTGTCTCAAACAAACAAAAAAGTCCTTTTAGTCATAGGAATAGCTATATATAATTTATTTTTTTGAGATGAAGTTTTGCTCTTGTTGCCCAGGCTGGAGTGCAATGACGCAGTCTCGACTCACCGCAACCTCTGCCTCCCGGGTTCAAGCGATTCTCCTGCCTCAGCCTCCCAAGTAGCTGGGATTACAGGCATGCGCCACCACGCCCAGCTAATTTTGTATTTTTAGTAGAGACAGGGTTTTCTCCATGTTGGCCGGGCTGGTTTCGAATTCCCAACCTCAGGTCACCCACCCACCTTGGCCTCCCAAAGTGCTGGGATTACAGGCGTGAGCCACCACGCCCGGCCAATATATATAATTTTTTTTTTTTAAAGCTCAGAAATGGAAATTCACGGATTCAGGGTAAAATGCAGCCATTGCTTCCTTAATTAGAAGAGTGTTTTTGTGGAAGAGTAATGGACTGTACCCTTTTTTCCCCAGAAAAAAAGCAGCACCTGAGGATTCTGAACAGTTCTCTGCTCAGTGATGATCAAGCCTTCCTTTGGACAAGCTTAAATAACTCAGCCACTGTTCTTTGTTGGAGGACTTTGGGACTACTGATGCAATGTGTCCACTTGGGGGCCCTTTGGAGAAAAAATTGCTAATTTCAGAGGGGCAGCCGCACCAGTGGTTAAGGAAATCCCTGGGGAGAAAATGTTTCTGTCTGGATTAGAGAGAAGACATCTTATTTACTCATTCAATCTTCATGATAATCTTGTGAAGCTATAATTAATATCCTTATTTTTGCAGATTAGGAAACTAAGACGTACTGAGGCTGGGTGCCTGGTTCAAGATCATATAGCTAACATTATTGGACATGCAAATCAAGCCCAGATTTGTGACTCTGAGCTGATGTTAATTCTGTCACAATATTGGTTCTCAAGATAAATCTTTCCAGGTGAGGGGGAAAGGGAATAAATATCTAGAAGTCCCCTTAAACAGAAGTAATTAATTCGTTTGCAGAAATTGGCAAAATTTGGGGTTCCCTTCTTAAAAGTTTCCTTCTGTCACTTGGAAAAAATTTAAAATATGTGCATTAGGTTGACAAAGATCAAAAAAGTTAAAAAAAAAACCCTTTTTGGAATGCTGTGGAGAAAGGAGCACTTTTATTTATCTATTATTTATTTTATTTTATTTTATTTTATTAATTAATTATTTTTTTTCTTTTTCTGAGACAAGGTCTCATCTCACTCTCTTGCCCAGGCTAGAGTGCAGTGGCCTGATCTCAGCTCACTGCAGCCTCAGCCACCTCAGCTCCACTAGCAGCTGGGACTACAGGCACATGCCAAGTTTCCCAGGCTGGTCTCAAACTCCTGAGCTCAAGATCCTCCCATCTCAGCCTCCCGAAGTCCTGGAATTATGAAAGAGGCACTCTTTTTTTCTTCTTCTTTTTTTTTTTTTTTTTTGAGACACTCTTCTCCGTCTTCCAGGTTAGAGTGCAGTGGGGTGATTTTGGCTCATTGCAACCTCCACCTCCCCGGTTCAAGTGATTCTGGTGCCTCAGCCTCCTGAGTAGCTAGGACTACAGGTGTGTGCCACCACGCCAGGCTAATTTTTCTATTTTTAGTAGAGACGGAGTTTTGCCATGTTGGCCAGGTTGATCTCGAACCCCTGACCTCAGGTGATTTGCCCACCTCTGCCTCCCAGAAGTGTTGGAATTACAGTCATGAGCCACTGCACCCAGCCAAAAGGCACTCTAGAACATTGCTGGTGGGAGTATGAATTAGCATAACCTTTACCGGGGACAACTTGGCACTGTCTATTAAAACTACAAATGTACATACCTTTTGACTCAGCAACTGCTCTTCTAGAAATCTATACTACAGATACATTTGAACATTTGCAAAATGACGTATATTAAAGGTTATGCACTGCAGCATTGTGTGAAATACATGCAACAGATTGGAAACAACTCAAGTGCCCACCGATAGAGAACTGATTAAAGTAAGCTCTATCTCTATTCCATACAGCCCCAATAATGAGGAAACTGTCTACTTATAGTAATATTTCCAAGATATAAGTGAAATAAGCAAGATTCAGGAAATTGGTTTGATATGCTTTTATTTATGCAAAAACTTCTATATGTGTATGCTTTTGTAGGCATAGACTATGTATGGAAGAATATACAATAGACTGATAACAGTTACTCCTACTAAAGGGTAAGTAATATTACTGAGGTTGGGGAGAGGATGATTCAGAGCAAAAATAAAGTGAGGACTTTAAGGACTTTAATTCCTTTAATTTTTTTTTTTTTTTTTTTTTTTTGAGATGGAGTCTTGCTCTGTCGCCCAGGCTGGAGTGCAATGGTGGGATCTAAGCTCCCTGCAACCTCTGCCTCCCAGGTTCAAGCGATTCTCCTGCTTCAACCTCCCAAGTAGCTGGGATTACAGGCACTTGCCACCACACCCGGCTAATTTTTGTATTTTTCATAGAGATGGGGTTTCACCATGTTAGCCAGGCTGGTTTCAAACTCCTGACCTCATGATTCGCCCGCTTTGGCCTCCCAAATTACGGAGTGAGCCACCACGCCCGGCCTCCTTTTAAATTTTTTTTTTTAATTTTTTTTTTTTAGAGATGGAGTCTCACTCTGTCGCCCAGGCTGGAGTGCAGTGGTGCGATTTCGGCTCACTGCAACCTCCGCCCCCCGGGTTCAAGTGATTCCCCTGCCTCAGCCTCCCGAGTAGCTGATTACAGGCACCCGCCACCACACCCGCTAATTTTTGTATTTTTAGTCGAGACGGGGGTTTCACCATGTTGGCTAGGCTGTTCTTGAACTCCTGACCTCAGGTGATCTGCCCAGCTCAGCCTCCCAAAGTACTGGGATTACAGGCGTGAGCCACCGTGCCCGGCCTTAAATTTTTAACCATATGAATGTATTAGGTATTCAAGAAAAATATGTTGAATGAAAATTTAAAATAAAAAATAAGTAAAGCACATCGAATTTAAGGTACCTAATGTGTAAGGCACAGAATGTCTTTTTTTTTTTTTTTTTTTTTTTGAGACGGAGTCTTGCTGTCGCCCAGGCTGGAGTGCAGTGGCGCGATCTCGGCTCACTGCAGGCTCCACCCCCCGGGGTTCACGCCATTCTCCTGCCTCAGCCTCCCGAGAAGCTGGGAATACAGGCGCCCGCCACCTCGCCCAGCTAATTTTTTGTATTTTTAGTAGAGACGGGGTTTCAGTGTTAGCCAGAATGGTCTCGATCTCCTGACCTCATGATCCGCCTGCCTCGGCCTCCCAAAGTGCTGGGATTACAGGAGTCGTAATGTCTTTTTATGATCAGCAGGATGGTTAACGGATATTTGCTGTCAGACCCCAGTGAGTTTTAGCACTTCTACTTACTAGCTGTGTGACTTTAGACATTATTCTAAGCCTCAGTTTCCCCATATGTAAAATCAAACTTATAGAATTGGAGAGAATTGAGTGCACATAAAGCACTTAGGCTCACAGAAAGCACTGAAAAATGTTATTATTAATATTTTCGCCCTAAAATCTCCAACAATAAACCAAATTCTGACTTGCTCTGGCTCCTTTTGGACTAGTCTAGAGGCAAAGAGACAAACTATATGATTTCTCAAGGAGTTTTTCTGCTCAGAGGCTTGAGTCTGGGGACTCCACACAATATTCGAAGACATTCTTCCTTCTTTCTGCTGCCTTGCAACCTGCAGACCTCCCACCTGTGTTAAATGAAGAATGCTTGAAGTGAGGTTACTCAGAACCCACCCGGTTCATGTTTTCTCAAGGGTAGAAGGCGGGAAGAAATCTGTTGACACAGTTATATAAAGCCTGTCATTCAGTCCCCTGCCTATTACCTCTGCAGACCGTTATGCATATTAAAGAAGGGGGGGCGGCAAATACAAAAGAAAAATAAGAGAGACGAGAGAGAGAGAGAAAGAGAGAGAGAGAGAGAGAGAACGAACAAATCAGGATGCTTGAGGGAATCCACGTGGTCGCCAATCTGTAACTGATCAGAGCAGCTACACTGAAGCAAAAACCCCAGCGCCCAACGCTAAATATATTGCAATGGAGAAACCGTCCACAATGGGGTGTCTCTGTCCTTAGCAGAGCCTTGGGGCTGCCGTTTAAGACCCTCCTGCTACTCCCACCCTTTTAGCATCTAGTAAACCACGCGCTGTAACAACGGAATCTTGTTCTGTGTATTGCGTTGTGCGAGTGTGCGCTTTGCAAACCATCTGGGCCCCATCCTGCGCGGTTGGAACGAAGATCGATTCGGGACGAGTTGGGGGAGTTGAGGCTTGCCTGTGTCTCCTCCCTTTCATTGCTCCTCTCCAGCCCCCATCCCATCGTCCGCTCTGCACAAATGTTTCGCCAGTGGAGGGACGTAGGTTTTCAGCACCAGGAGGCTGTGGACCTTCTCTGGAGGCGTGAAGTGCACCCTCCGGAGGGCCAGAGCTGAGTGCAACCTGCTCACAACGACCCTCTCCCTCCTTCCCAAATTCGCCGCCCCAGGCTGTAATATTACATGCAGTGCGCTGTACCGGTGCGGGAGTCCAGGAAGGCTGCATGACCTTCCAGCGAACTCCCCCTCGGCTTGGGGGATGGAGGCTGCCCCGGGGCCTGCAGGCTGTGTATCGATCCCCCAGCCTCAGCCAACGCAAGTTCTCCCGACACAAACCCCTCCCTACCCTCTCGGCTTTCCCAGCCTTGCAGGCGTCTAACGCTATGCTCGAGGCGCCCTCCCCTCTTTCCCGCAATAAAGTAAACCCGGTGGATATTCATTCCCCTCCCTAACTCGCCTCCTTCTTTCCCCCTCCCCCCTCAGCTTACTAACCCCGCGCACAGAGCTCGCCGCCGGCGGGCCCCTTCCACCCAGTGTATCATAATGCCCAACGCTCTCCTCCTCCCCCTCTCTTAATCAGAAACGTGCTCGCGAGCCCCCCTCCCTCTGCGTGCATACATTAGGGTCTGCTTTGCATGCAGCGGCAGGCAGAGACCGGAGGAAGAAGGGGCGGGGGCGCTTTTGCCCGCCTCTTCCCTCCAGGCCCCGTTAGCCACCCAGCTTCAGCTTCGTTGTAACACCGCGTCGTTAGCGGAGCACGCCGTGGCCTCAGTGCCCGGGCTGGAGAAACACAACCCAACTCCCTGCAGAAGGGCACGAAAGCCAGACGAGTGCACAGTAGAGCGAGGAGGTGGCAGGAGACCTGCCACTCGGTGTGTGCTTTTTGGAAAGAGCTCCAGCATGAAAATGGGAGGGGCTCCTTTTTTATTTTTTAAAGTGCGTTCATTGAGGGCCTTTCTGTTTTGCATATAGTAAACTGGGCAGCGCTTCTGTTTTGCATGTAGTACAATAAGGGCTCTTTTATTCTAGAAGCGTTCAATTCGGGCTAACCCATCTTGTATCCGTGCCCTGGGGCGGAGGAGAAGGCTCACTGCTCCCCGACCCAGCCGCCGCGTTATACTGGAAGCTGCTCTCCCGGGCTGTTCGATTCCCAGCGCGTCCCGGGAACGTGTGTAATCGGCCTCTCGGCGCTCAAGGCTGCAGGCGGCCCGGCTCCCTACGCCTCCATCCTCCGCGTAGTCCTCGCCCCCTCCCCCTCTCTCCGGAACCCGCGCTCTGCTCCGGGCTCCCGGGCTTCCTTCCCCCCTCCTTTTCCCGAGCAATGCCTCTCCCGGAGGGCGGGGCATGCAGTTATCCAGGTTGCGGGGCCGGCGGGCGGGCAGGAGGCGGCGGCCCGGGCCTCGGGATGGAGTTGCAGCGCCCAGGCGTCAGAGGCGGAGGCCCGAGGCCGCTATACAGATTGCGGGGCTGGCGGGCGCGGCCCGGCGCTCTGCATAGCGGCCGGCAGGGTGCAGGCGGCCGGGCGGCGCAGAGCTGGTTAGGCAGGTTCCGGGGCCCCGTGCCCCCCCCTCCGCCTCCCCGCCCCCCTGTGTTGTCGCCTCTCCCTCTCGCTGCTTCACTTCACGGGGCGAACATGGCGCACAGCTGTCGGTGGCGCTTCCCCGCCCGACCCGGGACCACCGGGGGCGGCGGCGGCGGGGGGCGCCGGGGCCTAGGGGGCGCCCCGCGGCAACGCGTCCCGGCCCTGCTGCTTCCCCCCGGGCCCCCGGTCGGCGGTGGCGGCCCCGGGGCGCCCCCCTCCCCCCCGGCTGTGGCGGCCGCGGCGGCGGCGGCGGGAAGCAGCGGGGCTGGGGTTCCAGGGGGAGCGGCCGCCGCCTCAGCAGCCTCCTCGTCGTCCGCCTCGTCTTCGTCTTCGTCATCGTCCTCAGCCTCTTCAGGGCCGGCCCTGCTCCGGGTGGGCCCGGGCTTCGACGCGGCGCTGCAGGTCTCGGCCGCCATCGGCACCAACCTGCGCCGGTTCCGGGCCGTGTTTGGGGAGAGCGGCGGGGGAGGCGGCAGCGGAGAGGTAAGGGGGCGAGGAACCCCCAGGTCCGGGGTCTCGACCCTCTGCGGAGCCCCCTCCCCTCCCCCATCCGGGATTGAGGAGCATCCCAATTCTGGGACCATCTCGGGGTCCCTGACCCGGGGCGAATGGCTCTCCCATCTTGGGACCCCCATGCAGGGCTGCAGACCCCCAGGCGCCCCCACCCCGGGGTTTGGGCCCATCTGGCTGAGGGCGTTTGCCCCCCGCTCTCCTCCCCCTGACCCTTCCCCAAATCCCTTGGCACAGACCCCCTCGCCGGGGTTTCCCATCCCGGGACTGAACCCCTCCTCCCTTTCACAGATTACCTCATCCGAGCAAGATTCCTCCCTCCCTCCCTCCTAGAGACCTGATCCCGCCACATCCCCGCCTCCCTCTCTGGGCAGATGTGTTACTCCTAGGGCAGTTTTCCTCTCGGGCGTCTCTCGGGTGATGGCCTCATCCAGGGCCACGTTCTCCTGGCCCTTGGGGATCGTGTCCCTTCCAGCACCTTGCTTTCGAAAACCCGATGAACCCTCGCGCCATCCCCGGGCCAGGTCCCTATACTGCCAGCCACTCCCCCTTCCTTCACCTCCACCCTCTACCCCCACCCCAAGCAGACCGATCCTCCCCCATCCCGCCCTACCCCACCGGGGAAAATCTCTCCTCTGCACCTTGCCTGGTCTCACCTCCTTTCCCTCTGAAGATAACGGTGATTCCTCATACAGCAGTCTCTTCCCCCCCCCGCCCCGTCTTACAGGGCTACAGTTTCTAGCCTATTGGTAGCCGGGAATTACTCTACCTTCACTCCACCCTTTCCCTCCTTTAGAATGAAGGATTAGTGGCATCTTGGAGGGGAAAATAGTCCACTGTCCCCTAGGCTTAGAGAAGAGCAGCTTTCCACCACTCCCCTTGGAGAGGAGGCAGGCTTTCCCTCCAGCTCTGGGGAAGGGGGCCCCTGTGAGGGGAGGTGTTTGTTGGGGGACTGAGGCAGCATCCTCCCAGGGGAAGCAGCTGCTCTCCTACCCCACCCACTGCGCCTGAGAGCACGCAGTCTCCAACCCGAGCTCCCTCCCGCCCTTCTCTTCTCGTCATTTCATTATTGATCCACCTTTTCCTAGGCCAATCCTGGGGCTTGGAAGGGGTGGGGGAAGCCAGGTTGGGGTGAGGAGAGTAGATAAGGGACAGTTATACTTTAGTGTGGTGGCGGTGGTTGCTTTGGGATGGGAGAAAAAGGATTATCAAGCAAAGTTATTCCTTAGAAAGGACTTGGGGTTGTCTCTGATTCTTGTAAGGGGACCCAAGGTGGATGAAGGGTCAGAGCGTTGCCCCTTCCCCATTAGTACTGGGGCAAGAACGGAGTTGCTTCTATAAACATTATTCGGCCCCCTTCAGCAAAAAGGAAAGTTGCCCAAGGAAGGGAAGTTGAGTTCAGGTTCAGCCAGTGGCGTTGCGCATTTGTTTTCCATTGGATGCAGAAGGGGGGAGTTCGAATTGTAGAGGGGGGAGGATGGCATGGGGGATGCTAGGAGGAGGAAGAGCAGCTGCTAGGGGCTGAAGCGAAGGGGGGTAGGGGGTTGCTGCTCTGGAGTGCTCTTGATTGAAACAGAAAGGGAAAGATAACAACCAGCCGTTTCCTGCGTGCTCTGCCGTTGGTGCACACAAAATATCCTGGGCAAACCCCTTGTCCCCTATTGTGCCCCGCACCCCTTTAGATTTACGGAAAGATCCTGGGAAGAAGGGGAGGGAGGAGATCCCAAGGACCCTGGCCCCTCCTTTCAAGGAGCTGGCATTTTTTAGTTGTTAGTCTTCCTGCCTCCTTTTTTTTAATCGTTTCTAAGGCAGCCTGATCAGGAGACTGACAACAACCCGCCTTCTGACAGAGCAAGGAGGACATGATGGGGGCGTGTTCCTTGCTATGTAGCTAGCTGCAGCGTCCCCTTTCCCTGCCTCTTTCTGCTCTATCTCCACCTCCTTTTCCCAGCCTTCAGAAGGCAGCTGCAGTCAGCAGGGTTGTTTGAGACTATTTATTGGTTGCTGTAGATTATTATTTTTTTTTGAAAGGCCAATTCTGTATTTTTTAAGCTAACAACACAGATCCCATGTAGTTGGAGAACCAAAGGCCACATACATGACAAAAAGACTGAACCGTTCAGGTTACTTGCATGGAGTTGGTGCTTAAATGTGAGTTGATTTTGCTTTTTTAAAAGATACAGCAGCAAAAAAAAAAAAAAAGAAAAAAAAGAAAAAACTGACATTTCATTTACCTGCTTATTTTCAAAATTGAGACTTGCCTGGTTATATGTAGCATTTTAGCCCCATGTATATTTGAGTTTAATAAGAAAGTCTCTATTAGGAGAAGTTAGTCCATTTTAAGGGGATCCTAAGAAGCATTTTCTTCTTGTTCAGTATGCTTATTTATTTTGTATAGAAGGACTAAGCATTCACATTCCAAATATTATCACATATTCAAAAGCAAAGTTTTATGCTGACAGCTTCCAATCATAGTTTTTCAAGAGACTGGTTAGAAAGAGAGCCACCTGGATTCAGGGACCTAATGTCTGGGCACCAGAATATTTTATCTGTTGGTCTTTGACAAATCACTTTTAAAGTTTTAATCAGGGGCTAAACGTTTTCTTATCTACTGGCATTATGAGATAATTGTAAACTACTGTTTTATTTTTCTTAACACTAGTATATAATGTAAAGCCTGTCAAGGAATTGCAGTTATTTCAAATAGGATCATATTTATAAGGGGTTTTTGTCTTTAAAACTTTTTCCTGAACAGTAGTTGCTGCTTCATTATGAGAAGAGTGGTTGACTCCTTACATTAAACTTGAGTATTTTTTCTGAATTGGACTTGAATGAGCTCTGTTCCATGGGTAAGCTTTTTATGTGGTGTTTGAGGCAATCCAGTATGAGTTGATGGTATGCATTGAGTAGTGGTAAACCTCTGAGCTGGTAGTTTTCAGTGTAGAAGCAAGCACTTTTTTTTTTTTTTTAACATAGCCTTACTAATCAATGATAAAGTTCCAAAAGGGAAGTTTAGGGTTCACCCTGGGCTGACATAGAATTCTAAAGACTGCTTCTCAGAACTCACTCATAGCTCTGTATCAAGTCTTATCTGGATTCATGAAGAAATGGTTATATGATCCAAAATGATTCTAACCTCTTTAAACTCTGGTTCGCCTTCAGTGAATAATGACTATAACTTGCCTATGTAACAACACCTATGTTAATACTTCTAAAACTAGGTAACAGAACTTCCAGATGACTTTGCTGTTTGAACTCCCTTAGCCATAGGAGACTTGTCCTTCACTGCTGTTGGTTCCTAACTTCCTTTGTATGACAATTAGGAAGTAGAATTGAGGTTTTGTTTTATTGAGCACTGTAAGAAATCAGAGGTCCATTTTTTGCCTTTCCCCTTCCCTCTGTAGTGTCAGTATCCCATTTTTCTAAGGATTCTCTCAGGTAATGTTCATACTACTGTACTTTGCCATCTAAATAAACATAGTACAGCAGCACCCTTTCTGTTGACTAGAAGTTAGGCTGTTGTAATAATAAACCCCTGAAACAGTGTGTTTATCAGTAACTAGTCTTCGTTTATTAATGTCATAATCCAGTTACCTTCCCTACTACTTCACAAAATATTAAAAGCAAAATTTCCATCCTGATCATAACATAGCAAACTTTAATTAGATACAAATTGAAACTGAGTTACAGCATTGGTGTGTATTTATTTTCACTTGAAATTGCAGTTTAGTTCATGTGGACTGAGACAGGCTTTTGGATTGGACTTGAAAAGATAGTACTCCTGCAGCTGAAAGGTAGTAGGAGAGCGTGATTTTTTTTTTTTTTTTTTAATGTTTACTGGTCATGTATGTACCAAGAGTGGGAGTTGCTCCTTCGTTGCCTTCACAGCTAGTCCTAAGATTGGCAGAAGGTAAATGAAGGAGGGAACACAAGCAGAGTGGAGTGCACGAAGCCTCCGAGTAGAAGTCAGTGGATGTGGGCTCTCATCTCCGTTACTGAACAGTTATGAGACCCTGGGCAAATTCACTTTTAACCTTAAATTTCTGATCTGTAAAATGAAAAGTTTGGACTAAATAGCTCATGAATCTGTTCTGTGTCAGTATTATGATTCCTTTCTGTTGTATTAAACTTTTGGTCAAATCAGAATTTCTTATTCTGAGTTTATTTCAAAAGTCAGAGTCAAGTGAGACGATTTGATAATTTTTGTTTTTTTTTTGAGTCAGGGTCTCACTATGTTGCCCAGGTGCATCTTGAACTCCTGATCCTCCTGCCTTAGCCTCCTGAGTAGCTGGGATTCTGTTTGGTAATTTTTAATATCAGATTATACATTTGCCTATATAACTGGCATTATTATTAGGAGGAGAAATTTCAACTTGGAAAGTTTTCGTTGTGTGGAAAAAACATAAGGACTTTGGGGAAGTTGACCAGTTTCATTTATAAGAAAAATGAGGATAAAGTTTTTACACATAGTTCTGAGAACCTACAGAATCCCAGGCATTATCTGGTGTTTAGAGGCCCTCTTGTTTGGCTAAATGTGTTGTCATTGTTGTGAATTCCAGACTATCCAAAAGAGAAGTTATTTTCAGTCTAGGTGGTATATTCCTGTAGGTGTATGAATTTTGAATGAAAAGAAAAATCCAATACATCAATGTATTTATAAATCTGAAGTGATAGTACCTACTTCATAGGATGTAGTTATTAATATGTTCTGAAATGGTTTATACTGAGCATTAGAAATTCAGTCTTTAGAACTTTTCTTCCTCTGTGACTGAAAACCAGATGACATGTCCCCATCTTTCACTTCCATTTAATTATCTTAAGGCACATACTCCTGGAGGAAATCATCATTCACACAATAGTGATCCATCTTCTTATTGGAAGTTGAGAGAAACTATTCCCATCTTGACTTAATTCTCATCTCTTTGCTCACCTTAGAGCTGTCCTTCCGTGGGGCAGCTGTGCAGACTCTATACCAATTGCCTCCCTTACCCTGTGGCTAGAGGGGGTGGCAACAGTGCTTTGCTTGCTCAGAGGCATAACAGACTGCAGTGCCTCTCTCTTTTGGAAACTCGCTGTGTTTTAATTGTAGGTCTCCTAATTAAGATCTCTTTGTGCCTGCCCACATTCCACTAGTGTTGGCACAGAGCTTCAGCTTCCTTCTAGCACTTAACTGAAGGCCTTCAATCGGGCCTTTTGTGAATATCTTGTCTCTTTCCATTCTTCCTCTGCCAAGGTGGAGAGCCCAGTGGCATAGACCTTTGAGAAGGGGGAAGCTTTGTGACTATCACTACTTTGGGAGGAATTTATTCGAGGATTGCTGGGATGGGACCTTCCTTTGTTTGCATATGTTATTTTCAGGGATTAAGAAAGGTTAAATTACTAATGAGTCTGGCATGATGTACCTACATTTTAATCAGATTCTTAACCCTGTAGGCACTAGTAGGAAAGAGGATGCCACAGAGTTCACTGTTACAAAGTATTTCCTTGGATCTTATCTAGACTGGTTTATGAAACTTGATGAGTAAAATATTGTCGTGGAGTAAATCTCAGACTCGTGATTTTTGTGGACTCTGAGGTTGTTGAAGACAAGACAATCAGATGAAATTATTGATTGCTCCTAAGTTGTATCGGCTTTGAGACACAGACTGAATTAAAGTTAGCTTTCAGATCTGAGTTAACTTTTGATTAGAAAGACTTTAGGAGGTTCTGGAAATTGTTGAGTTAATTAAGAATACCCTTGTAGGCTCCACTATTTCTTGAGATTTTCAGGAATTGTCTAGGCTTCTAGAGTATTTTCAGAATAAGATAAAATAGCTTTTCTGGAAAAAGTAGTTTGACTTTAGTTTCCAGGACCTTCGTATTCAAAATACAGTATGTTCTTTACTAGATCTACATGTGGCATGCTAGAGAAAATGCTATCTTTTATTAAGAAAAAGGAATCTTAAGTCCTTTACCTGGACCCAGATGGCTTCATTGATCACATCAGTATGAGGTTACGCAGACAAAGGGCTATTTTTGTTGTTGTTATTGTCATTTCATTGGTTGTTGAAGAAGGCCTGGGAGAAGGAAGTACAGGATCTTTTATGGCATGCATTAAATAAAGCTGGAGGCCTGCACTCTTATACCTGAGTGGGTGGTTTTATGGCCTAATTCTCTAATTGCTGGCATTTATGACAGTGTGGATGCTACTGGCCCTGTGGCTGAGGTAGATTATGCTGGGAATAGGGAGGAAAAAGGGGTCCTTTTGTTAGCCTTTTCATTTTGCCCCTCAATAAAGTCTCTGCAAAAACCCTGAGGAAATACAGAGACACTTGGACTGAGGGAATGACTTCCCATAAAATGGTTCTTTATGTTTTTAAAATGATGAGCCGCTTTTCTTGACCTATCCAAAGAAATCCATACCACCACTGTTAAATATTTCAATGAGTTTTTTACCTTGTCAGGTTACACACCAGGGGAAGCCAACCATGAGACTGTAGCTGCTGCCAAACATTCGCTTCTAAAGACTTAAGACATTTGAAAGAAGAATTTTGTTACGTGATTTGTAATTGTTGTGGATGATATAAATCCCCTTGAAGGATTAGTCCAAAACTTCTAAGAGGCCAAGCTTGGTTTAACTTTTAGATGTTGAATTGAATGTATTGCCCTAATGAGTTTTAGTTTTAAGGAAACAACAAAGATATAAGAGTTAGTTGGCAGTTTTGTGTGCAGTGTATGAAAATTCCCCTTCCCTTGAAATGAGTAGTTGTTTTTCTATTTGACAAATAGACTGAAGGGATTTCCCCAGATATCTTACCTTCAATTATTGCTGCAGCAGTACCCTGTGAAGTACCAGTGGGCAGCATCGGTCCAGTAGCATTTATTTCAGGAGCTGGAGTTTCTTCCGTATATAGTGTTTTATCCATTTTCTTGCATTTCTGGTTTTGTGTTTTGTTGGGATGTTTGGGTATAGATGTTTTGATGTCTTTCAGCAACAAAAGATATGAATCTTTCTAACATTCATACTGTTTTAGAGAGATCCACTTGTATTATCTATGCTTTGCTGAAGCATCATTGTTTCATTCTTATTTTACAGCATCAAGGTAATGGTAGCTTTCTGTCTTGAATTAGGAGAGTGATATTACTTGTGAGAAGGGTTTTGGAGAATAGTTTTTTCTTTAGGCTGTCCTTTATACTATCTCAGTTCTAAACACTAGGGAAAAGTTAATTCTTATCTCTAATAAATATCCTACACCTAGAGAAAGAAATATTTACACATGCCCATATTCAACTTCTGTCCATCCATGAGGATTGACCACTTTTTAGATCAAACACAAACATTGTCCCTAGATTATTGCCTTTAATTATAAGCAGTAAAACCTTGTGGATAACATCTCTTTAAGCTTAGCTAATGAGGAAATCCTTTTGTAATCTCTTTGGCTAGGATTTTTTATTTGTGCATATATAAATACCTTTACAGAAGAAAGGGAGAATCTCATAATCTAATCTGTAGTGGTGTGAGATCGTTTAGCATAGTAATTAAGAGTTGTTAAGACCATGGGCTCTGGATTTAAACTGCCTGAGTTCAAATCTAAGCTCAGCCATCTTGAAAAAGTTTTTTTTGTGTTTTGTTTGGTTTGTTTGAGACAGGATCTTGCTTTGTTGCCTAGGCTAGAGTGTAATGGCACAAACATTTCATTTCAGCCTCAACCTCCAGGGCTCAAGCAATCCTCTTGTCTCAGCCTCCTAAGTAGCTGGGACTACAGGCATGCACCACCACACTCAGCTAATTGTTTTATTTGTTGTAGAGATGGGAGTCTCACCATGTTGCCCAGGTTGGTCTTGAACTCCTGGCCTCAAGTGGTCCCCCTACCTCAGCCTCCCAAAGTGTTGGGATTACAAATGTGAGGCACTGCACCCAACCAGAAAAGTTTTTGAACCTCTCCATACCTCTGTTTCTTCATTTGTAACTGAGAGGTACTCATGCTTCATAGTCTCATTGTGAGGCTTAAGTGAGATCATGCATGTAAGCACTTAGCATTTTGCCTGGCACATAGGAAGCCCTAATTGTTAGAACCAAGAGATTGAAAGGAGAGCAGGGTTATAATCTTTTTTTTTCATCAAAATAACTGGTTTTTATTACATTAAGTTATACCTGTATATGTATGCATACATACACCTATTTGAGTGCTATAATCTTAGAATGTTCTTGATATTAGTCTGAGTGTCAAGTTCTTCTATAAACTAGGTGGAACCAAATTGAAGGCCAGCCACCCGTCTTGGTAACAACATTAGTGTCCAACTAAAGCATATTAAAGATAAGGCAAAAAAGAAGAAAGAGAACAAGATGGTAAATAGGCAAGTAAGATACCGAGGAACACAGTGCCTCCATGAGTTGCTAATTATCAGGCCAAGGCAGCTATAATGGGGTTGCTACCTGTTGTCTCTATAACTAGTGTTCCTGATATTTTTATGAGGAGGCACTTGGTCGTTCCTTATAACAGCTCTGAGGCTCTTCAGGGTTCTTGGGCTCCAGGTTCAGACCCATTAGTCTATACTTGATGACATTTGTTCTTAAGTGTCAGCTTGAGGAGAATGAGTGCTGGTCTACAGAGATCAATGCAAGTAACCATTTAATTATAGAAGAAATGCTGAATTGTAGGTTGCAATTTCTGGGGGTTGGAACTTGAGCAGAATGGTCAAAAGCAGATTAGAGTTTAAGAATAACTAGTAAAGAGTAGTGTGTTTAAGGAGGAAAAGTACAGTTTTGGGTTGGGCGCAGTGGCTCACGCCTATAATCCCA
Source organism: Homo sapiens (assembly GCF_000001405.40). NCBI lineage: Eukaryota > Metazoa > Chordata > Mammalia > Primates > Hominidae > Homo > Homo sapiens. Next base: position 118,445,754 of record NC_000011.10, read on the forward strand.
GCACTTTGGGAGGCCAAGGCGGGAAGATTGCCTGAGGTCAGGAGTTCGAGACCAGCCTGGCTAACATGGTGAAACCCTGTCTCTACTAAAAATACAAAAATTAGCTGGGTGTGGTGGTTGCGCACCTGTATCCCCAGCTACTCGGGAGGCTGAGGCAGGAGAATCGCCTGAACCCAGGAGGTGGAGGTTGCAGTAAGCTGAGATTCCGCCACTACACTCCAGCCTGGGCGAAAGAGCAAGACTCTGTCTCCAAAAAAAAGAAAGAAAAAAAGAAAAGTACAGTTTTGCTGTACTCTCTTTAAAAAGATTTGCAGGCCGGGTGGGGTGGCTCAATCCTGTAATCCCAACACTTTGGAAGGCCGAGGCAGGCAGATCACTTGAGGTCAGGAGTTTGAGACCAGCCTGGCCAACATGGTGGAACCCTGTCTCTACTTAAAATACAATAATTAGCTACATGTCGTGGTGCACACCTGCAATCCCAGCTACTTGGGGGGCTGAGGCATGAGAATCGCTTGAACCCGGGAGGCAGAGGTTGCAGTGAGCTGAGATCACACCACTGCATTCCATCCTGGAGGATAGAGTGAGACTGTGTCTCAAAAGAAAGAAAAGAAAAGAAAAGAAAAGATTTGCTAACATACTCAGTACACCATCAGAAACCATCAATACACCTCAGAAACTGAGGCACAGACAAGTTAAACAGTTTTCCTTAAGTTATATGGCTAGTAAGTGGCAGGGCTAGAATTTAAATCTGAACCTACATCTGTTTGAAAGTTGATTCTTGCTCTCTACACTGTGCTGTCTTTAAGTCCTTTCTCTTCCCACTCACATCCAATCAATTTCTGAGTCTTGTCCATTATATTATTGTAGTGTTTCTTTCATTTGTCCCTGCTGTTCTGTTCCTGCTGTCCTAGTTTAAATTTCCATTACTTTTGGATAGTTTATTGTGGTAATCTTCTCATTGGTCTTCCCACCTATCTTTTCACCCTACACAGTGCTTCACAATATGATAGTTTTCTTAAATACAGATCAGAGTATGTCACTTTATTCCTAAAATTCTTTGGCTTCTCACTGAATATGAAATAAAATTTCAGATTCTCAGCGCTGCATGATCTTGCTAGCCTGTATTTCTAAATTTTGAACCGTGTCTCCTGAATGTACATCGTTACTGCTTCAACCACATTGGACTACTGAACTATTAGGTGTTCTCCACAGTCTTTGTTTATCTGCCTTTGTACCTTTGCTAAAGCCTCTCCTTTGCCTTAAAGTCTTTCCCATTTTGACCTGTCTTGGGCTTATTATTCGTCTCCCATGGTTCAACTCAGATCCCCAGATCCTAACTCTTCCATGAAGTTTTCACAGATTGTACTGCTAGTTGAAACTGAACTTCTTTCCTGTTTTCTTTTTGTGTTTTGTATGTTATCCTTAAAAAATTTAACCCCGTATACCTTATGTCGTGGTACTTTTGAAATGTGTCTGTCTTTGTCCCATTAGATAGTGACTCCCTTAAGACACGGGCCATTTCTAAGTCATCATTTATGTTTTATGTTTTTTATAATGGTGACTTTTTATATAGTATTTGTTGAATTGAAAATTTGATGTCCATACAACTTTTAGGAATACTTTGCTGGGACACATTACATAAACTAGGAGAACTTAAGACTACGAACAGAATATTTGGACTAATCATTAAGAAATACTAATTTAAGTATGGCAAAGGAAAGCACAGGTGCCATGATGCGACATTTTTGTAAAGGTATTGATTGGGGTTTTGAAAGCGATGTTAGGGTATCCTGATGGGATGGCATTATCTTTTATGTAGATAATACTTAGCACTGATCATCCCCTTACTTGAGTGTTGTTTCCATTTCTAGGTTCCTCAACTTAAAAGGGATGAGGAGACCTTGGAGACGGTTCTGAGGAGACTCAAAAGATGATTATATGATTGGAAGTCAGTCCTATGAGGAAAGGTTGAGAGAATGAAAGGTTAAGAGGCAACTTAATAACTCTTCAAAAAACATGAATGGATCCATTATTAGGAATGGTAACCAGCGGTTTCCCAGCTCCACTGACAGCAGAATAAGAGAAAATAGGTTTAAACCGAAATCAGGAGTAGTTGTGTAAAGAACTTATTGGTAATGATGGTTGTCATTACAGTCATGGTAAAAAGGTTACCAAAATAATTTTATTATCTTCTCTGGAAGTATATTTTAAAAGTACAGTCCTGCCTACATATGTATAAAATGACCTCTTAAGCTACCTTTTCCTTCTGTGAATCAGTAAATAAATTCTTATTCAGCTCCTCGAAGCAATAATTACTTTCCAGTAGGAAGCTTCCAGAGATATTTCTTTAGGAAGTAATGGTTTTTGTAGTGGCTTTATAGGAGAATACAAATTTTTAAGTGGAGCTAAGAGAGAAATCTTAAACATCAAGAGAAACCAAGGAAAACAGTAGGTGTGGTATCAATATAGGAAACAAATAAGTATTTGTAGCTTTTATGTCCATTTTCAGTTGTCATTTAAAGAGGTATAGTTCAGAATAGCTCTTGTTAAGGCTGTCACTGCTTGTGGATACATTGTAACAAATGCTTATAAATCATTTCCAAACTAATAGAAGTTTGCTTCATGTTAGTTAGTATTATAAAAGCCTCTGACCCTTGGCTTTTGAGGCTGTGTAGAGGGCTTGCATCACTCAGAATGAAACCTTTTTAGATATGTTGGGTTGCAGAAAGCATTTCCTGTACAGTCAGAATGAAAACTTGAATTGGGATTATTCATATAGATTACCAAAAGTCTGGGCAGAGCTGATATTACCACCAGCCAGTTTTCCTACTAACTCTTAACTCCAAAACCTTCATTGGGTTATTGAAGCTTTAGGACTTTTGAATTTCCTACTGGAATTGTGTATGAATTCCTTCTTTCAAGTGAACTGATACTAGATTTATTTAAGATTAGTTATACATCTTAAGTATTTTTTAAGTGGCATATAATGAATGGTCTCTACTTTTAACCAGTCTCATAAAATGCCTGGGGTTCATAGGTGAAGCTGGATTGTTGCAGGAATTCTGCAATTGTTGGCAAAGCGAAGGGCAGTTTGACTCCTTAATTATAAAGTTGGATGTCATTTGAGAAACTCTGGGAATTGGAAGTAGAACAAATTCATACTTTCCCTATAACTTTTAATTTCTTGTCATACATTCAGAAAACAAGAGATGTAAAATTCATAAAACTGCTTGTATAAATTCAGAAAACGGGATTATAAAAGCAAAGACAAATTGTCTTACGATTCTTTGTTCTACTTGAGAGATTCAAGTGTTGGAGTAATAAAAAATACCAGGGACTTTCTTTTTTTTAATAGGTTAATGCCACCTAATGTGGGCTTCTCAGAATGTGATGGCAAACTTCCAAATATGATGTGGGAGCCAAAAGAGACCAACTGGTTTTACAAAATATTAAGAACACAAAATTTCCCAACTCATATATTTGAATATTCCTAAAAAATAATAAGTCAAAATTGTGTTGGTGGGCTGGGCACAGTGGCTCACAACTGTAATACCAGCACTGTGGGAGGCTGAGGTGGGAGGATTGCTTAAGGCCAGGAGTTCAAGACTAGCCTGGGCAACTTGGTAAGACCTGATCTCTACAAAATAAAAATTTTAAATTTAAAAAATTAAAAAAAAAAAATTAGCCAAGCATGGTGGCCTGGCGCCTTGTAGTCCCAGCTACTCAGGAAGCTGTGATGGGAGGATTGCTTGAGCCCAATGGGTCGAGGCTGCAGTGAGCCATGATCATGACACTGCACTCCAGCCTGGGCAACAGAGTGAGACTCCATCTCAAAAAAAAAAAAAAAAAAGAGAAAAAAAATTGCATTGGCCAACTTGGAGGCTTCAGTGTTATTTTGCCAAGAAGAATGTTCACTTTTGTCATCTAATTTTACACTGCTCCTTCAGCAAACTGACTTTATGGAGAGATAACCCTGTTTACCTTTAGAAAGAAGGAAGTTGTGGATTCCTCAGTCTTACTCCCATTACTATTGGTCATTCAACAGCCCATCTTCCCAGAAGGAAAGATGTAACCTGACTTTTGCGCCAGAATAAGAACAACAAACGGAAGAAAAAAACTGAGTTTTATAGTAGAAGTTTGTAGTTGAATGAGCATGTAGCTCAAAATGAAGTTAACCACTTAAACTTGTCATATGGGGGACCAAAATTTCTTATAATAAAAAGAACTATATCTGAAAATAAAGTTGGTGTTTGTTTAATTTTTCTAGCCTATTCAAATCAATCTGGTCATTTATGGTACTTTCCTATTAGAGAAAAATAAACCCTGTGATTGTGATGCTTAACTTAATTTTCTACAGTGAATCAGTTAAGTGGGCTTATTTTTTCTGCTTTAGCAAGTAGATAAACCAGTTCAGACTTGGAACCTGAGGATTCTGGAAATACACCTTTCTTGAGTTTTTGGTTTTTTTTTTTAAAGATTCTGCAGAATAATTTGGGACATTGCCAGGAATCAGAATAGTTTACTATCTGAAGTAGTGCATTCATTTTGCTGTTTTTTGTTTTTTTGTTTTTAAGACAGATAAGCTACTTTATGACTACCTCTTTTTCTGAAGCAGGGTGGGTGGAGGTCACCTGTCTCATTTGCTTTGCTGTTTTCAGCATCTTTGCTGCTTATTCTTGTTGACATGGAGTGGGGATGAGGGGTACTACCTATTTCTCTAGTTACAAAGTGAGTAGCATTTGTGTTTCTTAGGTGACAGTTGCTAGGTAGAATTGAATTAAATATTTGAAAACTGGACTTCATTCTTGTGTGGGTGAAATTTTTACCTTCTGTTGTTATTGAAGAACAGAGAATTATTGTCTTAGCGCTCTTTAATCCCAAGTGACCTTTTTGTGTTAACATTTCTCAATATCAGGCAGAGATCATATTTAAACAGTTTCAATCTCTTCCTATCTGTTATGCATTCAAATAATCATTGTTCTCTTGATGCACCAATAACCAGAGAGAATCTGCCCTTGTTCCTGCCCCTGACAATCTGTTCACAAGAGAATATGATGTCAGTTCAATAACAGCATACATTTCTTGACTGGTTGAATTTCATTAACTATTTGGCTTAAGAAGTTTGCCCCTTGATGTCTGTGTATTTGACTGTGCTTGGGTATATTATACTTTTCTTACTGATTGAGCAGCATTATTTTTATATTCTGCTTTTGGAAATGATTTACAGGTGTCACTACATTTTTTTTCTACTACAAATAATGAAAAAGTACCTGCAAAGAGGCTCATCTTCCTAAAAATGGCTATCATAAATATTGCATTACAAAGTAAGAAATAGAAATTGAAAAATCGAATTCATTTATCAAAGAACATCTTTTATACTCTAGGTGGATGACCAGCTACTGGGGCTCTACCATTGGAGACGTCCCTTCCCTCATGAAACTTGCTATCTAATTCTTTTTTTTTTTTTTTTTTTTTAGAGACAGGTTTTTGCTCTTCCACCCAGGCTGGGATGCAGTGGCACAAACACAGCTCACTGCAGCCTCAAACTCCTGGGCTCAAGGGATCCTCCTTCCTCAGCCTCCTGAGTAGCTGGGACCATAGGCTCACAACACCATGCCTACTAATTTTTAATTTTCTTTTCTGTTCTCTTTTGAGACAGAGTCTTGCCCTGTCACCCAGGCTGGAGTGCAGTGGCGCAATTTCGGCTCATTGCAACCTCCACCTCCTGGGCTCAAGTGATTCTCGTGCCTCAGCCTCCTGAGTAGCTGAGACTACAGGCACATGCCACCACATCTGGCTAATTTTTTATGTTTTTAGTAGAGACGGGGTTTCACCATGTTAGCCAGGCTGGTCTCGAACTCCTGACCTCAGGTGATCCACCCACCTCGGCCTCCCAAAGTGAATTTTTTTTTTTTTTTTTGTAGAGATGGGGTCTCACCATCTTATGTAGCTGGTCTCGAACTCCCAGGCTCAAGCAGTCGTCCTGCCTTGACCTCTCAAAGTGCTGGGATTATAGGTGCGACCCACCATGCCCAGCCTCTCATTCTTTTTAATGAGCTCAGCTTAAAATGTAGCAGGAATATAAGTATTCACATTTTTAATACTTTGCAAGATACTTTGGAAATTGATAATCTGAAGGTTGAAGCTCTCAGAACTAATGTTAACAGAATTGTCCTTGGGAGCAATTCAGCTATTCTTCATTTACGGATTTAGTGATTCTTGAGTCAGTTGTCTTACACCAAATGTAATACATGAATCAGGAGGGTTTTTCTTTGTTTGCTTTTTGTTTTTTTAAGAGACGAGGTCTCACTATGTTACCTGCGCTGGAGGGCAGTGGCTGTTCACAGGCATAATCATCATGTATTACAGACTTGAAATCCTGAGCTTAAGCGATTCTACTCCCTCAGCCTCCAAAATAGCTGAGACCATAGTGCACACAACTACGTCTGGCTCTGAATCAGGAGATTTTAAATGTTCTCAAAGTATGTAATAGCTTTTTCAGTCAGGCATGGTGGCTCACACCTGTAATGCCAGCACTTTGGGAGGCCAAAGAGGAAGGACCGCATGAGCTCAGGAGTTCAAGACAGTCTGAACAACATAGTGAGACCCCTTCTCTACAACAGAATAAGAATAACCAGGCATGGTGGTGAGCACTGTAGTCCCAGCTCCTCAGGAGACTGAGATGGGAGCATCACTTAAGCCCAGGAATAGGAGGCTGCCGTGAGGTATGATCATACCACTGCACTCCAGCCTGGGCGACAGAATAAGACCCTGTCTCAAAAAACAAAACTTTTTCCCTCCTGTTAAAATGGAACTTAGATGTGACTACATGCTCTGCTGCCTTCTACCATCAAAGAAGTGCCCCCTTCTTTTTTTTTTTCTTTCTTGTTTTTTTTTTGAGATGGAGTCTCACTCTGCTGCCCAGGCTGGAGTGCAGTGGCGCCATCTCGGCTCACAGCAACCTCCGCCTCCTGGGTTCAAGCGATTGTTCTGCCTCAGCCTCCCAAGTAGCTGGGATTACAGGCGCCCACCACCACGCCCTGCTAATTTTTGTATTTTTAGTAGAGATGGGGTTTCACCATATTGGCCAGGCTGGTCTCGAACTCCTGACCTCGTGATCTGCCCACCTCGGCCTCCCAAAGTGCTGGGATTGCAGGCGTGAGCCACTGTGCCTGGCGGAAGTGCCCCCTTCTATCTAAGGCCAACCTCTCCATTTGAGCTCTGGATCCCATCTCCTCTCATCTAGTCAGGGTTGTACCTGCAGTTATCTCATCTCTCCTGCTGCATAGGTAATTTCTCTCTCACAACTAGATTGGTCCCATCACCATATAAAACTATCTGCCTTAATATAATCCTTTAAAAAAACGCTTGACCCCACGTCCACCTCTAGCTGCTACCTGATTCTTTTCTCCCTTTTCACAGCAAAACTCCTTGAAAGTGCTGTGTGTAATTGCTATTTCTACTTTCTCACCTTTCATTCTTTCCTCAACTACTCCAGTTGGGCTTTTATCCCCATGATGCCTCTGAAATAGCTCTTATCAAGGTTCTCAAGGAGCTCTATTTTACCAGATTGAATAGATAATTCTCAGTTCTCATCTTGTTAAACCCTTTGGCAGCCTTTGAACCAGCTGACCACTCCCTTCTTGGATTTTTTTTTTTAACATTGTACTCACCTGTTTTTCTTCTTAACTCATTGGCTGTTAATTTTCAGTATTCTGTATGGCTTCCCTCCTCTGCTTAACTCTCCTGAATAAGGTTCCCAGGAGTCTACTTTTCACTGCCTTCTCTGTCTACACACTCTTCCTAGGTCATCTCATCCAGGCCTCATCTATACGCTGACAACTAAGAAATCTTTTTCTCTAACACTGACTACTTCTCAGAGTTCCAGGCTTGTATAGCCTGCTGCCAATTTGATATTTCCATTTGGCTAATATTTACTGAGTGTTTATTGTGGGCCAGGCTATATTCTGAGCACTTCACATGAATTATCTCACCTAACCTTCATGACCATTGTCTGAAGTATCACTAGTATTCCCATTTCATAGGCAAGGAAACACATATACATTGAAGCACTTGGATACCTAATAGGTATCTCTTACTTACCATATCTAAAAAGTCTTGACTTTCTTCCTCAAACCTTTTCCATTCCCAGTCTCTTTGTTTCTTAATTATTCCACCAAAAATCCAGTTGCTCAGGCCTAACATGTAAGATTTATCGTCGATTTATCTCTTTTATTCACATCTCACATCTATCCCATCAGCAAATTCTGTCTGTATTACATCCAAAATAAGCCCTAAATTCAACTACCTCTCAACAACTTTGCTACCAAAACCTCAGACTCTCCCATTATAGTCTCTTGGTTGGAGTTGCTTATGTTATTACCTCACTAAAGTTTGTTTCTCACATAGCAACAGTAAACTCTGGTATCAAATCCTATTCCTTCACTTTAAACCTATCTGTGTCTCCCCACACTGCTAGGATAAATCCAGATTCCTTACTATGGCCAACAAAGCCACACGTAAGCTGGCCTCTGGTCAAGCCTACTTCTCGAGCATTGTCTCTTCTCATCTCATCCATTCTGCTATATAGCCACACTAGCCTTTTTCTGTCTGTCATGCATGCTGTGCCTGTTGCTGTCTTGGGGCCTTTGCACTTGCTCTCAGGCTAGAACACTACTCCACCAAGGTCTTTATATGTCTGACTTTTTCTCATTTAGGCCTAACCAGGTTTGGCAAGTTTTTTTCTGCAAAGGGCCAGATGGCCTCTGTTGAAACTACTCCACTCTGTTGTTGTAAGTGCAAAAGCAACCATAGGCAATACAGATGCTCCCCAACTTACGAAGGGGCTACATCCTGAAAAACCCATACATCAAAAATGTCATAAGTCAAAGATACGTTTAATACACTTACAAGCTCGTCGTAAAGTCAAAAATTGTAAGTCAGACCATTGTAAGTCAGGGACTGTCTGTCCATTAACAACTGAACGTGGCCATGTTCCAATACAATTTTATTTATGAACACTGAAATTTGAATTTCATATAGTTTTCATGTACACAAAATATTCTTTTGACTTTAAAAAAATGGTTAATTTTTTTTTTTTTTAATTTTAACTTGCAGAACAATTGATGGTGGGCCAAATTCGGCCTGTGGCCCATAGTTTTCCAGTCTTCGGTAAACTATTGCCTTAGAGAAGCCTTTCCTGTCTACCCTAGCGAATATAACCCCACAGCTAACACCTCTCCACCCCCCACTCCTGTCAATTCTTATTGTCCTAGTGTCTTTTTTCTTCTTAGAGACAGGGTTTCACTCTGTCACCCAGGTTGGAGCGCAGTGGCTCAGTCAGTTCACTGCAGCCTCAAACTCTTGGGCTCACATGAACCTCCTGCCTCAGCCTTCCTGGTAGCTAGGATTACAGGCGAGAGCCACCATGCCCAGCCCCTAGTGTCTTTTATTTATTTGTTATATGTTTATTTTCTGTCTCTCCATTAGATTGTAGCTTCATGGGGCAGGAATTTTGTTAGTTCTTTACATGTATCTTGAGAGTCAAACAGTACCTGGCAATACTCAATAAATACTTATTGAATGATTGAGTGACAGTCATATTTGAATTATGCCTGTAGCCTGCTATCTGGTCCCCCTTTTTTAAGTCTTTCTTACTCTAGTTCATTATATATACCATTTCCAGAATAAACTTCACAGTTAATGCCTTCTCTACATTTGAGAACCAATGGTAGCAGTCTGTATTCATTGCATTTGCTTTGACCATACCATACAAGAATTAACAAGGTTCTGATTATTTCATTTGTCTTCTATCTTGGCCCTACTCTGGCTACCCCTTTTCAGCCTAATCAGTTTTTACCAATCCTCCAATCCTTGCATCTGATTTTCTTCCCCCTCTCTGCCCCTTATTATTATTATTTTTTTTTATTTTTATTTTTATTTTTATTTATTTATTTTTTTTTGAGGCAGGGTCTCACTCTGTTATCCAGGCTGGAGTTCAGTGGCGCAATCATGGCTCACTGCAACCTTGACCTCCTGGGCTCTGGTGATCCTCCCATCTCAGACTTCTGAGTAGTTGAGACTACACCACACCCAGCTAATTTTTGTGTTTTTCTTTGTAGAGATGGGGTTTCACATTGTTGCCCAGGCTGGTCTTGAACTGCTGTCTCAAGCAAGCTGCCTGCTTCAGCCTCCCAAAGTGCTAGGATTACAGGCATGAGCCACTGTGCCCAGCCTTGGCTACATTTTTAATACATTTTTAATTTTTTTTTAGACAAGTCATCTCCCTTTGTTGCCCAGGCTGATCTCAAACTCCTGGAATATCCCACTGCCTCAGGCCCCCAAAGTGCTAGGATTATAGATGTGAGCCACTGCACCTGGCCTCTCCCTGTTACTGTTAATCAGCCATTGCTCATTACCTTCATGATCTATTTTCTTCAGAGCTGCATTCTTTAAAACTTTTAGGGCCATGCATGGTGGCTAACACCTGTAATCCCAGCACTTTGGGAGGATTGCTTGAGCTCAGGAGTTTCAGACCAGCCTGGGCAATATAGTGAGACCTCATCTCTACTAAAAATTTAAAAAATGAACCTTTTTTTTTTTTGAGACAGAGTCTCACATTGTCACCCGGGCTGGAGTGCAATGGCGTGACCTTGGTTTACTGCAACCTCCGCCTCCTGGGCTCAAGCAATTCTCTTGCTTCAGCCTCCCAAGTAGCTGGGATTACAGGCACCTGCCACCACGCCCAGCTAATTTTTTGTGTTTTTAGTAGAGATGGGGTTTCACTATGTTGGCCAGGCTGGTCTCAAACTCCTGACCTCATGATTCGCCCACCTTGGCCTCCCAAAGTGCTAGGATTACAGGCATGAGCCGCCGCGCCTGGCATGCCTATATATTTCTAAGTATGTAGGTATTCCTCAGAACTCTGCCATCTACCCTCCTTTTCTTTCAGTACTATATTCTTTCCCTGGGTGACTGAATTCATACACAGTTTCAGCATTCATATATTCATTGAGTCAGATGTGTTTTCTTCAGATCATTATACCCTTTAGACAACGTGGATAAACATTTCAAATTCAGATGTCTAAAATGATCTCTCTTCCCACTCCTTTAAACCTGTCTCCTTTCTGTGTTCCCAGTCTTGGTAAATACCACCATAAACCTAATCAACCTAAGCCAGACATCCACAAGTGTTTTATTGATTCTTTGCACTCCCTTAAACCTTTATATCAAAGTCTTGTCCATTTTGCCTCCTAATGTCTATAGGATCTGTCCTTTTCCCCTTAATCCGTATGGCCACTACAGTCATTTTACAACTGTTCTTCCTGCCTCTACTTCTCTACTGCTGTCATAGCTTTTGGCAGCAAAAATCCAAATCTAATCATACTTCTCTCCTACCAGAGTCACTAATCTGCTATAGCCTTCAGGATGAGGTCTACACGTCCTCAAAGATAAACTTCAAACTCATGAAGGCATATAAGACCTTTCATGATACACCTCCTGCCTTTTTTTTTTTTTTTTTTTTTTTTTTTTGAGACAGAGTCTTGCTCTGTCACCCAGGCTGGAGTGCAGTGGCATGATCTTAGCTCACTGCAACCTCTGCCTTCTGGGTTCAAGCGATTCTCCGCCTCAGCCTCCTGAGTAGCTGGGACTACAGGTGCCCACCACCACGCCTGGCTAATTTTTTTTTTGTATTTTTTAGTAGAGACAGGGTTTCACCATGTTGGCCAAGCTGGTCTCAAACTCCTGACCTCATGATCCACCTGCGTTGGCCTCCCAAAGTGCTGGGATTACAGGTGTGAGCCACCATGCCTGACCGCCTTTTTTTCCCTTCAATATCTTTTGCCCCTTTCCCACATCAGCTAAGGCCTCAGTCATCCAGAACTATTTTTAATTTCACTCCATGCCACATTCTTTTGTGTCTCTGTGCCTTTGTATGTGTTATTCTCTCTGCTTGCACTACACTCCTCCCCCACCCCCCACCAGCTTTATCATCCTTCGAAAGATTAAGTTTTCATCCTCTCTGCAATGGCCTTCCCGATCCTTTCTCCTTGAGTGGGTTAATTGTCTTTCTGCTGTGCTCCTCCAGCAGTGTCTTCCTCTAGCATAGCAGGCAACATACGATACTTCATTAATTTACTCATCTGTTTTTAAGATTAGCAGGTCCTTAAAGACAGAAGCTGTCCTTTATCTCTGTTTTCATACCGTAGCCTAGGAATGGCCGATATATATTTTAATGAGTGAGTGAATGAATGAATTGGTACAGTCTGTCCTCCCAACCTGAGGGCATTCTCCCTATGCATTTTTTTTTGAGATGCTTTCAAATTTATTTTATTTTGGTTTATTTTTGAGACAGGATCTCACTCTGTCACCCAGCCTGGAGTGCAGTGTCTCGATCACAGTTCACTGCAGCCTGTATCTTCTGGACTTAAGTGATTCTCCCACCTCAACCTCCCAAGTAGCTGGGACTACAGGCACCCACCACACCCAGTTAATTTTTTCTATTTTTTATAGAAAGAGGGTTTCACTATGTTGGTCTAGAACTAGGCTGGTCTACAACTCCTGGGCTCAAGCCATCCTCCCTCCTCGGCCTCCCATTGTTAGGATTTCAGGTGTGAGCCACCTCGTCCTGCCCCTATACATTCTTAAAAGTAAGAATCATATTGTGTAATTCTTTGAAGTCCCTCAGTATTTTCTACTATAGTACTATTACCACAGTAGGTATTTAATGTTCTTAAAACAAGTTTATTGCATTTCTTTTATTTTCATTTTACAAACATTTATTGGGTGCCAAATTTGTGCTAGATATTAGAAATACAAAAATGAATAGGAAAACTGTTTCTATCCTCAGAGTACACACTCTAAAGAAGACAAATGTGTGAACACATTTTTTAAAATTCCTTCTGCTAATACTAGTAATTATGTGAGCATGTCTTTAAGGTGCAACATTAAGACCTTGGTATTTTGAAGCTTGTAGCAGTAGCCACAAGGGGAAATGTGCCAGCTGAAGTGATAGCTACCTGGAATAAATTCCCAAAGGGGAAGTGGTATTCTTTTTAAACTTATCGCTGCCAAGATGCACAGTTTGCCTCCTGGATATTTCTTCAACTTTAGTTGTTCTCAGTAATTTTGTTAGTTCTCCTGTGGCCTCCTCATTTGATGGAATGATATATAATGGTACTAGAAGCCTTCAAAACAAAGTATTTCAAAAAACAAGTGCATCAGGAGTGATTTTGATACTGTCTATGGTATTGATGTTATTTTCAATTGATTCATTGAAATTTGTTTTGTAATTGAAGGGATTTGATTTTTCAAACTCTTTTTTTTCCCCCCTTTGAGACAGAGTCTTGCTCTGTTACCCAGGCTGGAGTGCAGTGCACAATCTCAGCTCACTGCAACCTCTGCCTCCTGGGTTCAAGTGATTCTTGTGCATCAGCCACCCAAGAAGCTGGGATTAAAGGCATGTACCACTATGCCCACCAAATTTTTATTTTTGGTAGAGACAGGGTTTCACCATGTTGGCCAGGCTGATCTTGAACTCTGGCCTCAAGTGATCCATCCATCTCAGCCTCCCAAAGTGCTGGGATTACAGGTGTGAGCCACCATGCCAGGCCCTGATTTTTCATAAGACTAAAAATTTTGGAAACAGAAGAATGCTAAGATATAGCTGCTAAAGGGCATGTTTGAGATGCCTACCACTTAATTAAGTGCTGTGAAGTACCTAGGAGTCTCTTGCTAGAAAAGGAAGGTGAGGGTGTGAGCAAAGTCATCCTAGGCTGTATTCATCTGAGGCCAGGAGTATTGGAGCTTATTCAATAGAGGAATTCTCAAAGTAGCTCTGGAGCCTCCATCTTAGCCTGGTAGGTAAAGAACTCTAGGCGGGTGATTTTTGCTCTGACTATGGTATATTGAAAATAATTTTTTTTTTTTTGAAATGGAGTCTTGCTCCGTTGCCCAGGCTGGAGTACAGTGGCATGAGCTCTTGGCTCACTGCAACCTCTACCCGGCCCTCCCAACCCCCCGCCCCGGGTTCAAGCAATTCTCCTTCCTCAGCCTCCCGAGTAGCTAGGATTACAGGCGGGCACTACCACGCCCGGCTAATTTTTGTATTTTTGGTAGAGACAGGGTTTCACCATGTCTCTGGTCATGTCAGGATGGTCTCAAACTCCTGACCTCAAGTGATCTGCCTGCCTTGGCCTCCCAAAGTGCTGGGATTACAGGCTTGAGCCACTGCCTCAGGCCCAATTGGGAAGAATTTAAGGGAGGAACTAAAAGCTATGCATTTTAGTTGGGGATAGGGAAGAAAACATTACAGTTTATCAGTTGAAATTTTATCAGATCAGTGGTATTACTAGAAACTGTGTCACATCTAGTTACTATAGATAATTTAGGTCTTGATTGCCTAAACTCTGATTTCTAGCTCTGGAGTGCCTAGTTACAATACTGAGGAATGGAGATATACATTGCCATCCTTTGGAAGAATTTTGAAATTTGAATATTTCTCCATGAACCACATACTAATATAGAAGGAAGAATAGACTTTTTCTTTTTTCTGAGATAGGGACTTGCTCTGTCACCCAGGCTGGAGTGCAGTGGCACGATCTCAGCCCACTGCAACCTCCGTCCCCCAGGCTCAGGGATCCTCCTACCTCAGCCTCCCGAGTAGCTGGACCACAGGCATGCACCAGCACACCCAGCTATTTTTTTGTATTTTTAGTGGAGATGGGGGTCTCACCATGTTGCCCAGCCTGGTCTCAAACTCCCTGAGCTCAAGCAATCCACCTGCCTTGGCCTCACAAAATGCTGGGTTTACAGTCAGGAGACACCACACCCAGCCTTCAAGAGTTAAGCAAAATTTTTTATTCCAGAATATGAATATGAATTACACATAGTATTTTATCCTTCAGTAACATTGTTTTTTTAGAGACAGGATCTGGCTATGTTGCTCAGGCTGGAGTGCAGTGGATTCACAGGTGCAATAATAGGGGACCACAGCCTTGAACTCCTGGTCTCCAGTGATCCTTCTGTTTCAGCCTCCCAAATAGTTGGGACTACAGGCGCACACCACCATACCCAGCTATTCTTTAGTGACATTTTAATGCAACTGATTTTTAAAAGGAAGGCTGAAATTGCACACTGCCTGTCTGCCTTAGATACTTCTTGGGAGCAGGAATCATGTCTTACTCAATGTTGTATCTGGAACATATAGCCCTAGGGCAAGTGTATAAATGTTTTTTGAGTGAACAAATGAATTAAATATTGCTTTGTTTGAAAAGTTGTCTTAGTAGTACATAATTCCTTGAAACACAGAATTTCATGTATTTTTCTAATATACCTTATATTTTATACACAAACATTATGTTTAATACTTATTTAGGGTTCACTTAGGTTCTTTTGTGGGAGAAATATTCCTATTGCTTCGTCACTCACAGAAATAACTGGCCACTAAAGAATTAAAGTTTTGCCACTAAAATAAAATTTCTGAATATTAAGATATTTATGAATAACGTGAATTTAGTGGTAAAGGTATGCTTGGAAGCTCTCAAATAACTGGTTACCCCAGAGTGGAGATGCAGGGGTCAGAAAGAAATTCTACATGTTTATTATTTTTACAACTAGATTTCACTTAGGAAGTGACATTACATAGCTTAATTTGCTGTCTTAATCACTGGAAGCTAAATATGAGTTAACAGTATTTTGCAGTGCTCTACTTGGCAAGGGTGTTTTTCTATCTTTGCTGGTAAGAAAATGAAATATTGGTGATCTAGTCTCCAAGGACATCAGTGTCAGCAAGGTTTAGGTTTTGTGGCTATACTGTCTTGGAATGCTGTGCTCATCAGAGTAGGCCAAGTTGAAAGGAAAAGTGTGTGATGAATGGTTGCCTGAGCCCAGTTCCCAGGAGTCCCTAGTCATGTATAGCATGATGTCTCCTGTACCCTCTCTCTTCAGGGCTGTCCAGGCTTATGATGCCACGATGCCAAATGTGGATTTAATTGTAGCTTCTTTTGTCTTTTTTATACACATATTACTGTAGTCTTTTGATTTCTAGATAAGTTTAAATCCTTGGGAAGCCAACACTCTTACCTTGTTTCCAACCTCCAGGGATCCCATGTGCTTAAGGAGAGTGATGGAGCAAGATGAGAAGCCTGTTGCTCATGATAGTGCAGTGAAAGGAGGACTTTTTTGCAGCACCCTCTTTATTTATTTATTTATTTTTGAGACGGAGTTTTGCTTTATCACCCAGGCTGGAGTGCAGTGGCGTGAGCTTTTGGCTCAATGCAACCTCTGCCTCCCAGGTTCAAGTAATTCTCGTGCCTCAGCCTCCCGAGTAGCTGGGACTACAGGCGCGTGCCACCATAACTGGATAATTTTTGTATATTTTGTAGAGACGGGGTTTCACCATGCTGGCCAGGCTGATCTCGAACTCCTGGCCTCAGGTGACCCACCCATCTCTACCTTCCAAAGTGCTGGGATTACAGGTGTGAACCACCATGCCCGGCTGCAGCACCCTCTTGTAGCCTTCTTTCCCAGTGCTTTCTCAACTTGGCTTTACTTAGTTTTTTTGTTTTGTTTTGTTTTGTTTTGTTTTGTTTTTTAGGGCTCTTACATAGGCTTGGAAGTTCCAAGTTAGAAGACTGGAGCTCTTTAACATAACAATGACAGCTTTTGTTTTTGGCTAAGCTGTCCGGATTATTTAAACAATGGGTACTTATTTTTTAAAGCATGCTTCAAGAAATCAATCAATATTTCAAGTGCAAAGAAAGTTCTTGGGTAAAAGTATAGTTCATTTTGACTACTTATTTTTATTTATTTATTTATTTTTTGAGACAGAGTCTCGCTCTGTCGCCCAGGCTGGAGTGCAGTGGTGCGATCTCGGCTCACTGCAGGCTCCGCCTCCCGGGTTCACGCCATTCTCCTGCCTCAGCCTCCTGAGTAGCTGGGACTACAGGCGCCCGCCATCACGCCCGGCTAATTTTTTTGTATTTTTTTTAGTAGAGACAGGGTTTCACCGTGTTAGCCAGGATGGTCTCGATCTCCTGACTTTGTGATCCTCCCACGTCGGCCTCCTAAAGTCCTGGGATTACAGGCGTGAGCCACTGCACCCGGCCTGACTACTTATTTTTTATTTCCTTATTCCAAGTACAAGACCAGAAGGAAAACGAATTAATGCTTCCTGTCATTTTGGAAAGTACTTAGAAACTTTAAATATTGGCAGTTAAACTGCCTGACAGCTCAGTGGAACTCTTGTTTTGGAATACATTGCAGTTAGGATTATATAGTTACATTTTGTAAAAGTTTGAAATATATAAAAATGACTCATTAGGTTGTTAATAATGAACCTAACAGTGTGTATCTCTTACATTTATCTTTATTTTTTTTTTTTAAATAAAGATGGGGTCTTGCTATGTTGCCCAGGCTGGTCTTGCACTCCTGGGGTCAAGCAATCCTCCTACCTTGTCCTCCCAAAGTGCTGGGATTACAGGCATGAGCCACTGCACCCAGCCCATTTCTTTTAAAGATTAATAACTTTTTATTACCTGTTGAATACTTTACCTATTGATTATTATATGTATAGTTGCTTGAGCTGTCAATCATTGTAGCATTTGGAACATAAAATGCGTGTATTTAGCAATGTAGTCCCCTAGTAAGTGTTGGGAAATCCCCAGATGTCTTTGTGAAATGCATAGATTAGCAGGTTGTTCCACGAGTATAATTCAGGAAAAGAATGAATTAATCAGAAATTTGAAGGATCTGAAAATGGCCATCATGTGACTTTTACAGTAGCTAAAAGAATAGCAATTTTTGTACTTTAGACAACTTATTCAATTCCTTTAAATATTTATTGTTTTATATTGTATCTATTATGGTAGGAAAACTATTCTACAGCCAGTTTAGACACTTAGGTTCTTTGTAGCTAACTGTGTGATCTTGGGCAAGTCATTTGGCCTTTTAGAGCTTCATTTTCTTCAAACACAACAATAAGAACTACTATGTGAGGGGACTTCAAAGAAAACTCATGGAAAAATACATATTATGAAAAAACTGCAGAATTTCAAAATTTTGTATGCACCAAAATAAACTTGCACTAACTTGTCATAACATATCTGAACAGGATGTAGTTTGAGGCACTAAGAAGGATAAGACATCAGTTTGAAAAGAGCCCCTATCAGAGCAACATAAGTTCTGCTAAAATTGAAGCAAAAACAAACATAAAATTTATGGTGAAGCTGGGTGAAAGAATGGTGAAATCATTGATGCTTTACATAAAGTTTATGGGGACAATGCCCCAAATAAATAATTGGATGGCTCATTTTAAGAAGGGACAAGATGATGTTGAAGATGAAGCCTGTAGTAGCAGACTGTCCAGTTTGCAAGGAAAAAATTCATCTTGTTCATGCCGTAATTGAAGAGGAATGATGATTAACAGCACAAATAATAGCCAACACCATAGACATCTCAATTGGTTCAGCTTACACAATTCTGACTGAAAAACTAAAGTTGGCTGGGCGTGGTGGCTCACGCCTGTTATCCCAGCACTTTCAGAGGCCAAGGTGGGTGGATCACCTGAGGTGAGGAGTTCGAGACCAGCCTGGCCAACATGACGAAACCCCATCTCCACTAAAAATACAAAAATAACCAGGTGTAGTAGTGCATGCCTGTAGTCCCAGCTACTTGGGAGGTTGAGACAGGAGAATCACTTGAACCCAAGAGGCAGAGGTTGCAGTGAGTGAGCCAAGATTGTGCCATTGCACTCCAGCATGGGTGGCAAGAGGGAAACTCTGTCTCAAAAAAAAAAAAAAAAAACCTAAAGTTGAGCAACTTTCTACCAAATGGGTGCCAAAACCATTGCACCCAAATCAGCTGCAGACAAGTGTAGAGCATTCAATGGAAATTTTAAACAAGTGGCAGCAAGATCCTGAAGCATGTCTTTGAAGAATTGTAACAGGAGATGAAACATGGCTTTACCAATACGATCCTGAAAACAAAGCACAATCAAAGTAATGGCTACCAGGAGGTAGAAGTGGTCCAGTCAAAGCAAAAGCAGACTGTTTAAGAGCAAAGGTCATGGCAACAGTTTTTTGGGGATGCTCAAGGCATTTTGCTTGTTGACTTTCTGGAGGACCAAAGAATGATAGCATCAGCTTATTTGAAAGTGTTTTGAGAAAGTTAACCAAAGCTTTAGTAGAAAAATGCCCAGGAAAGCTTCACCAGAGTCCTGCTCCATCATGGCAATGTCCCTGCTCATTCCTCTCATCAAACAAGGGCAACTTTGTGAGAATTTTCATGAGAAGTCATTCAGTATCATTAAGTATGCTGATTTGTCTCCTTTGCCTTTTTTGTTTCCCAATCTTAAAAATCTATGAAGGAGGCGGAGCATCTAGGCTGAGGCAGGAGAATCGCTTGAACCCAGGAGACGGAGGTTGCAGTGAGCCAAGATTGTGCCACTGCACTATAGCTAGGTGACAGAGTGAAACTCTTATCTTAAAAAGAAAAAAAAGAAATCTATGAAGGGCACCCATTTTTCTTCAGTTAATAATGTAAAAAAGACTGCATTAAAATGTTTCAGTTCCCACGACCCCCAGTTCTTTAGGGATGGGCTAAATAGCTGGTATCATGGCTTACAAAAGTGTCTTGACCTTGGAGATTATGTTGAGAAATAAAATTTATATTTTTAATTTTTATCTTTTAATTCCATTTTCCATGAACCTTTTGAAGTCCCATCATATGTATGTTGCCTATAGCTTTCCAAGTGATTTCACATAAATTATTTATTCCTTACAGTGCTCAAATAAAAAATGAAATTGAGGGATAGATACAGTAAGTGAGTTGTCTAAGATTACATAGTCTGAGAGAATCAGACTGAGACCCTAAACCAACCCTTCTCTCCCCACATCCAGCACTCTCCTCACTGGCATCACGTATGAGAAGACTGGATTGGCCCCCTCTACAATTATAATATTCTATGATTTTTTTGTTTCTGAAGTGATTTGCCATTACCTATTTTATTTGCTTTTTCCTCAAAATATATTTTAGGGTTACTATTTTTAATGTCTTTTTTTTCTGCCTGAAAGTACATTTTAAAAGTTAACAGTATGGAATTTCATTATTGTGATAAGATTTTATATTAATTGTGCTGTTAGGAGTTTTGGCTGTTTTTGTTTTGTTTTGTTTTTTTGGTAACATTGTAGCCTACAAGTGTAAACCCTGAAAATGATTCCAGAAATTTATTTGGGGTTCAGATTCACATGTTGTAGGTTAGTTATATACTAACTTGTTTTAAGATGAAGAGAGATAATTTTTTTATTTTAAAATTACTTTTAGATTTTTTTTAGATTGGGAGGCCAGTATGGGAGGATCACTTGAGCCCAGAAGTTTGAGACCAGCCTGGGCAACATAGTGAGACCCCGTCTCTGTAAATAATTTTAAAATTAGCTGAGTGCTGGTACATGCCTGTAGTCCCAGCTGCCCAGGAGGCTAAGGCAGGAGCATTGCTAGAGCCCAGGAGTTTGAGGCTGCAGTGAGCCGTGATCACACCACTGCAGTACAGCCTGAGTGACAGAGTGAGCACTGGCAAATTTTAAAATTTTCTGTAAAGACTCACTATGTTGCCCAGGCTAGCCTTGAACTCCTGGCCTCAAGCAGTCCTCCCATATTGGCCTCTCAAGGCGCTGGGATTACAGGTATGAGCTACTGTGCTGGCCAAGAGAGAATTTTTCTTATTCACAAATAATGTTCACAGTAAGAATTTACTTAAAATTTTTTTAAAGTAAAAAGAACTGGCTGGGCACAGTGGCTCACGCCTGTAAATCCCAGCACTTTGGGAAGCCAAGGTGGGTGGATCACTTGAGGCCAGGAGTTCAAGACCAGCCTGGCCAACATTGCAAAAGCCCATCTCTACTAAAAATACAAAATTAGCCAGGTGTGGTGGCACACGCCTGTAATTCCAGCTACTTGGGAGGGTGAGGTATGAGAATCTCTTGAACCTGGGAGGCTGAGGTGGCGCCATTGTACTCCAGCCTGGGCGACAGAGCAAGACTCTGCCTCAAAAAAAACAAAACAAAACAAAACAAAAACAACAAAAAACCAACAAAAAAAGAACTTACGTGTAAGAATTTAAATTAGTGATGAAAGAAGAAACTGTAAAAAGTACTCCAGTAAGCCAGGCATAGTGGTGCATGTATGTAGTCCGAGCTATGCAGGAGGCTGAGGCAGGAGTATCACTTGAGACCAGGAATTAAAGACCAGCCTGAGCAAAATATGTAATTAAAAAAAAAATTACTGTAGTCTGTGTTCCTTAAATTTAGGTTTCATACATTCTTAGAATTATAATACTTTTTCATGGCTGGGCACAGTGGTGCATGCCTGTAATCCCAGCACTTTGGGAGGCCGAGGTGGGCAGATCACTTGAGGTCAGGAGTTTGAGACCAACCTGCCCAACATGGTAAAACCCTGTCTCTACTAAAAATACAAAAATGAGCTGAGCATGGTGACAAGGGCCTCTAGTCTTAGCTATTCAGGAGGCTGAGGCAAGAGAATCGCTTGAACCCAGGAGGCGGAGGTTGCAGTGAGCTGAGATCGCGCCACTGCACTCCAGCCTGGGTGACAGAGCAAGACTCCGTCTCAAAAAAAAAAAAAAAATTATAATACTTTTTCAGATGTCTTTGAAGAGGAGAATTTCAGCCTTTTCTTAAATAGTCCAATACTTTAATCTTAGCAATCTCAGAGCAAAAGCCTTTTTAGATGCCAGTAAGACTTTTCTCTCAGTTGCCTAGTATGCAAAGGCTGGGCCTTAAATGTTTTGCTCCTCTAAAGCATTTAAATTTAAGAGATGAACCTGCTAATTTGTCCTAAAAGTTATATATGTCTTTTAATATAGTCATGGCTGAAAAATGGCTAAGACAGTTAGCACCTGACTCTAGTTTTAAATTAACTGAGAAAATAATCCTTCAGAAAATCATTGATGTTGTCCACATACATGTGTTCTTACCTCTCGAGAGGAAAATGTTAATGCTTTTGTCATTGGAACTCAGTTTGGGACTTACCACTATAAATTGGAGGTTCCAGAATGTCTGTTCTTCATTCCTTATTTTGTTCTTGTTTTATGTGGATTTTGTTTCTGGAATCTGAAATTCTATCATTCTGTGTCTGTCTCTGGAAAGAACTCAATCTCTGAATCATTGAATTTCTATTAATCAGTTTGTTTAAATAGACCATCTTTCTTGAGAACTTGTGCAAAATAGGTTAAACAAATCCTTTTTTTTTTTATAGAGCAGGTTAAAATTAGAGGTAAGCAGAAGCTTTTGCTTTTTGTCCTTTCCAACTATAACTGAAAATAGGATGCTTCCCTAAGTTTTAGTAAAGGATTTCATCCTATATGCAGTCAATTCATGATCCCTTTCACAAACGCTGCTGCCCACCATTAAGTCTCTTATCACAGGCATTTTTAAAATTATACCATAAAATGCATGTTGAGACTCTCTGGATCTCAAATGTACAGAAATCACATCTAAATGTCAATTCCTGAGTTAAGGAACTGACAATTATGGCACTTTCAGTCTCTATTAATATTTAGAAGGCAAGAGATTATTATATTGTTTATATTACTCCTTATGTGTCTGTAGACTTAAATACTTTTTGAAAAGCATTTGTTTGTTGTATTGGGGCTGTATGTTTCTGCCATTATACTTATTTGCTTACCTGATTTAAAGTTGTCCTTTAATTGTTTTGGGCTGTATCTATAGTTTGAAATTAGGACTATCCTCTGTGTACTATGCACCAAAGATGACATTTCAATGCATTGTTCAGTTACTACACAGCTCCTATTTGTCTGTAATAAAGCTGTATGGCTGGGTCCATTTATTTCAATATTAGTTATTTTATAGTATCCATTGGAATGATGATAATTAATATATAAAGGCAACTTTTCCAAATTCATTTGTGTCTCCTCTGGGCATTTCTTTGGGATGTGTTTGTATGCACGTTTTTGCTTCTGATTTTAAAATAATTTTCCTTTGTTGTAGGATGAGCAATTCTTAGGTTTTGGCTCAGATGAAGAAGTCAGAGTGCGAAGTCCCACAAGGTCTCCTTCAGGTACGGCCAATTAAGTGCATGGTGCCTTTTAAGTTTTGTTTGTTAGGAGATTGTGGCTTCCTCTTGCCTTCTTTACATGTAAAGGATGCTCTACCATACTTGGGTTAGGAAATGGCTGATGAGCTAGACTTCTTTTTATTTATTTATTTATTTATTATTGTTATACTTTAAGTTTTAGGGTACATGTGCACAATGTGCAAGTTAGTTACATATGTATACATGTGCCATGCTGGTGCGCTGCACCCACTAACTCGTCATCTAGCATTAGGTATATCTCCCAATGCTATCCCTCCCCCCTCCCCCCAGCTAGACTTCTTTATGGGACTCTTATCTATCAGGCCACATTGGGTTTATTCTTTCTCTCTGGGAACTACTTGGGGCATGGGAAGTAGGTTTCCACAGAATTACTGGGAAATCTGGTAGGCAAAGTGAAGGTAACCTAGTAAGAGTATCCTCAGATTTACACATTTTGTGTTATGTGGTAGTGTATATGTCTTTGGGAATAATTTGGCCATTATTTTTTTTGGATGAAATTTGGTCCACTATTGTCAAAGAACCAAAAACAAAATATTGGCATTATGTGAAACATTTTTACCTGATTCTTGAAAGGCTGTATTAAAATAAAAAAATGGAAAATTAGCAATATTTGTCATTATTCTCACCAACAAAATATCTAGAATATCTTGAAATTCTAGACTTACAAGCAGTTTCCTAAGAGAAGACCCTCAATGGAAATAACATTTAATGGCTTGCCTAATTCAGTTCTGTATAGGAGAAAGCTATGTATCTTTTGATGAAAATGCATTCCCCATCTGTGCTGCCATTCTGACTTCATATATGGTTTTCTTTGATTTTATGTGGATAGACACTCCAGCTAAATATGATATTGTTAGCTGTTTCTGCTTTTTGACATTGACTTAGCTTGTGATGTGTGCTAGCATTAGGGTCTCACTTAAGAGTCATCATATATTATCATCTAATTCAAACATCCAAGTTGACAGTTTTTCTTTTCTTAAAGAGGAGTGGTATTGTCATTCTAGTTGGGGGCAGTTGGCCAGTAGTGTCCCAGTATCTGTGCTATTCAGACAGTAGCAGTGTTCTCTTTAACATGTGATGAAGTCTTAAAACTTCATATAGGAAAGGAATTAGAGAGATCATCTGGGATTTTTGTTTGTTTGTTTATAGATGAAAAAATGAGGTCCATGAAATACATGAGTAATGATTTATAACCAGTTTGAGAGTTCTTTGGATATGTTGTGGATCAGGGAAGTTAGCAGCAGTGCTGGGACTCTTCTCTGTTCTGCTGCTTCTACTTATCTACCAAAAGAGTTTTTTAAAAAGTAGGATAGAAGAGGTTTTCAGAATTGATAAAGCCCTCTGATTGGCCAGGTTCAAGTCTACCACAATGGTAAGGAATCTTTTGATGTATTTCCGGGCAGGAGTTGTTTTGTTTGTTTGTTGTTTTTGTTTTTGTTTTTGAGACGGAGTCTCACTCTGTCACCCAGGCTCTGGGCAGGAGTTTTATTTTGTTAATTCACAACTTTTTCATGGTAGTTTCCTCTTAAGTTTTTTTTCATGACTACCAGTCTACCTTGAATGTTGTCTTGTTTTCTAAGAAACCATCTCGATATGCTTCATTATTTGAGAAATGAGACATGGTTTCTCTGCTGTCTCCTAGTTTATTACCTTTGTTGTAATTAGGATATGTTGAGAAAGGAGCTGTGAATCCTTAATCTATTAAAGGAAGTCTCATAAATTAATTGATGAGGAATGCATTTATATTTAGAAAGCTCAACAATAAAACCTTTGTTGACTTCTGTTCTGTTAGCAAGCAGTTCCATTGTAAAAATGTTCATCTCTTTTGGTGCCTATTAAGGGAAGTTTTAGTCTCAGAAGAATGTTATCAAAAGGGAAAAGAAGATTTGATAAAATAGCCTAGTCTTACTACTTTTTAAAATACAGGTTTATACAAGGTGTTTTAGAAACAGTCTTGTTTTCTTGAATGGCTTGAAAAGCAGCAAACTGAGCTTATTTATAAATTGGCAAATTCCTTTTATTTAGAATAGAACTTTGATTTAATAAGTTGTCATTTTGCTGTTGACATCAGTTAAGGTTAAATCTTTTTGCAACTTGAGACTAGCTCAAGAACCTCTAAGCAGGGGAGTAGATTTAGTGGACACATTATGTCACTTCACTGATTAGTTCACATGCCACTGAGTTCAGTGGTCTTATTCTGATGTGTCATAAATGAACATTTTTCTATTCAGTAAAACTTTCTTAGTCTACTTTGGCAAAACAGATTGAAATATGGGACTCTGAGCTGCCCAAGGAGTTGGTATGTTGATGATTGAAGAGCAGCGTATTCAAATTTGTTCAAAGCCAGAATTCTGAATTGAAAAGATGGGATGACTAACTAGAAGCATATTCTTAAATGTTAATCTTGGTGGCTAGGATATGGCGAGGAAGTTCAGATGTTTTTTCTTTACAATTCCTTTGAATTCAGAAAAAACCTTCTTGCTCATCTAAAATTGTAAGAAAATCAGTTTTGTGGATTAATTGTTCAACTGAAAACTTTTTATTATCTTTTTGTATCAAAAAAGTAATTAAATGTTCTTTCAGGTGGAATGTTATTTGCTGACTTCTTTGAGGCAAATTTTGGGTGAAAAGAAACTAAGCACAATTAAGATGTTTGATTGACTCATTAGACTCAAGTTGAACTCAGTACAAAATGGCCAGTGCTAAGTTATATTCAGCTTAGTTAAAACCTAAACTACACAGCTAAATATATGCTCTTCATTGTTTAATTTCTATACACAGTTAAAACTAGTCCTCGAAAACCTCGTGGGAGACCTAGAAGTGGCTCTGACCGAAATTCAGCTATCCTCTCAGATCCATCTGTGTTTTCCCCTCTAAATAAATCAGAGACCAAATCTGGAGATAAGATCAAGAAGAAAGATTCTAAAAGTATAGAAAAGAAGAGAGGAAGACCTCCCACCTTCCCTGGAGTAAAAATCAAAATAACACATGGAAAGGACATTTCAGAGTTACCAAAGGGAAACAAAGAAGATAGCCTGAAAAAAATTAAAAGGACACCTTCTGCTACGTTTCAGCAAGCCACAAAGATTAAAAAATTAAGAGCAGGTAAACTCTCTCCTCTCAAGTCTAAGTTTAAGACAGGGAAGCTTCAAATAGGAAGGAAGGGGGTACAAATTGTACGACGGAGAGGAAGGCCTCCATCAACAGAAAGGATAAAGACCCCTTCGGGTCTCCTCATTAATTCTGAACTGGAAAAGCCCCAGAAAGTCCGGAAAGACAAGGAAGGAACACCTCCACTTACAAAAGAAGATAAGACAGTTGTCAGACAAAGCCCTCGAAGGATTAAGCCAGTTAGGATTATTCCTTCTTCAAAAAGGACAGATGCAACCATTGCTAAGCAACTCTTACAGAGGGCAAAAAAGGGGGCTCAAAAGAAAATTGAAAAAGAAGCAGCTCAGCTGCAGGGAAGAAAGGTGAAGACACAGGTCAAAAATATTCGACAGTTCATCATGCCTGTTGTCAGTGCTATCTCCTCGCGGATCATTAAGACCCCTCGGCGGTTTATAGAGGATGAGGATTATGACCCTCCAATTAAAATTGCCCGATTAGAGTCTACACCGAATAGTAGATTCAGTGCCCCGTCCTGTGGATCTTCTGAAAAATCAAGTGCAGCTTCTCAGCACTCCTCTCAAATGTCTTCAGACTCCTCTCGATCTAGTAGCCCCAGTGTTGATACCTCCACAGACTCTCAGGCTTCTGAGGAGATTCAGGTACTTCCTGAGGAGCGGAGCGATACCCCTGAAGTTCATCCTCCACTGCCCATTTCCCAGTCCCCAGAAAATGAGAGTAATGATAGGAGAAGCAGAAGGTATTCAGTGTCGGAGAGAAGTTTTGGATCTAGAACGACGAAAAAATTATCAACTCTACAAAGTGCCCCCCAGCAGCAGACCTCCTCGTCTCCACCTCCACCTCTGCTGACTCCACCGCCACCACTGCAGCCAGCCTCCAGTATCTCTGACCACACACCTTGGCTTATGCCTCCAACAATCCCCTTAGCATCACCATTTTTGCCTGCTTCCACTGCTCCTATGCAAGGGAAGCGAAAATCTATTTTGCGAGAACCGACATTTAGGTGGACTTCTTTAAAGCATTCTAGGTCAGAGCCACAATACTTTTCCTCAGCAAAGTATGCCAAAGAAGGTCTTATTCGCAAACCAATATTTGATAATTTCCGACCCCCTCCACTAACTCCCGAGGACGTTGGCTTTGCATCTGGTTTTTCTGCATCTGGTACCGCTGCTTCAGCCCGATTGTTTTCGCCACTCCATTCTGGAACAAGGTTTGATATGCACAAAAGGAGCCCTCTTCTGAGAGCTCCAAGATTTACTCCAAGTGAGGCTCACTCTAGAATATTTGAGTCTGTAACCTTGCCTAGTAATCGAACTTCTGCTGGAACATCTTCTTCAGGAGTATCCAATAGAAAAAGGAAAAGAAAAGTGTTTAGTCCTATTCGATCTGAACCAAGATCTCCTTCTCACTCCATGAGGACAAGAAGTGGAAGGCTTAGTAGTTCTGAGCTCTCACCTCTCACCCCCCCGTCTTCTGTCTCTTCCTCGTTAAGCATTTCTGTTAGTCCTCTTGCCACTAGTGCCTTAAACCCAACTTTTACTTTTCCTTCTCATTCCCTGACTCAGTCTGGGGAATCTGCAGAGAAAAATCAGAGACCAAGGAAGCAGACTAGTGCTCCGGCAGAGCCATTTTCATCAAGTAGTCCTACTCCTCTCTTCCCTTGGTTTACCCCAGGCTCTCAGACTGAAAGAGGGAGAAATAAAGACAAGGCCCCCGAGGAGCTGTCCAAAGATCGAGATGCTGACAAGAGCGTGGAGAAGGACAAGAGTAGAGAGAGAGACCGGGAGAGAGAAAAGGAGAATAAGCGGGAGTCAAGGAAAGAGAAAAGGAAAAAGGGATCAGAAATTCAGAGTAGTTCTGCTTTGTATCCTGTGGGTAGGGTTTCCAAAGAGAAGGTTGTTGGTGAAGATGTTGCCACTTCATCTTCTGCCAAAAAAGCAACAGGGCGGAAGAAGTCTTCATCACATGATTCTGGGACTGATATTACTTCTGTGACTCTTGGGGATACAACAGCTGTCAAAACCAAAATACTTATAAAGAAAGGGAGAGGAAATCTGGAAAAAACCAACTTGGACCTCGGCCCAACTGCCCCATCCCTGGAGAAGGAGAAAACCCTCTGCCTTTCCACTCCTTCATCTAGCACTGTTAAACATTCCACTTCCTCCATAGGCTCCATGTTGGCTCAGGCAGACAAGCTTCCAATGACTGACAAGAGGGTTGCCAGCCTCCTAAAAAAGGCCAAAGCTCAGCTCTGCAAGATTGAGAAGAGTAAGAGTCTTAAACAAACCGACCAGCCCAAAGCACAGGTACTCTTTTCCACCTTGCCTATTAAAACTAACAGTTTATTGAGCCCTTTCTATGGGCAAGTTTTAGGCTAAGTGGTTCAATTACATCCAGTTATGAGAACCAAGAAAAGTATGGTGGAGGCAGTGGTATTTGCAGTAGTCCTTCAAGGACCAGTAGGATTTTGATAGGTAGAAAGTGGCAGGACATAACATTCTAAGTAGAGGGAACAGTGTGGGTAGAAATGGAAAAGTAAGAAATATATTTGAGGAATACTGGATAGCTGGATTGGCATCTGTGGAAAACTGGTGAACTAAGGCTGAATGAACTAAGGTTGGGACTATATCACAGAGGATGCTGAGTTGTTTGTACCTTATAAGTTTGATGTAATTAAACCAGGGACTTAATTGTAAAGGTACATTTTAATAGTCAAATTGTTTTACTATCCCCGATAGAATAGAAAACCGGAGGGGAGCATTCTCTTCCTCTGAGTAGTGAGGGATTGGAGCAATAGATAATATGTTTTTGCAGAATACAAATGAGAAGTACTGGCCAGGTGCGATGGCTCATGCCTGTAATCCCATCACTTTGGGAGGCCAAGGTGGGCGGATCACTTGAGGTCAGGAGTTTGAGACCAGCCTGGCCTGGCCAACACGGTGAAACCTCATCTCTACTAAAAAAAAAAAAAAAATTAGCTGGGCGTGGTGATGCATGCCTCTAGTCCCAGCTACTGGGGAGATTGAGGCACAAGAATCTCTTGAACCCCGGAGGTAGAGATGGCAGTGAGCTGAGATCCCGCCACTGCACTCCAGCCTGGGCCAATAGAGTAAGTCTCTATCTCAAAATAAATAAATAAATAAATAAACAAACAGATTAGAAGCACTTAGCCTTGAGCCATGGAACAGGAAAGCTATAGAATTCAGTTAGTTAAGATGATGCCAAATATTTTTACAAAGACCAGCATTTTTGTTTTTTTTTTATTGTTTTGTTTATTTGTTTAACAAAGTAAGCTAGTCACTGGCCTTTTCTGAGAAAAGTTGCTGATCTTTAGGGTTTTAAAAAAATCGTCATGTAGTAGATGCCTATTTATGGCAGCAAATCAGGTTAGGTTAAGATGGCCATAAACTTATATTTGTAATGTTATTCACGGGCTGGGTACGGTGGCTTACGCCTGTAATCCCAGCACTTTGGGAGGCCGAGGCAGGTGGATCACGAGGTCAGGAGATCGAGACCATCCTGGCTAACACGGTGAAACCCTGTCTCTACTAAAAATCCAAAAAATTAGCCAGACATGGTGGCATGCGCCTGTAGTCCTAGCTACTCGGGAGGCTGAGGCAGGAGAATCGCTTGAACCCGGGAGGCGGAGGTTGCAGTGAGCCGAGATCACGGCACTACACTCCAGCCTGGGTGACAGGGCGAGACTCCGTCTCTAAAAAAATAAATAAATAAAATTAATGTTATTCAACCTAGGGCCATAGTTACATTTACTAATTCTGCCAGTTGAGAATTGTAGCAGGAATGTGATGGGACTTATTTTTAACACCATGTTGGATGTTTTTGTGATAGGAGCAGCGGCTCTTTAAAATCTGAGACATTTCTTTTGGAGCCTTTTATACTTTCTCTTTTTTTTGAGACGGAATTTCGCTCTTGTTGCCCAGGCTGGAGTGCAATGGCGTGATCTTGGCTCACTGCAACGTCCGCCTCCCAGGTTCAAGCAATTCTCCTGCCTCAGCCTCCCAAGTAGCTGGGATTACGGGCATGCACCACCACGCCCAGCTAATTTTGTATTTTTAGTAGAGACAGGGTTTCTCCATGTTGGTCAGGCTGGTCTCAAACTCCCGACCTCAGGTGATCTACCCGCCTCGGCCTCCCAAAGTGCTGGGAGTTGCAGGCGTGAGCCACCACCTATACTTTCATTTATAAGTTATTTCACCCCTACTTCTCTGATGATCAAGGAAATATAAGAAATAGTTTTTGGTTAGATAAGCCGTATTTATACCACACTGAACTTTTTGATAATATAGACTGGCAGCTTGAATTTTGAGGGGAATTTAAAATAGTAGTATAATTGGGAATAGAAGCTTAGTTGTTTGTTTGTTTTTAAGATAGGGTCTCACTCTGTCACCCAGGGTGGCTCAAGTGATCCTCTTGTCCCAGCCTCCTGAGTAGCTAGAACTACAGGTGTGTACCACCACGCCCAGCCAATTTTTAAATTTTGTGTAGAGATGGGTTCTCGCTATGTTGCCCATACTGGTCTTGAACTCCTGGCCTCAAATGATCTTCCCACCTCAAGCTGTTTTTTATTTTTTGATTAGAGGCCTTTTTTTGTGCTGCCAATTAGGATACAGTAATAGTTGATTTCTGTTTTGATATGATTTATCAGCTGGGAATAATTAGAGTTGTGTGTTTTGATTCTAAATCATACTGAAATTGATTAAGTATACCTTGGCTTCGTTCAGTTATAATTTCAACATGTATGGTTGTTATTGTTTTTGGATTGCCTCATATTCAGGGTCAAGAAAGTGACTCATCAGAGACCTCTGTGCGAGGACCCCGGATTAAACATGTCTGCAGAAGAGCAGCTGTTGCCCTTGGCCGAAAACGAGCTGTGTTTCCTGATGACATGCCCACCCTGAGTGCCTTACCATGGGAAGAACGAGAAAAGATTTTGTCTTCCATGGGGAATGATGGTAGGTCAAGAAGGTCAATCTTGGAGTCGGAACAGACTTTTGATTTGTTTGTTGATTATTCTGGGGATGCCCAGTAGGCTCTTCATAGTTAGTAGGTCCTCTGAAAAACAGATGGCAAGAGGGGATTAAATACATGAGGATTTTATTAGAAGAAATGCCTGAGAAGGAAAACGGGGAGGTAGCCAGGGAAGGCTGGGAGAGCTGTCAGACTGTGTTGCCCATCTCACCCCCATGAAGGAGCAGGGGAAGGAAGGCAGAATCTTCCTAGACTGCTGTGCAGGTGAGAAAGATTTGGCAAAGCTGTCCAGGAGTCTTTGAGTAAAAGTGGACTGTCAGGGGAGTGGGAGGCACATTCTCATGGCTGTCATATAGTTCTTAAGTGCAGAGTAGCCACTCAGAACAAATTTAGAGGTTTGAAGAATCCTTAGAAGCATTTGGTTTCTATTCTCGATTTTAGATTAGACTTTTGTTTTCAGTATTTGGAATTTTGCTTTCATCAAGATGCAAGTTATTGGCTTTTTTTTTTTTTTTTTTTTTTTTTTTGAGACGGAGCCTCATTGTGTTGCCCAAGCTGGAGTACAGTGGTGCGATCTCGGCTCACTACAGCCTCCACTTCCCAGGTTCAAGCGATTCTCCTGCCTCAGCCTCCTGAGTATCTAGGATTACAGGCATGTGCCACCATGCCTGGCTAATTTTTGTATTTTTAGTAGAGAGGGGTTTTGCTATGTTGGCCAGGCTGGTCTCAAACCCCTGACCTCAGGTGATCTGCCTGGCTCAGCCTCCCAAAGTGCTAGGATTACAGGCATGAGCCACCATTCCTGGCCAAGTTATTGGCATTTTTAAACATTTAAATAATTATTTAAAATAGATTCTGAGTTCTGTATATAAATATTTTATTTTAATGTATTTCATTTTTGGAGTACCAATTAAAACCAGGTTTGAATTCAGTACTCCCTTGGAACTAATGCCACATTTCTTTAACAGACAAGTCATCAATTGCTGGCTCAGAAGATGCTGAACCTCTTGCTCCACCCATCAAACCAATTAAACCTGTCACTAGAAACAAGGCACCCCAGGAACCTCCAGTAAAGAAAGGACGTCGATCGAGGCGGTGTGGGCAGTGTCCCGGCTGCCAGGTGCCTGAGGACTGTGGTGTTTGTACTAATTGCTTAGATAAGCCCAAGTTTGGTGGTCGCAATATAAAGAAGCAGTGCTGCAAGTAAGTGGGTGTTTCACTCTGAGATGTTGACCTCTCAACCATAAAGGTTGCTTATTTATCCCTAGTTTGTTGCAGAGATACATCAGGAAACTGAATGTGGTTGTAATTGAGTTGCAAGACTTGTTACAGTTAGATTTTGTGGTGTGGGCTGTGCTTAAATAAGAAATACTCTGGGGCCATGCTGTCATTAATAGAATGTTCTGCAACAATGGAAATGTTCTATTGGAATAGTAGACAACAATAATGGAAATGTTTAGTTCAGTATGCAGCCATTAGCCACATGTGGCTATTGAGCGCTTGACATGTGATTAGTGTGACTGAGGAACCACACTGTTTATTTCGTTTAACTTTAGCCATGTGTAACTAGTGGCTACCATATCAGACTGTAGCTCTGGAGGATTTCTACTTAAAACCTGACAACTTTATGTATAATTTTTGTTGGGTCTACTGAAATTATGTTGACCCAACAAAATTATGACAATTCAGGAAACATTGGAGATACCTTGCATAAATATCTGTGCTTTCTCACTCTCTCTTAGAATATGTTCATGCATATGGAATTTTTTTTTTTAAGAGACAGGGTCTTGCTCTGTTGCCAGGCTGGAGTGCAGTGACATGATCATAGCTCACTGCCAACACTGAACTCCTAGGCTCCAGTGATCCTCCTGCCTTGGCCTCCCAAAGTACTGGGATTACAAACATGAGCCACAGTGCTTGGCCTCATATGAAATTTCTTTTTTTAAGAAGTTTTGTTTTAATTTTTATGGGTACATAGTAGGTATATATATTTATGGTATACATAAGATGTTTTGATACAGGCATGCAATGCATCATAATCATATCATGCAGAGTGGGGTATCCATTCCCTTAAGCATTTATCCTTTGTATTACAAACAATCCAATTATACTCTTTCAGTCATTTTTAAATGTACAATTAAATTATTATTTACTACAATCACCCTGTTGTGCTATCAAATGCTAAGTCTTATTCATTCTTTCTGATTATTTTTTTGTACCCATTAGCCATCCCCTAATATGGAATTTTTTATGTGGAAATTTTTATTACTCTACTTTTTCTCCTCTTTTTTAGTCAGTTTGTGGAGGTACTTTCTGCCATCTGGCATACTTTATTTAAAATAGATCGAGATAGTAGCATAAACAGAAATTTTGGTGATTAAGCATCTTGTAAACTACTGGCACAAATAATAGGTGTCAATAGATATTTGCTGAATGAGTGAGTCACATGCAAGTGATTAATATAAAGAACAGTTGGGAGAAATGCTACATTATTTACTTCAGGGGAGATAATTTCTAGGAGACAAGAAGTAGTTCTGTGCTTTGGTTTGGTCTGACCTTAAACAAGAATCTTGTCTCAGTCCTGTTAGTGGAAAGAAGTAAACTAATTCACAGATCACAAAAAAGTACATGATAGCAAGATAAAGTTGCATTAAATTTAAGAGTTAAAGTGGATTCAGTGCAATTGTAGACTTCAGATTACATTTGAATTTTATTAAATCTAAATTTAGGGGTGAAGTATATATCAAAGCCACCAGATTTAATTATAGCATTATAGTGGTAGACAAAGGAGTTGTTTGATAATTTTAGTCTGTTTTGTGTTAAGATTACTTGATGGATATTAACATCGTAAGAGAGTAGGACTGATGCGACTACAAGAAATACTGACTGATCATTTTCTGTGTGGTGCTAGTCAGTGTTGGATTACAAGAAATTTGAGTCCCATTTCAAAAATAATTTGATATTTGCTCCTTTTAGATCCTAAAGGTAGGTGAAATTGCTGATCCAGGGATTCAAAGGCTCAGATTTAATCTGAGTAATGAGCAGTCCTTTTTTCAACTATAAAAATGTGAACCTGAATACAGATTCACTGATTGTTGCAGACAAAATGAACACTTGTTTCAGTGCTTTTCTTCTAAATTTAATTTGTTTCATGGTTTATTCGTTGTTTTCCTAGGATGAGAAAATGTCAGAATCTACAATGGATGCCTTCCAAAGCCTACCTGCAGAAGCAAGCTAAAGGTAGTGTTGTTAAAAAGGTCTTCCCCCAAATGCTCCTTGCTTAAATGGTGTATAGTTGTATACACCCAGTAGAAGAGAATACTTTTTTTTTTAAAGTACAACTCTTTCTCAGGGAGTAGATTGTTGAAGCTAGGTAATAGGTACATGGGGGTTGATTGGACTATTTCCTGTATTGGGGGATATTTTTGAAATTTTCCATAATAAATTTTTTAAATTTATATAAAAATCATAGTTCATTATATTTCCTAGAGCAATAAAGTATACCTATTTCACCTGATCAACTTGGCATTAACTTTCTTTAGCCTTTCAATGCTAACTTTTAACTGCAGGAAACTGAGAATGTTGTGTCACATTTCTACGCTTCTATTTTTTAAATGTATTTTTTTAACTTATTTTTAATTTTTGTGGATACATGGCAGGTGTATTTATTTATTTGTTTATTGAGACAGAGTCTCACTCTGTCTTTCAGGCTGGGGTGCAGTAGCATGATTATGACTCACTGTAGCTTCAACCTCCCACGCTCAAGCCATCCTCCCACCTCAGCCTCCCTAGTAGCTGGGACTACAGGTGCGCACCACCACGCCCAGCTAATTTTTGTAAATTTTTTTTGCAGAGACACGATTTTGCCATGTTGCCCAGGCTGGTCTTGAACTCCTGGGCTCAAGCAATCCTCTCGCCTTGGCCTCCCAATGTGCTGGAATTACAGGCATGAGCCACCACTGCACCTGGCCAGCAGGTGTATATATTTATGGGGGTACATGAGATATGTTGATACAGGCATACAATGGGTAATAATCACATCAGGGTACATGGGATGTCCATTACCTCAAGCATTTATTCTTTGTGTTACAAACAAACTAATTATACTCTTGTAATTATTTTTAAGGGTACAGTAAATTATTGTTGACTGTAATCACCCTGTTGTACTATCAAATACTAGATCTCATTCACTTCTATCTAGCTATATTTTTGTACCCATTAACCATCCCCACTTTCCCCCTCAACCTCACTACCCTTCCCAGCCTCTCATAACTATCATTCTCTCTGTCTCTATCTCCATAAGTTCAATTGTTTTAATTTTTAGCTCCCACAAATGAGTGAGAGCATGTGATGTTTGTCTCTCTGTGTCTGGCTTATTTCACTTAACATAATGTCCTCTAGTTCCATCCATGTTGTTTCAGATGATAGGATCTCGTTCTTTTTTATGGCTGAATAGTACTCCATTGTGGATATGTACCACATTTTCTTTATCCATTCATCTGTTGATGGATGCTTAGATTACTTTCAAATCTTGGCTATCATAAATAGTGCTGCAGGAAACATGAGAGTGCAGATATCTCTTTGATATACTGATTTCCTTTATTTTGGTATATACCTAGCTGTGGGATTGCTGGATCATATGGTGGCTCTGTAATTCTATTTTAAATAAAATTATTCTCACTATAGACAGATGATGTTGTTGTGTTTTTCCCTCAGCTGTGAAAAAGAAAGAGAAAAAGTCTAAGACCAGTGAAAAGAAAGACAGCAAAGAGAGCAGTGTTGTGAAGAACGTGGTGGACTCTAGTCAGAAACCTACCCCATCAGCAAGAGAGGATCCTGCCCCAAAGAAAAGCAGTAGTGAGCCTCCTCCACGAAAGCCCGTCGAGGAAAAGAGTGAAGAAGGGAATGTCTCGGCCCCTGGGCCTGAATCCAAACAGGCCACCACTCCAGCTTCCAGGAAGTCAAGCAAGCAGGTCTCCCAGCCAGCACTGGTCATCCCGCCTCAGCCACCTACTACAGGACCGCCAAGAAAAGAAGTTCCCAAAACCACTCCTAGTGAGCCCAAGAAAAAGCAGCCTCCACCACCAGAATCAGGTGAGTGAGGAGGGCAAGAAGGAATTGCTGAACCACAAGTACTAACAAAAAAGCACTGATGTCTCAAACAGCATTTGAAAGCAGGAAATGTATGATTTGAAGTCTTCAGTTCAAGAAAATCAGCTCTCTTTCTAACTATTATGTTTAATAATAAAGAAACAGAAACAAAAAAAACAGTTAAATTGGAGGTATTGTTTTAATTTCCTGTTCGAAGCCTAGAGTTTAAATAGTTTTTTTTTTTTTTTTCTAATGGCCCTTTCTTCACAGGTCAGTCAGTACTAAAGTAGTCGTTGCCAGCATCTGACTGCAATTTATTCTGAATTTTTTAGGTCCAGAGCAGAGCAAACAGAAAAAAGTGGCTCCCCGCCCAAGTATCCCTGTAAAACAAAAACCAAAAGAAAAGGTGAGGAGAGATTTGTTTCTCTGCCATTTCTCAGGGATGTATTCTATTTTGTAGGGAAAAGCCTTATCCTTGACTTCTATGTAGATGGCAGTGGAATTTCTTAAAATTAAGAAACTTCAAGTTTAGGCTTTTAGCTGGGCACGGTGGCTCACGCTGGTAATCCCAACACTTAGTGAGGCTGAGGTGGGAGGATTGCTTGAGGCCAGCAGTTCAAGACCAGCCTGGGCAACATAGCAAGACCCTGTCTTTATTTAAACAAAAAAAAAAAAAAGAAGAAGAAGAAGAAGTTAGCCAGGCATGGTGGCAGTTGCGTGTAGTCCCAGGTACTCAGGAGGCTGAGATAGAAGGATTGTCTTGAGCCCAGGAATTCAAGGCTGTAGTGAGCTATGATTGTACCACTGCAGTCCAGCCTGGGTGACAAAGCAAAACACTGTCTCCAAAAAAAATTTAGGCTTGGCAAGGCGCAGCGGCTCACGCCTGTGATCCCAGCACTTTGGGAAGCCGAAGCAGGCAGATCACTTGAGGTCAGGAGTTGGAGACCAGCCTGGCCAACATGGTGAAACCCTGTCTCTACTGAAAATACAAAAATTAGCCGGTTGTGGTAGTGGGTGCTTGTAATCCTAGCTACTTGGGAGGCTGAGGCAGGGGAATTGCCTGAACCTGCGAGGCGGAGGCTGCAGTGAGCCGAGATTGCATCATTGCACTCTAGCCTGGACAACAGAGCTAGACTCCATCCCAAAAAAAAAAAAAAAAGTAGCCGGGCACGGTGGCTCACGCCTGTAATCCCAGCACTTTGGGAGGCCGAGGCGGGCGGATCATGAGGGCAGGAGATCGAGACCATCCTGGCTAACACGGTGAAACCCTGTCTCTACTAAAAATACAAAAAAATTAGCCCGGCGAGGTGGCGGGCGCCTGTAGTCCCAGCTACTCAGGAGAGTGAGGCAGGAGAATGGCGTGAACCCGGGGGGCGGAGCCTGCAGTGAGCCGAGATCGCGCCACTGCACTCCAGCTTGGGTGACACCGAGACTCCGTCTCAAAAAAAAATAAAAAGTTTAGGCTTTAGCCTGTTTCTTTTTTGGTTTCTTCCTTGTTGCTTTTCCCTTCTTTGTGGCCCCACATGTTCTAGCCTAGGAATCTGCTTATTCTAAAGGCCATTTGGCGTAATTATTTTTTGACCCCAACATCCTTTAGCAATTATTTGTCTGTAAAAATCACCCTTCCCTGTATTCACTATTTTTATTTATTATGGATAAAGAGATAGTGTGGTGGCTCACATCTATAATCCCAGCACTTTGGGGGGCCAAGGCGGGAGGATCACTTGAGGGCAGGAGCTGGAGACCAGCCTGGGCAGCACAGTGACACACAGTTGCTATAAAAAATTTAAAAATCAACTAGGCATGGTGGCATGCACCTGTAGTCCCAGCTACTCTTGAGAAGCTGAGGCAGGAGGATCACGAGCCCACAAGGTCTAGGCTGCAGTGAGCTGTGACTGTGCCACTGTATTGCAGCCTAGGCAACAAAGCAAGACCCAGTCTCTTTTAAAAAAAAATTCAAAGATTATTTGTTTATGTTGGAAACATGTTTTTTAGATCTATTAATAAAATTTGTCATTTGCATTATTATCTGTTGCAAATGTGAAGGCAAATAGGGTGTGATTTTGTTCTATATTCATCTTTTGTCTCCTTAGGAAAAACCACCTCCGGTCAATAAGCAGGAGAATGCAGGCACTTTGAACATCCTCAGCACTCTCTCCAATGGCAATAGTTCTAAGCAAAAAATTCCAGCAGATGGAGTCCACAGGATCAGAGTGGACTTTAAGGTAAAGGTGTTCAGTGATCATAAAGTATATTGAGTGTCAAAGACTTTAAATAAAGAAAATGCTACTACCAAAGGTGTTGAAAGAGGAAATCAGCACCAACTGGGGGAATGAATAAGAACTCCCATTAGCAGGTGGGTTTAGCGCTGGGAGAGCTTTGGTCAGTGTTGTTAGGTCACTGTTTGTGAACTGACTGCAGAACATACATAATGAAACATTCCTATCCATCCTGAGCAGTATCAGAGGAAGTAATTCCTTCACATGGAAAGTATCAAACCATGATGATTCCTTGAGTCAGCAAAACTGTAAGAGAAATTCAATCCCAGTGTATTTTCGCAATATATTCAATATGAATTGAACAACTAGGTGAGCCTTTTAATAGTCCGTGTCTGAGATTAAAACTTTTTAAAGCAGCAGTTATTTTTGGACTCATTGAAATGAAATACTCTGACATTGTGATGTCACACTAATTTTATGCTTTTCATCCTTATTTTCCATCCAAAGTTGTGTAATTGTAAAACTTTCCTAAGTGACCTTTCTCTCTCCACAGGAGGATTGTGAAGCAGAAAATGTGTGGGAGATGGGAGGCTTAGGAATCTTGACTTCTGTTCCTATAACACCCAGGGTGGTTTGCTTTCTCTGTGCCAGTAGTGGGCATGTAGAGGTAAGGCATCCTGCTTCTTTGTACCCCAGGAAGTACATAAATTATTTTTCTGTGGATGAAATTACTATAGTCTGTTTTGTTGGTATTTAGCAGGTACTATTCCCTGTTTAAACCAGCTAAAGAAATGTTTTGAAGTATTTTAGAGATTTTAGGAAGGAATCTGCTATTAGAGTAGCAAAGTTATTGAGAGTGAAAAGATCAATAATCCCATCTCTCTTAAATTCAGTCTTTATTAGAGTTCTGATCTTTCTGTTAGATGTCTAAATAAGAGAAAAAATTATACAGTGGTCTATTAAAAGGGATGCTATTGATGGTTATTTTATATTGTATATCAAAGCCTCTTCATCTATAAGGAGCTCTTACCAATTAATAAGAAAAAGGAATGACATCCAGAAAAAAAAATAGGCAAAAGACAGAAATAGATAATTCACAAAATTAGAAATAAATACATGTTGGGTGGCAGGGGGAGGTGAAGGGAGGGTGTCTGTTTTTTAGCCCTCTAGTGACCAAAAACTGGAAATTAAAGCATGATAAAAAAAGAATCCTGAATAAATGGGGACTTTCTGTTGGTGGAAAGAAATATAGATTAGTTACAATCTTTCTTTCTGAGGGAATTATTTGGAAATATATATCTATCTTTAAAATAGGTATATCCTCTAACATAGCAATTGCACTTCAAACACTTATGGATATAATTAGATAAATTGGCAAATCTGTAGATATAAAGAAGTGTTCATTTCAATATTGCTCATAATAATAAAAAACTGGAAACAACCCGAAAGTCCATCTATAGGGAGCATGGGTTAAAATAAGCATAGGGCATATAGCTGGGCACGGTGGCTCACGCCTGTAATCCCAGCACTTTGGGAGGCCAAGGCAGGCGGATCACAAGGTCAGGAGATCCAGACCATCCTGGCTAACACAGTGAAACCCCGTCTCTATTAAAAATACAAAAAAATTAGCCGGGTGTGGTGGCGGGCGCCTGTAGTCCCAGCTACTCGAGAGGCTGAGGCAGGAGAACGGCATGAACCCGGGAGGTGGAGCTTGCAGTGAGCCGAGATCGCCCCACTGCACTCCCGCCTGGGCGACAGAGCAAGACTCCGTCTCAAAAAAAAATAAAAGTGTAGGGCATATATAATGGCAAATATGAAGTCCTAAAGATAATATATATTAATATTATTAGGTTGGTGCAAAAGTAATTGCAGTAATAACATGGAAAGATGTCCATGACATATCACTGAGTGAAAAGAGCAGGTTACAAGATAATATATAAAGCACAATCCCATCTTAGTTTGGAAAAGTGTTTTTAAAGTATATATCTAGAAAACAATCTGGAAGGATTCACACCAAAATATTAAGAGTGTGGTTGGATTATGGGTGACCTTTATTTGTTTCTCTGGTTTTTTTTTTTTAATCTTTCTGAGTTTTTTGCAGTATGTACCACCTTTACAATGAGGAAGGAAAAAGTAGCACAATTTTAAATAGGAA
The DNA here is from genome assembly GCF_000001405.40 of Homo sapiens. NCBI lineage: Eukaryota > Metazoa > Chordata > Mammalia > Primates > Hominidae > Homo > Homo sapiens. Next base: position 118,486,464 of record NC_000011.10, read on the forward strand.
GCAGTAGTTTGTCATTTATAAGGGACATATCCTACATCCTTTACAGTTCTTAAATTCCTGGCAGATACCTCTTTGGCTTATTACTTACCACATAAGATATGTATTCAAAGGTGGTAAAGAAAATCCACGTCGGGTGCAGTGGCTCACGCCTGTAATCCCAGTACTTTGGGAGGCTGACGCAGGAGGACCGCTTGAGCTCAGGAGTTCAAGACCAGCCTGAGCACCATAGTGAGACCTCATCTCTACTAAAAAAAAAATAAAATACCAGGCATGGTAGCATGTGCCTGTAGTCCCAGCTACTCTAGTCCCAGCTACTTGGGAGGCTGAGGTGAGAGGATCACTTGAGCCCAGGAGATCGAGGCTGCAGTGAGCCATTATCACGCCACTGCACTCCAGCCTGGGCAACTAAGCAAGACCCTGTCTCAAAAAAATTTTTAAAAATTTAAAAAATAAGAAAATCCAAGCTAGGTTGAAATCTGAATGTTGAGCAGTCAGTGAGACACAAACTAGCTAAGAAAGTCAACCCTGCCCACTTGCCATTTGAAGTTATTACTAGCAAAATTACAAATTATTGCCTACTATTCATTTACTAAGCAAATATTCTCTTAGTCCCTATTACGAACAACTTATTGTTCTAAGTGCAGAAGTTCAGATATCATTGAGACTGAGAATATTCAGTCTACAAGTGCCAGGGGTCTACTGTATCCTCTTTTCCGTCTTAATACAGTGCTTTGCACCCATATATATGCCACCCACAGGAATAACTTTTTTTATAGCACCAGTCCTTCAACTTCTGGGATTAAACAGATTTTTTTTCAGGGTATAATTGTTCTGATCTAAATTCTTTATAGTTGTACATAGCAATCTCACAGGGTTCCTAAAATATAAATTAGAGAATAGCATGCTGCCTGCACTGCACTCCTAAAGCATGACCAGTGCTTGATAAACTCTCCTCCATGCGAATTTTTTAAACTTTTTATGTTGACATGATTTCAGACTTACAAAAAAACTATGAGTTGTACAGAGAATTCTAAGTACCCCTCACCCAAATTCCCTAAGTGTTAATATGTTTCTCTGTGTGTATATATTTTACAAAATAACAAATAAAATACATATACACATTTTACCTGTAGATACACATGTATCTAAAAATTTGAGAACAAGTTGCAGACATAAACCATTTTACCTCTAAATATTTTAGTGTATATTTTTAAAAATCAAGGACGTTCTCGTATTTAACCATGGTATAATTACCAAATCAGGAAATTAACACACTGGTACATTACTATTATCTGATCTATAGGCCTTATTTAGGTTTGACCAATTGTCCCAATAATTCCTTTATGGCAAAAGAAAATTCTGGATTATCCTAGTTAGTATTTTTGAAAATCCTATATCAATATGAAAATAACTTATTTCTAAAATTAGAAATGGAGGCTGGGCGTGGTGGCTCACGCCTATAATCCCAGCACTTTGGGAGGCCGAGGCAGGCAGATCACAAGGTCAGGAGATTGAGACCATCCTCGCTAACACAGTGAAACCCCATCTCTACTAAAAATACAAAAAATTAGCCAGGTGTGGTGGCACGCGCCTGTGATCCCAGCTACTCAGGAGACTGAGGCTGGAGAATCGCTTGAACCCAGGAGGCGGAGGTTGCAGTGAGTCGAGATCGCACCACTGCACCCCAGCCTGGGCGACAGCGAGACTCCGTCTCAAAAAAATAAATAAATAAAAATTAAAACAATTAAAAAAATAAAATTACAAATGGAAAGGACAAACCAGACCTTACAACTGTTTCGTATATTACAGAAAACGTTTAAACCCTCCCTATTTCCCCCACCCCACTCCTTTATATTCCCATAGCTCTTTGTTTATACCACTCTTAGGTCACTTAGCATGTTCTGTTAAATCTTGTATTATATTTATTTTGTTACTTTCTATTTCCACTGGTATTACCACTTTAGTACTCTGAATCTCCCGCAGTGTCCAATACTGTACTTTTTTACATAGTCATTGCTTAATGAATATGTATTGAATTAAATATATGCCAGTGGACTACTAAAACCCAAAGTATATAAGAAGGGTATGGTTGATTATGTTTTTCTACATATTATTTGACATACTTCTATCTTCCCATGTTCTTACTATAGTTTGTGTATTGCCAAGTCTGTTGTGAGCCCTTCCACAAGTTTTGTTTAGAGGAGAACGAGCGCCCTCTGGAGGACCAGCTGGAAAATTGGTGTTGTCGTCGTTGCAAATTCTGTCACGTTTGTGGAAGGCAACATCAGGCTACAAAGGTACAAAACTTGGTAATAGAACTACAGCTGGGCCTCTGTATCAGTGGGTTCTGTATCCCTGGACTCAACCAACCTTGGATTGAATGTATCTGGGAAAAAATGAGTAGTTGCCTCTGTACTCTATGTGAACAGACTTTTTCTTGTCATTATTTCCTAAACAATACAGTATAACAACTATTTACATTGTATTAGGTATGATAAGTAATCTAGAGATAATTTAAAGTATATGGTGGGCGGATCACTTGAAGCCAGGAGTTCGAGACCAGCCTGAGCCAACATGGTGAAACCCCATCTCTACTAAAAATACAAAAAATTAGCCAGGTGTGGTGGTGGGCACCTGTAGTCCCAGCTACTTGGGAGGCTGAGGGAGGAAAATCGCTTGAACTTTGGAGGCAGAGGTTGCAGTGAGCCACTCCAGCCTGTGGTGCAGTCTGTCACTCCAGCCTGGGTGACACAGTGAGACTCCATCTCAAAAAAAAAAAAAAAAAAAAACTATATGGGAGGATGTGCATTTTGTTATATGCAAATGCTGCACCATTTTGTCTAGGGACTTGGGCATCCATGGACTTTGGTATCCTCTGGGGGTCCTGGAACCAATCCCCCATGGAAACCAAGGATGACTGTGCTTAGAGTATTGCTTTCTTTCTTGATTTGTATTTCTGTCTTCCAGTTAAGATTTTGTATCTATATTATTTCTCTTTTTACTTAGTCTGTCTTTAGCATTTAATTGGGTGTAATCAGTTGCCTATTTTGTGTTTTAATTTTGGGACTATAGCAGAAAACATGATGTTGAATAAAATTCCAAAAATAAGTCAAATCTACCTAATATGAATACTCATCACTGAGTGCCTTTGGCAGGAAATAAATCTATCTCAATGCTTTAATTGGGAGTAAATAATGTATGAGGAAATTTAAACTCATAATTGTGTGCTGTACTTACTTGCCAGTAAATGTGAAATGGGGTACTAAGTAATAGGTGTTGGGTGAAGGTAATATGATGCTTATCTTTTTGCCATTATATTTTCTTACAGCAGCTGCTGGAGTGTAATAAGTGCCGAAACAGCTATCACCCTGAGTGCCTGGGACCAAACTACCCCACCAAACCCACAAAGAAGAAGAAAGTCTGGGTGAGTTATACACATGATGCTCTTTTATAGAGAACCACCATGTGACTATTGGACTTATGTAACTTGTATTACAAATATCTATGCTTGAGGATGTCAGTATGACAATCTTTTTGCCTCATTACTAGGAAATCATCTCAGCAGAGAAATTAAATCTATAAATGGATGCATTTAAGATCTTTTTAGTTAAGTAAAGATATTAAAAACAAGAAATTCCTATTGAATTTCTTTTCTTCTTTTCTAGATCTGTACCAAGTGTGTTCGCTGTAAGAGCTGTGGATCCACAACTCCAGGCAAAGGGTGGGATGCACAGTGGTCTCATGATTTCTCACTGTGTCATGATTGCGCCAAGCTCTTTGCTAAAGGTACCCAAAAAAGCCAGTTTTGCCAGCTTTCGGAGGTTGTACTTGGTGTTCTGGAGGTGAACTAGACTCTAGTGAAATGAAATAAAAAGTCTCACACATTATGTCAAGGATACCATTTAGACACATTTCCTAAGTTCCTGTTTAGAACTTAGCAACTAGAAATGTCTTGTTAGTTTATACGGGAAGTGTTAAGGGGACTTTTCATTATAACTAACCACAAAGAAATCCTCTAAGCTAGTATTTCCCAAAGTGTGATATATATATTATATATTTGATTATTTCAGACATTATTTTAGTTGCTACCCAAACATTTTCTTTCAGTAGTTATATTAGAAAAAAATATTAATATAACTAATACATTAAACCTGTTATATTACTGACTTAGGATAATCATATAAAGTTCACTGTTTTAAGTAAGATAAGCAGATCAGTTTGAAGAAGTTCATTAAGTAAAAAATAATATAGGAGATCTCTGTATATAAAGAAAATTTATGAAGGTTATACAGAGTACTGAATCTTAGGAAGTGCTCCTCTAAGCTCTAATGTAAATGCCCTAGAAATAAGGAAAAAGCTTACATGTACTGTTTCTGACTTCCATATTGCCACTTCTTTTAAATATTTAAATATTTCTTACAAATGTGTGAGAAACTTCTCTCTTCCATTCTTTTCTATTGTTTTATCTTTAAAATCTACCTCATGACCTTTATAAATGAAAACTAGTAAACTAAAGAAAACTAGTAGCATATGAAGCTTTTCTGTGAGTATTCGAGGGGCTCAGAATAATCTTGAGACTGCAGATGTGTGAACATTCCACAGTAGATCCATGCTGGTGTTCATGATCCCAGAAGAATATAGATTTAGATTGGGTTGGTAAATGCAAGTCGAGGGCCGTAAAAACACGGGTATGTGAGCCAAAGCACTGCTGTAAACTTTGCTTTGCTTTCAGGAAACTTCTGCCCTCTCTGTGACAAATGTTATGATGATGATGACTATGAGAGTAAGATGATGCAATGTGGAAAGTGTGATCGCTGGGTCCATTCCAAATGTGAGAATCTTTCAGGTACAGAAGGTTGGAGTCTTTTTATTTCAGTTTTCTTCTTTCTAGGTACTACTACATTTATTAGCCTCTAGAGCACTTTAAACCTAAAATTATGGTTGTGTTGTTATTTGAAATCTCTAAATTTATTTTTTAGTCTCTAGAATAAGCAGCATTGTATTATTTGTGCTCACTTATCTTGAATATATGCCTTTAAAGTATTTATTTGCTGTCCTTTGTGTGTTCCATAACCTGATTCTCAATAACCAAATTCAGGATTAGTGTTAATTAATAATGCCACTTTTTGAGATCAATATGTGTCATATCCATGAGGACATTAAAATCTTAATGTGGTTCCCAACATATGGCTTTATAGTAAGTTCAGTGGAATAGTTTCCTCTTCTTCCTCTCTCTCATTCTTCAGAGGACCTCATCATGGTAGGTTTTTGTTTTCTTAGATGAGATGTATGAGATTCTATCTAATCTGCCAGAAAGTGTGGCCTACACTTGTGTGAACTGTACTGAGCGGCACCCTGCAGAGTGGCGACTGGCCCTTGAAAAAGAGCTGCAGATTTCTCTGAAGCAAGTTCTGACAGCTTTGTTGAATTCTCGGACTACCAGCCATTTGCTACGCTACCGGCAGGTAGGCCAAGTCTCATTTTTTTCTGAGAGCTTGTTCTTAGGTAGTCTTTACCTAGTGTTTTTCTTTTGTTTTACTTCATTCTCCTCACTTAATTTTTAGTTACTTGTTTTGGCTATAACCATTAGGAAAATATTTAGAGCCAAGAATAGGACCTTCTTTAGCGTAAGAAATAGGAAGGAGCTGTATCTTCAAAGGTCTTGCTGTTACAATGAGAAATTTGGACTTTATACTCTGAAGGTGATAGGGAGCCAGTGAAGCACTTCACCCAAGACAGTAACCTGATCAGAGTTGCTTCTTAGAAAAAATATTGTTCTGACTGAGTGGAGAGGAAGGACTGGAGACACCTGAGCCTAGAGGCAGGATTCGTAGTTAGGGGACAGTTATAGTAATCAACTGGAAAAACACTTTCTGTTTATGTAAGTTGTGAACTTTACACATTTATAAAGTAGTCATTAGAAGAACCACACGGGGCCGGGCGCGGTGGCTCACGCCTGTAATCCCAGCACTTCGGGAGGCCGAGGCGGGCGGATCACGAGGTCAGGAGATCAAGACCATCCTGGCTAACACGGTGAAACCCCGTCTCTACTAAAAATACAAAAAATTAGCCAGGCATGGTAGCGGTCACCTGTAGTCCCAGCTACTCGGCAGGCTGAGGCAGGAGAATGGCGTGAACCTGGGCGGCGGAGCTTGCAGTAAGCCGAGATCGCGCCACTGCACTCAAGCCTGGGTGACAGAGCGAGAGTCCATCTCAAAACAAAAAAAAGAAGAAGAACCGCATGGATCACTTTACCTCAGAGCTAAGCTGCTGTTTTATCTTTTAATAGAGCTCCATTTTTTGAATAGGAAAATTAGCTGCTTTCTATGTTAAAAGGAACTGAACACAATTTCAGCTTCTTCATACTAGGTTTGGAATTATCAAGAAAAGCTCCTAAGTTACCCTAGCTAAGCTATTACATAACAGTCTCATTTTTAACTTTCCTTTTCTATTTGAGAAATCTGATTATTTTCATGTTCCTTGGGTTTTACAATATTAATCATTCAGTACCATCTTTATTAATTTTAATAGAATTTACATGGACACCTTGGTTTTAGTGTTAGATAAAAGCAACATATCTTTCCTGGCAATAGGCTGCCAAGCCTCCAGACTTAAATCCCGAGACAGAGGAGAGTATACCTTCCCGCAGCTCCCCCGAAGGACCTGATCCACCAGTTCTTACTGAGGTCAGCAAACAGGATGATCAGCAGCCTTTAGATCTAGAAGGAGTCAAGAGGAAGATGGACCAAGGGAATTACACATCTGTGGTATGTTTCTACAGTGAGCCATCAGAATTTCTAGTGCCAATAAAGCTTCTTTGGACCTTTGGGGCATGAAACTGAGTATAAGTAAATTTAAAAATGAATTGTATTATATTTAGAAATGTCACGTGGCTTTAGATACCTAAAAATGTATGAGTTATTTTAGCTTTGTGTTTCAGAAGAAGGGTTGTGATAGGGAAGATAATGTCTTAAAATAGTTCTTTTATTTGGCTTTCATCTCAGTTTTCTGAAAATTATTTTTATATTAAGAGGAAGCACTAAGAAACTGTTGATGTGGGAAATGCTAATATGAAATTAATTGGTTCTCCCTCCCCTTTTGAGATCAGATCTGAATAATGTGCCTTTCTTTATAAGGTCTTCATTTGTAGATAGATGCCTGTTAATTTTATGATTTTAAGTATGTATAGGAAATGATTATTTATTATCTCATGATCTATATTTGCGATTCTGTTGTTTATTTTTATTTATTTATTTATTTATTTGAGATGGAGTCTCGCTCTGTTACCCAGGCTGGCATGCAGTGACATGATCTCGGCTCACTGCAACCTCTGCCTCCCGTAATCAAGTGATTCTCCTGCCTCAGCCTCCCAAGTAGCTGGGATTACATAAGCATGTGCCACCATGCCTGGCTAATTTTGTATTTTTGGCGGAGATTGGGTTTCACCATGTTGGCTAGGCTGGTCATGAACTCCTGACCTTAAGTGATCCACCCACATCAGCCTCCCAAAGTGCTGGGATTACAGGCGTGAGCCACTGTTTATTTATTTTAATCCAAAATAAAAACTGTGGACCTGCTTGGATAATTTATCATGATACAGCCAATTTGTTTGCATTCTTACCTCATTAGCCTGGCATCTCTTAATTGCCACAGGTTAATCGTGAATTGAATCTCAAAGGTCTCAGCCAAAGAGTATTATACCACATTAAAATAGGGTGTGAGTTTTCTGTTGGATCTCTGTGCTGGATGATTAAGGAGGGAAGAGGAAATGGTTTTCAGAGCACACTGTTTTAAGAATAATTAACATTTTGTTTTTGTATACAGTTGGAGTTCAGTGATGATATTGTGAAGATCATTCAAGCAGCCATTAATTCAGATGGAGGACAGCCAGAAATTAAAAAAGCCAACAGCATGGTCAAGTCCTTCTTCATTCGGGTGAATGATATTACTAATTCATGTTTTTAATGCTTACCTATAAGTAATTACCCTGTGAATACAATGAACTTGTTCTCTTCTACTTTTTGCTTTGTGGTGTGTATAAAACATCTTTGGTTTAATTTGATCCCCTGATTCTTTGAGAGGAACTTGGTGAGGTTGCCAGAGTGGATGGATCTTTCTCTTGGTGGCCTGAAATTATCCTCGTATTAACAGAGAAGCTGGTTTGAAGATTTTTCATGTGGTATCTAAATGAGTGTTTACATATTTACATTTTGTTTGTGTTTTCTTTTAGCAAATGGAACGTGTTTTTCCATGGTTCAGTGTCAAAAAGTCCAGGTTTTGGGAGCCAAATAAAGTATCAAGCAAGTAAGTGAATTTAGCATAACTTTTTTTTCTCCTCATCGGCTAGAAATCTGAGAGTTCTCATATTTCTAGATTGCAGTTTTCCAAAAGGTTTTAATACTAGAAATGAATTGGTTGAAATGCCTTTTCGGTGTGGTTTTGAGGACTACATTTAATGTTTGTTATAAGCAATTGCCTTTTTGTTCTTTACTTTTATATTTGTTTTATTGTAGGGAGCTTGGTTTAATTGTGACAAATGTACAATACATGTGTGGTACAGCCATGTAGCTGGCCTTGTTATAAATGGGTTCTGTTTGACTGATAGTTCAAATGGTGCTTTGTACTGCTCTTGATTTTCCATATGTAACCTTTAATTTTTATTCCAGTAAATTCTTTTGATTTGATTTTATTTATTTATTTATTTTTTTTTTTTTGAGACGGAGTCTCGTTCTGTCACCAGGCTGGAGTGCAGTGACATGATCTCGGCTCACTACAACCTCCGCCTCCCTGGTTCAAGCGATTCTCCTCCCTCAGCCTCCCAAGTAGCTGGGAAAACAGGCGGGCACCACCATGCCCAGCTAATTTTTGTATTTTAATAGAGACTGGGTTTCACCATTTTGGCCAGGATGGTCTTGATCTCTTGACCTGGTGATCCGCCTGCCTCACCCTCCCAAAAGTGCTGGGATTACAGGCATGAGCCACCATGCCCGGCCTCTTTTGAGTTTTTGATAGGGTTATCATTTGTTTCAGCAAGTTTAACCAAGAGTCATATGTTGAGATATTTTTTAAAATATTGAGTTCTGTGTACTTCAGCAATTTTCAAACGCTGTGACTTGTTCTTATATTCTGTGAATGGCTCCTACATGGGGCAACAGGTGATATCAAGAATTTATTTTATACAGTTCTAGGTATACTGTAGGAGTTCAATAAATGCTTGTTGAATCAATTATTTTCAGCAGTGGGATGTTACCAAACGCAGTGCTTCCACCTTCACTTGACCATAATTATGCTCAGTGGCAGGAGCGAGAGGAAAACAGCCACACTGAGCAGCCTCCTTTAATGAAGAAAATCATTCCAGCTCCCAAACCCAAAGGTCCTGGAGAACCAGACTCACCAACTCCTCTGCATCCTCCTACACCACCAATTTTGAGTAAGCCACCAAAAGGAGAGTCGTCACCCATTTCCCTCTAGATGCAGATGATTGACTTCGTGAATCCAATTCACTAAAATTAGATATACTTGGATATCAGAAAGGAATTTTCAGGTCATCCTTAAATGTAATACCATCATTAATTTTGCTTCACTTGAGGTGTTAATGAGGACTTGATATAAATACTCTGGAGTATTGTAACATAGATGATGAGGTAGCGTAACTCTGAACACTTTTTGAAAAGTGGTTATTTTATAGGCTGTGGGCTATGTAAGCTGAATTATTTCTTTTTTCCTTGAAATCAGACATAGTATTGCCAATTTTAACTGGATCTCAAGGTATTGATGGGAGTCTTTTGGATTTCAAGGTACTGATAGGAGTCGAGAAGACAGTCCAGAGCTGAACCCACCCCCAGGCATAGAAGACAATAGACAGTGTGCGTTATGTTTGACTTATGGTGATGACAGTGCTAATGTAAGTACTTTGCAACACAGGGCCCTAGTTAATACATACTCCAAAAGAACTGTTTGTCCTTGTGTCCATACTTGATGACTGGGTGCCATTTATTTAATGAACTTACTTATAACTTACTAATTTATAACTTTTATTTACCTATAACTTATAACTTATTAATTTGTAACTTATTTTTTGTCACTTAGTTCATGGCACTTGGAGTTTTTTAATGACTGATTTTGTTGATTAAAAGGTGACTGATTTGCCTTAAATTAAACCCTTGATGTCTAGTAATTTCTAATGGAAGTTCCTCAAGAATATTTTGTGAAAGTTAATAAAATCTAAGTTGCATATTAAAAAGCTTGTGTTTCATATAGGATAGCAGAATCGTTAAGAGCCCGAGTTCTGCCGCCTGCCTGAATACATTTCTGTGCTTAACTGCCTACTTATTGACTTTGGCAAGTAGTTTAACCTCTCTGACCCTCAGTTTCATCTTTAAAATGAAGATAATAACGCTTACCTCAGAGTGGCTGTGAGGATTAAATGAAATAATGTATGTAAAGCCTCTATTTGGTGCCTGGCACACACAGTAAGCTACAATTTTTTTAAAAGTTTTTTGTGTTTTTTGTTTTGTTTTGTTTTGTTTTTTTGAGCGGAGTTTCGCTCTTGTTGCCCAGGCTGGAGTTTCGCTCTTGTTGCCCAGGCTGGAGTGCAATGGCGTGATCTCGGCTCACTACAACCTCCGCCTCCTATGTTCAAGCAATTCTCCTGCCTCAGCCTCCCGAGTAGCTGGGATTACAGGCATGTGCCACCATGCCCGGCTAATTTTGTATTTTTAGTAGAGACGGAGTTTCTCCATGTTGGTCAGGCTGGTCTCAAACTCCCGACCCCAGGTGATCCACCCACCTCATATCCCAAAGTGGTGGGATTACAGGCGTGAGCCACCGTGCCCGGCCAAAAGCTTTTAAATACCATCTGAGAGAACTGGCTTTGAAATACAGTTTATAGATGTCACTGCACATTTTTATAAACTTACCACCTATTGCTCTTTTTGTTTGTTTCCTTTTGAGACCAGGTCTTGCTCTGTCACCCAGACTAGAGTACAGTGGCATGCTTTTGGCTCACTGCAATCTCGGCTTCCGGGGCTCAAGTGATCCTCCTACCTCAGCCTCCTGAGTAGCTGAGACCACAGATGCGCACCACCATGCCTGGCTAATTTTTGTTTTGTTTTTGTTGAGACAAAGTCTCCCTATGTTGCCCAGGCTGGTCTCAAACTCTTGGGCTCAAGCGATCCTACCACTTCAGCCTCCAAAAGTGCTGGGATTACAGACGTGAACCACCATACCCAGCTCATTTTTTTATTCTCTAGATTTGTAAAATAGTTTCAGTCTATGGAAAAAGTAATCTTGAAAAGAAGGAAGTGGAAACAGAGCAACGTTGCAAAAAGAATTCTGATTTCTGTGTGCCTCCCTCCATTAAAGAATTATAGTTGCTTTCTTGAGGTTATCTTCACTGGAAAAGCTAATGCCGAGGAAAACCTCCTTTGGCATTATATTCTTTAGGAAAAAAGAAATCTCTTTATTTTATAGGATGCTGGTCGTTTACTATATATTGGCCAAAATGAGTGGACACATGTAAATTGTGCTTTGTGGTCAGCGGAAGTGTTTGAAGATGATGACGGATCACTAAAGAATGTGCATATGGCTGTGATCAGGGGCAAGCAGCTGGTAAGACCTTATGGGTAAATTTTATGAAAGAGATTCCCTCTCAGTTTCCAGATATTCTTCCTGTGGGTGAATATGGCCTCCCTGATATTTTTCACAGTGCCATCAGGGTAGTTAGCCAACAAGTATTGATATACATAATTCAACAGATAAAATGATAAATTTTATCTGTTTTCAATTTATCAATAGATAAAATGAATTGTAGGAACTGTAGAATGGGATGAGTCTATAGAGGAGACGGTAAACGTCTTAAAACATATGAAAGTCTGAATAGGACTCTGTTCTTTTTGGATTTTTAGAGATGTGAATTCTGCCAAAAGCCAGGAGCCACCGTGGGTTGCTGTCTCACATCCTGCACCAGCAACTATCACTTCATGTGTTCCCGAGCCAAGAACTGTGTCTTTCTGGATGATAAAAAAGTATATTGCCAACGACATCGGGATTTGATCAAAGGCGAAGTGAGAGAGCTTTAGTTGCTTTAAAAAAAAAAAAAAAGACTTTTTTAGAGCAGTTTTAGGTTCACAGCAAAATTGACTGGAAGGTACAGAGATTTCCCATATGCCCCCTGCACCCACATATGCACAGCCTCCCCCATGATCAGCATCCCCCACCAGAGTGGTGCATTTGTTACAGTGGATAAACCTACACTGGACACATGGTTATCACCCTGACTCCTGTAGTTTACATCAGCATTCACTCTTGGTGTTGTACATTCTGTGGGTTTGGACAAATGTATAATGATGTATATCCACCATTATACCATCATATGGAGTATTTTCGCTGCCTTAAACATCCTCTGTGCTCTGCCTATTCATCCCTGCCTCTCCCCAACCCTGGGCAACCACTGATGTTTTTACTATCTCCATAGTCTTGCCATTTGCAGAGTTTCACATAGTTGGAATCATATAGTACATAGCCTTTTCAGACTGGCTTCTTCTGCATAGCATTTAAGTTTCCTTCAAGTCTTTTCATGGCTTATTTAGTTGCTTTTTGAATTATTTCGAAATGCAAAAGAAAAACAAAAATACAGCAAGATGATAAACTGTTTTGCTTTTCTACTTGGTGTTCCTAGAGGCACCACCTCTTTTGGGAAATACAGAAGTGTCCTGCTAAGTGAAACAGAAGGATGCTTTTGAGATATGCTATGTGCCTTCCACTCTGAGACAGTCAGGATCATAAGTATAATGTGCAAAGGGACAGCCTATTAACAGCTACCATGGGTTTTATTTAAGGTGGTTCCTGAGAATGGATTTGAAGTTTTCAGAAGAGTGTTTGTGGACTTTGAAGGAATCAGCTTGAGAAGGAAGTTTCTCAATGGCTTGGAACCAGAAAATATCCACATGATGATTGGTATGACCTAGCCTTGGTTATTGGGGAAGGCTGTATATATCATTGGGGAAATTTCTGGTCCTCAGTTATAAAATGACCCTCAGCCAGGTGTGGTGTCTCACGCCTGTAATCCCAGCACTTTGGGAGGCTGAGGCGGGCAGATCACTGGAGGTTCAGGAGTTGGAGAACAGCCTGGCCAATGTGGTGAAACCCTGTCTCTACTAAAAAAAATTAGCTGGGAGTGGTGGTACATCCCTATAATCCCAGCTACTTGGGAGGCTGAGGCACAGGAATCACTTGAACCCCGGAGGCAGAGGCTGCAGTGAGCTGAGATTGCGCCACTGCATTCCAGCCTGGGCGACAGAGTGAGACTCTCTCAAAAAAATAAAATGACGCTCATAATCTTCTCTAATCGGTTCTTCTTTCCTTGGTCAGGGTCTATGACAATCGACTGCTTAGGAATTCTAAATGATCTCTCCGACTGTGAAGATAAGCTCTTTCCTATTGGATATCAGTAAGTAGCACTATAAAGAGAAGAGAGCAGCCCCACAACCTGAACACACTGAAGCCATGTGCAGGTCATTAAATGTAGAGGCATACCTGTTAGCTACTTTAAACTGCTACTAAAAATTAATCACTTATTTTGCTAGTTCTCGGATTCGTCTGCTTGTAGATTGGGACTATGTTAGCGGAATCCAGTTATAGAAGGAAAGTATTATTGACATAATTTCAGAATTACTTAAAAATAAAACCTTAGTAGAAAACACAAGGTCAGTCTCTTAAGATTCCTCCAAATTCCATTCATCTCCATGCAGAAGTGCAGATTGTTTTTATGGATAAAACAGCTCATGCCCTGTTCCCAACTTTACAGTTTATAAGTCCTTCTAAAACTATAAATCCACACAATAATGATCAAATTTTTCAATAAGAATTTATAATCTTACCTATATGAAGTAAGTTGTTAAAATGTCTAACAAGCTAACAATATAAGTTCAAAATTCCCCTTCTACCACTCCCGCGTTGGAGTCTCATTTTGCAATATATGCTCCAACTTACTCTGTATTCCTATTCCTATGACACAGTCTGTGCTCCACATTTAGCTGGCAGCTTTTCACACAAACCAGATTCCACTAGCATTCAGCAGATTTGAAGCAGTTACATTTCTCTTGTCTCATGGGGCTCTTCTCCCAAAGGAAACACCTCAGGTTTGCCCTTTGTTTTATTTTCAGGCCGTACTTTGTATACATTGTAAGGCAATAGTTCGGTCCTGAAGGCCAAAACTAATTTTTGTAATGGTTAATATTTTTCTTTCTCTTGCTTTTAGGATGTTTTACTATATTTGGTGCCTGCTTATGGTACAAGAAAAAAAGATCTTAGGCTATTTTCTGAGAGGCTAAGAAAAACCAAGGACTTCAAAAAGCTTGGAACAACCTAACTAGGGGAATCTATACTAAGAACCCATAAAATAAAGCTAAACTCTGTAATTAAGAGGGCCAGGGAACCTAGGATAAAGAGAGGTTTTGAAAAATGCTAGTTTCTGCTTCTATCCTCTCCCTTATGATGATTTTCCCAAATCTGTTTACCCAGGTGTTCCAGGGTATACTGGAGCACCACAGATGCTCGCAAGCGCTGTGTATATACATGCAAGATAGTGGAGTGCCGTCCTCCAGTCGTAGAGCCGGATATCAACAGCACTGTTGAACATGATGAAAACAGGACCATTGCCCATAGTCCAACATCTTTTACAGGTTAGTCTTGAATCAAGATGGGACTTGAGGCTGGGCACAGTGGCTCACGCCTGTAATCGCAGCACTTTGGGAGGCTGAGGCAGGTGAATCACTTGAGGCCAGGAGTTCAAGAACAGCCTGGCCAACATGGTGAAACCCCATCTCTACTAAAAATACAAAAAAATTAGCCAGGCATGGTGGCAGGCACCTGTAATCCCAGTAATCCCAGCCACTCAGGAGGCAGAGGCACAAGAATCACTTGAACCAGGGAGGCAGATGTTGCAGTCAGCCAAGATCACGCCACTGCCCTCCAGCCTGGGTGACAGAGTGAGACTGTGTCTCAAAGAAAAAAAAAAAAAGATGTGATGGAACTTGAATTCGATTCAGGGAGTACTATGATTGAAAGCTGGGGGAAAAGTCATTTACTTGGGAAGTCTCATTTGCTTCTAGTTTTACATTTACCTGATAGCTGACTTTTTATTGGTTAATTTGTTTGATATTTTAATTGGGCCTTTTTAGTTAAGAGTTTTTATTTCCTGCCACAGAAAGTTCATCAAAAGAGAGTCAAAACACAGCTGAAATTATAAGTCCTCCATCACCAGACCGACCTCCTCATTCACAAACCTCTGGCTCCTGTTATTATCATGTCATCTCAAAGGTCCCCAGGATTCGAACACCCAGTTATTCTCCAACACAGAGATCCCCTGGCTGTCGACCGTTGCCTTCTGCAGGTAAAAGACTTTATTGACCTACTTGACCTAAGAAGATCAGCCCAAAGACTAATTTGTAATTCTTTCAGGCAACTTTATCTTGGTGACTTTTACTGATTGAAAATGTAGATTCCGGGTGGGTGAGGTGGCTCATGCCTGTAATCCTAGCACTTTGGGAGGCCAGGGCAGGTGGATCACCTGAGGTCAGGAGTTCAAGACCAGCCTGGCCAACATGGTGAAACCCTATCTCTACTAAAAATTCAAAAATTAGCCAGGTGTGGCGGTGCATGCCTGTAATCCCAGCTACCCAGGAGGCTAAGGCAGGAGAATCGCTGGAACCCAGGAGGTGGAGGTTGCAGTAAGCCGAGATCGCACCACTGCACTCCAGCTTGGGTGACAGAGTGAGACACTGTCTCAAAAAAGTAATAATAAATAAATAGAAAATGTAGATTTCCAGTTACCTATAAATATATATATATATAGTCAAATCATTGAAACCAGTGACTTCTACACATTTGTTCTATCTACAATAGCATTTATTACTTTTTCTCTCTTGTTTAGGAAGTCCTACCCCAACCACTCATGAAATAGTCACAGTAGGTGATCCTTTACTCTCCTCTGGACTTCGAAGCATTGGCTCCAGGCGTCACAGTACCTCTTCCTTATCACCCCAGCGGTCCAAACTCCGGATAATGTCTCCAATGAGAACTGGGAATACTTACTCTAGGAATAATGTTTCCTCAGTCTCCACCACCGGGACCGCTACTGATCTTGAATCAAGTGCCAAAGTAGTTGATCATGTCTTAGGGCCACTGAATTCAAGTACTAGTTTAGGGCAAAACACTTCCACCTCTTCAAATTTGCAAAGGACAGTGGTTACTGTAGGCAATAAAAACAGTCACTTGGATGGATCTTCATCTTCAGAAATGAAGCAGTCCAGTGCTTCAGACTTGGTGTCCAAGAGCTCCTCTTTAAAGGGAGAGAAGACCAAAGTGCTGAGTTCCAAGAGCTCAGAGGGATCTGCACATAATGTGGCTTACCCTGGAATTCCTAAACTGGCCCCACAGGTTCATAACACAACATCTAGAGAACTGAATGTTAGTAAAATCGGCTCCTTTGCTGAACCCTCTTCAGTGTCGTTTTCTTCTAAAGAGGCCCTCTCCTTCCCACACCTCCATTTGAGAGGGCAAAGGAATGATCGAGACCAACACACAGATTCTACCCAATCAGCAAACTCCTCTCCAGATGAAGATACTGAAGTCAAAACCTTGAAGCTATCTGGAATGAGCAACAGATCATCCATTATCAACGAACATATGGGATCTAGTTCCAGAGATAGGAGACAGAAAGGGAAAAAATCCTGTAAAGAAACTTTCAAAGAAAAGCATTCCAGTAAATCTTTTTTGGAACCTGGTCAGGTGACAACTGGTGAGGAAGGAAACTTGAAGCCAGAGTTTATGGATGAGGTTTTGACTCCTGAGTATATGGGCCAACGACCATGTAACAATGTTTCTTCTGATAAGATTGGTGATAAAGGCCTTTCTATGCCAGGAGTCCCCAAAGCTCCACCCATGCAAGTAGAAGGATCTGCCAAGGAATTACAGGCACCACGGAAACGCACAGTCAAAGTGACACTGACACCTCTAAAAATGGAAAATGAGAGTCAATCCAAAAATGCCCTGAAAGAAAGTAGTCCTGCTTCCCCTTTGCAAATAGAGTCAACATCTCCCACAGAACCAATTTCAGCCTCTGAAAATCCAGGAGATGGTCCAGTGGCCCAACCAAGCCCCAATAATACCTCATGCCAGGATTCTCAAAGTAACAACTATCAGAATCTTCCAGTACAGGACAGAAACCTAATGCTTCCAGATGGCCCCAAACCTCAGGAGGATGGCTCTTTTAAAAGGAGGTATCCCCGTCGCAGTGCCCGTGCACGTTCTAACATGTTTTTTGGGCTTACCCCACTCTATGGAGTAAGATCCTATGGTGAAGAAGACATTCCATTCTACAGCAGCTCAACTGGGAAGAAGCGAGGCAAGAGATCAGCTGAAGGACAGGTGGATGGGGCCGATGACTTAAGCACTTCAGATGAAGACGACTTATACTATTACAACTTCACTAGAACAGTGATTTCTTCAGGTGGAGAGGAACGACTGGCATCCCATAATTTATTTCGGGAGGAGGAACAGTGTGATCTTCCAAAAATCTCACAGTTGGATGGTGTTGATGATGGGACAGAGAGTGATACTAGTGTCACAGCCACAACAAGGAAAAGCAGCCAGATTCCAAAAAGAAATGGTAAAGAAAATGGAACAGAGAACTTAAAGATTGATAGACCTGAAGATGCTGGGGAGAAAGAACATGTCACTAAGAGTTCTGTTGGCCACAAAAATGAGCCAAAGATGGATAACTGCCATTCTGTAAGCAGAGTTAAAACACAGGGACAAGATTCCTTGGAAGCTCAGCTCAGCTCATTGGAGTCAAGCCGCAGAGTCCACACAAGTACCCCCTCCGACAAAAATTTACTGGACACCTATAATACTGAGCTCCTGAAATCAGATTCAGACAATAACAACAGTGATGACTGTGGGAATATCCTGCCTTCAGACATTATGGACTTTGTACTAAAGAATACTCCATCCATGCAGGCTTTGGGTGAGAGCCCAGAGTCATCTTCATCAGAACTCCTGAATCTTGGTGAAGGATTGGGTCTTGACAGTAATCGTGAAAAAGACATGGGTCTTTTTGAAGTATTTTCTCAGCAGCTGCCTACAACAGAACCTGTGGATAGTAGTGTCTCTTCCTCTATCTCAGCAGAGGAACAGTTTGAGTTGCCTCTAGAGCTACCATCTGATCTGTCTGTCTTGACCACCCGGAGTCCCACTGTCCCCAGCCAGAATCCCAGTAGACTAGCTGTTATCTCAGACTCAGGGGAGAAGAGAGTAACCATCACAGAAAAATCTGTAGCCTCCTCTGAAAGTGACCCAGCACTGCTGAGCCCAGGAGTAGATCCAACTCCTGAAGGCCACATGACTCCTGATCATTTTATCCAAGGACACATGGATGCAGACCACATCTCTAGCCCTCCTTGTGGTTCAGTAGAGCAAGGTCATGGCAACAATCAGGATTTAACTAGGAACAGTAGCACCCCTGGCCTTCAGGTACCTGTTTCCCCAACTGTTCCCATCCAGAACCAGAAGTATGTGCCCAATTCTACTGATAGTCCTGGCCCGTCTCAGATTTCCAATGCAGCTGTCCAGACCACTCCACCCCACCTGAAGCCAGCCACTGAGAAACTCATAGTTGTTAACCAGAACATGCAGCCACTTTATGTTCTCCAAACTCTTCCAAATGGAGTGACCCAAAAAATCCAATTGACCTCTTCTGTTAGTTCTACACCCAGTGTGATGGAGACAAATACTTCAGTATTGGGACCCATGGGAGGTGGTCTCACCCTTACCACAGGACTAAATCCAAGCTTGCCAACTTCTCAATCTTTGTTCCCTTCTGCTAGCAAAGGATTGCTACCCATGTCTCATCACCAGCACTTACATTCCTTCCCTGCAGCTACTCAAAGTAGTTTCCCACCAAACATCAGCAATCCTCCTTCAGGCCTGCTTATTGGGGTTCAGCCTCCTCCGGATCCCCAACTTTTGGTTTCAGAATCCAGCCAGAGGACAGACCTCAGTACCACAGTAGCCACTCCATCCTCTGGACTCAAGAAAAGACCCATATCTCGTCTACAGACCCGAAAGAATAAAAAACTTGCTCCCTCTAGTACCCCTTCAAACATTGCCCCTTCTGATGTGGTTTCTAATATGACATTGATTAACTTCACACCCTCCCAGCTTCCTAATCATCCAAGTCTGTTAGATTTGGGGTCACTTAATACTTCATCTCACCGAACTGTCCCCAACATCATAAAAAGATCTAAATCTAGCATCATGTATTTTGAACCGGCACCCCTGTTACCACAGAGTGTGGGAGGAACTGCTGCCACAGCGGCAGGCACATCAACAATAAGCCAGGATACTAGCCACCTCACATCAGGGTCTGTGTCTGGCTTGGCATCCAGTTCCTCTGTCTTGAATGTTGTATCCATGCAAACTACCACAACCCCTACAAGTAGTGCGTCAGTTCCAGGACACGTCACCTTAACCAACCCAAGGTTGCTTGGTACCCCAGATATTGGCTCAATAAGCAATCTTTTAATCAAAGCTAGCCAGCAGAGCCTGGGGATTCAGGACCAGCCTGTGGCTTTACCGCCAAGTTCAGGAATGTTTCCACAACTGGGGACATCACAGACCCCCTCTACTGCTGCAATAACAGCGGCATCTAGCATCTGTGTGCTCCCCTCCACTCAGACTACGGGCATAACAGCCGCTTCACCTTCTGGGGAAGCAGACGAACACTATCAGCTTCAGCATGTGAACCAGCTCCTTGCCAGCAAAACTGGGATTCATTCTTCCCAGCGTGATCTTGATTCTGCTTCAGGGCCCCAGGTATCCAACTTTACCCAGACGGTAGACGCTCCTAATAGCATGGGACTGGAGCAGAACAAGGCTTTATCCTCAGCTGTGCAAGCCAGCCCCACCTCTCCTGGGGGTTCTCCATCCTCTCCATCTTCTGGACAGCGGTCAGCAAGCCCTTCAGTGCCGGGTCCCACTAAACCCAAACCAAAAACCAAACGGTTTCAGCTGCCTCTAGACAAAGGGAATGGCAAGAAGCACAAAGTTTCCCATTTGCGGACCAGTTCTTCTGAAGCACACATTCCAGACCAAGAAACGACATCCCTGACCTCAGGCACAGGGTGAGAGATCCAAATACTAGCTAGGCTGGGTCTGTGGGATTTCATGTTGTAAATTAGGGGCTGTTGATGTGGTAGTCCGGGAGAGACACTCTTCTGTTCAAGTTGCATTACCTGGGAGTTTTCCGGGTTTTGACTTTTTTTCTCTCTGAGTGGTGATTTATGTAACAAAATGTAGTTCCATCCATGGGCAGTTTGTCTCTTGAATAGAACCACATCTAATCACTTTTTGCTCTGATTTCAAACAGTGTTGCTGTTTGTTCCTGTTTCTTTTTTACTGAGGCTTATACTAGAATGATTATTCTTATCTTGAGGGCAAAGCTCCCTCTTGTAGATCCACAGAGTCCTTTTTTTAAAACTTTATCATTGAAAGCCAAGCACAGTGGCTCATGTCTGTAATCCCAGCACTTTGGAAGGCTGAGGCAGAAGGATTGCTGGAGCTCAGGAGTTCAAGATCAGTCTGTGCAACATAGTAAGACCCTGTCTCTACAAAAAATTTTTTAAAACAGCTGGGTGTGGTGTTGCACACCTGTAGCCCCAGCTATTCAGGAGGCTGAGGTGGGAGGATTGCTTGAGCCCAAGAGTTAGAGGCTAAATGATCCATGGTCATGTCACTGCACTCCAGCCTAGGTGGAGTGCACCTATGTAGCCACCACTCGGATCAAGATACAGAACATTTCTAGCAACCCACAAGGGTGTCTTCTCTTATAAGGTCAGTGCCCCCTCAAAGTAACCATTATTCTAACCTTTATGACCTTAGGTCAGTTTTGCTGGCTTATAGACTTTATCAGATCCTGATAGAGCCATTTCTTTCGACTCACCTCCACATTCAGTACATATTTACTGGTGGTTTGTCTTGAAAAGATACAAATGCCTGTGTTCCAGGACTCCAGGAGCAGAGGCTGAGCAGCAGGATACAGCTAGCGTGGAGCAGTCCTCCCAGAAGGAGTGTGGGCAACCTGCAGGGTAAGCTGAAGAATTCGTCTTTTAAGACTAAGCTCTCAGTTTTGTCCACCTCATTTAAAAAATAGTTCTTCCAGGCCGGGCGCAGTGGCTCACGCCTGTAATCCTAGTAGTCTGGGAGGCCGAGGCAGGTGGATCACGAGGTTAGATCGAGACCATCCTGGCTAACATGGTGAAACCCCGTCTCTACTAAAAATACAAAAAGAATTAGCCGGGCGTGATGGCGGGCGCCTGTAGTCCCAGCCACTCAGGAGGCTGAGGCAGGAGAAGGGCGTGAACCCAGGAGGCGGAGCTTGCAGTGAGCTGAGATCGCGCCACTGCACTCCAGCCTGGGCGATAGAGCAAGACTCCGTTTCCAAAAAAAAGGTAAAAAATAGTTCTTCCTGATTCACATTGATTTTTGTTTTCTTGCCAAAGTTTTTTAAATGAGAATAGTACAGGCTTGTAAACAAGTAAACAAAAAATATAACAAGAATTATTTAAATAATGGATAATAGTTTCCTATTTGTCCCCCTCACCCCCGCCCAATCTACTCCCTAGAGGTGGTCATTGCTAATAATTTGTTTTTATCTATGCAGACATCTCTCTGCATATAAAGATATAACGTGGTATATATATGAATATGTATACACTTTTTTACATAAAAGGAATAATACTGTACATACTGTTCTGTATTTGGTTTTTCACTTATGTACATCTTTCTGTGCCAATATATGTAGGTGTGCTTCACTTTTTAAATCGCTGCCGCCAATTCTATTGTGTGGATCTACAATATTTTAATGAGTCCTCTATTGATATACATTTGGATTGTTTCCAGAATTTATTTAGTTTAAAAAAGTGAAAACTGGGGCTGGACACAGTGGCTCATGCCTGTAATCCCAACACTTTGGGAGGCTGAGGCAGGAGGATTGCTTGAGCCCAGGAGTTTGAAACCAACCTTGGCAACATAGGGAGACCCTCTCTCTACAAAAATTAAAAGTTAACCAGGCATGGTGGTGCACATCCACAGTCCAAGCTAAGGCGGGAGGATTGCTTGAGCCTGGGAGTTGGAGGATGCAGCAAGCCGTGATTGCCACTGCACTCCAGCCTGGACAGCAAAGTGAGAACCTATCTCAAAAAAAAAAAAAAAAAGGTGAAAATTGATTGTGGTTTATAAGCTCATGCAGCTTATTTTTTAGTTTTAGTTAAGCCAGCTTACTTATTTAAGTAACTTTAGAATTGCTTCTGACAAGTGTCCTTTCATTTTTTTCTAATACTGAGTATGAGAAGAATTTCAAGGGCGCAATTTACAACTTTAAAAACAGAAACTTAATGTCAGTATTTGGTAAAGAATCTCACAAAAGAGTTTTATGTTATGTACCATACAGTGGTGTGGTGGTTGTATTCATTCAACAAGTTCTACAGAAAGCCCCCTGTGGCTCATTTTCTAGCAGTTATTTTGTATACCACAGCTGTATAGAAAATTCTGGGTTTTTTCTTTGAATTGAAGAACTAGCTGATATTATATCTTACATTTGGTTTTTATTTAGGCAAGTCGCTGTTCTTCCGGAAGTTCAGGTGACCCAAAATCCAGCAAATGAACAAGAAAGTGCAGGTATGTGGGTGGGTAAAAGGTTAGAATCAGAGAATATCAATGCTAAAAGGATTATGAGAATCACCCACTTTACCTACTTATTTTCTACATTTAAAAAAAAAAATCTAAGCTCCAAAGAAGTTAAGTGATTTGGCCCACATTGGACTGAAACTTGGCGCACCTGTCTCTCGGTGCAGTGTTCTTCCAGTACATATTGTGTGATCACCTGTCAGCTAAGGACTCAAGACCATACCCATACTCTTCTGCTGTACTGGTTTTACCAGCACTGAGGCTTAAATAGCTAGTAATAACCTGACTTCACTTTTTAGTTGTTACTAAAGAAAACTAAGAACCATTTTTATTAGATAGTCAGATTTTGGTTACAATACCAGATACATCTCCATGGCATTTTCCATCAGTTCTAATGAATTTGATTAGGAAACAAATGGTCACTTCAAGATTAGAGAGTTCTGGGTATAACTCTATTGAGGACAGTTGCTTATTGAAAAACTATCAGATCGTCATACTAGAAATTCTACCACAGAGAGCATAACTTCATGTAAAAAAAAATCTGGTTTTAGTCACCACTTTCTAGCAATGACCTAGGCAAGCTCTTTGAGTCTTGGGTTTGTTATCTATAAATGGGAATAATAAACCAACTGTGGAATGTTGTTAGGCTTAGAGATCATTTATGTAAAGTACTCTACATGTAGTCAGTGCTCAGTGAGCATTTGTTACTGCAACCACTATCTATTTTCTCCCTATTAGAACCTAAAACAGTGGAAGAAGAGGAAAGTAATTTCAGCTCCCCACTGATGCTTTGGCTTCAGCAAGAACAAAAGCGGAAGGAAAGCATTACTGAGAAAAAACCCAAGAAAGGACTTGTTTTTGAAATTTCCAGTGATGATGGCTTTCAGATCTGTGCAGAAAGTATTGAAGGTGAGTGGATTAAATCAGGTTGACCCATCAGCAGAAGCCCTGTTTCAGCTAGAGCTTCATTTTCTGAGTATTAGCACCATTTAGGTGGCTGTTTTATGCTAGATGGTAGGGGGATACCTGGAGGCATCATACATTTTCCTTGTCCTTGAGAAGTTTGTCTTATTGGAGAAATAGCCATATTTTACATGAAAAGTTAATGATACAGATTATGTTTTCAACATTGCACACACCTTAGCGGAGCCCCTGAGAACTCTGCTTCCCCCTCCAGCCTTGTTTTTTGCCATTCCCTCATGCGCCTTCTGTGCCCTTCTCTCTCCCTTGTGTGCCTTCACACGTGCTTTCTCCTCTGCCTGGAGTTCTCTCCCTGCCCTCAATCACCTGGTGAGCTCCAGCTCACCCTTCAAGATCCAGCTCAGACGGTCTTCCCTGACCTTCTGAGGTAGCTAAGCCCTCCCTCTCCCTCCTTTTGAATCTTACATGTTCTTCTCTCATAGCTTACATTTTGTTTTGTCCGTGTTTGTTTACTTTTATCACTCACTCAACAGCGAGCTCTCCATAAGGGCTGGAATTTTATTTTCTTATTCATCTTTGTATCGCAAGCATCTAAGTGTTCATCCACCTTTGAAGGACTAGTAAATGTTCTCTAGGCTGTAAGTACTAGAAGAGTTCAAAGAAGAGAAAGGTCACCATGGGTGAGTTAGGGTTATCAAAAACCCATGAAGATAAATAGAAGATTCTATTAAAGGAGAAAATGGAATTTGGGTTAGGCAAAGAAGAATGCAGGGCTCTCTAGGAAGAAGAAGGGAGGTAAGCAAAGTTAGAAAGGCAGGACTGCATTTGGTGGGTTTAGAGTAGTGTCAGGTGAGATGGCATTGAAATCCATGTGAGGTAATAGTGAAAGAGAAAATTGGGAAGGTGGATAGGGCACAGGTTTTAGAGGGCTTTCAGTGCCAAACCTTGAGGACTTTGAAAACTTGAGGGAGTGAATAGAAGCAGAATTTCAGGAAACATAATGTGATAAGCTCTCTATATGAGACAGATTGAGCATGAACTGGAGATGCTCAAAGACGAGAGTTTACTAATGAGAGTATTGCTAGAGTAGAGATGTCTGGTAATAAAGCCCACATTCGGTGGGAAAAGAAAGGAAAGGAAAGAAGAATGAGTACACTTGGTGGAATATGGAGAGGGGAGAGTCAAAGATGACCCTAAAGATTCAGGCCTGGGTGACTAAAACAAAAGATAATGCATGGAGAACAAAGGAGATAAGTAAGGAGTATGGGGGTTCCACAGAAGACATTGATGTGGAGTGATGTAAGAAATCCATGTGGAAATGCCTAGCAGACAGGAAAAGATCACAGAATCTTGGGTTAGAGCTGGAAGGAACTGTAAGGATTTTCTAGTTCTGCCTCTTAACTTTAAGGAACAGAGAGGTTATGATCTTCCCACAGTCCTGCTTAAATCATTATTACTAGTGCTGTTTTGATTAGGGGTACAGGGAACATAAAAATACCAAACATTCAGGTGTGAGACCCAGACTTCCATCAAGGGATGTGAATGCGTTGGGGATTCAGAGTTCATTTCAGAAGGTCTGACTTTCCTTAGTGCTTCTGTGTCCTCCAACAGAAAGAAGCCCTGCTGGGGAGTGTACCTTTTCGGCTCCTTTCACATGTAATGAACTGACTTAAACTCTAAGAAAAATAACAAAACACTGCTCTAGGAGGGCAAGTGTTCACACTGTAGGGATTCTAAGCAGTGCTTGTGCACATCATTGGTATTAAGAAGGGTTTACGTGCATATTTTCTGGCTTACGGGTTTTCTTTATTTCCTTTCAGATGCCTGGAAGTCATTGACAGATAAAGTCCAGGAAGCTCGATCAAATGCCCGCCTAAAGCAGCTCTCATTTGCAGGTAATGGCTGGAGGTGTTATTCCACTCCTGTCTCAGAATATTATGGTAAATTGTTCGCCTAAGGCAGAGTTGATTCTGTGAAAAAAAAATCAGTTAAAAATTTTTTTCACAGCTTTATTGAGATTTAATTCATATACCATACAGTTCACCCATCTAAAGCATACAATTCAGTGGTTTTTAATATATTCAGAGTTGTATAACCACCACTACTCTATAATTCTAGAACATTCTCATCATCCCTAAAAGAAACCCCCTATTCATTAGCAGTCATTCCTCAGCCCCTGGCCACCACAAATCTACTTTCTGTCTCTATGTATTTGATTATTCTGGACATTTCATATAAATGAAATCAGACAATATGTAGCCTTTTGTGACCGTCTTCTTTCACTCAACAGAATACTTTCCAGGTTCTTCCCTTCTGTTACATCTTCCCTTCCACATCAGTACTTCATTCCTTTTTATTGCCAAATATTCCATTGTGTAGATATACCATATGTTGCTTATCCATTCATTAGTCAGTGGACATTTGGGTTTTTTCTATTTTCTGCTACGAATAATGTTGCCACAAATATTCATGTTCAAGTTATTGTGTAGACATGTTTTTATTTTTTTTCAGTATATACCTCAGAGTGGAATGGCTGGGTCATATGGTAACTCTTTAACTTTTTGAAGTACTGCCAGGTTTTTTTTCCAAAGTGGCTATACCATTTTACATTTCCACCTGCAATGCACGAGTGTTCCCATTTCTCCACCTTTGCCAACACTTACCTGTTTTTTGTTTTTTTTTTTTTATTTTAGACATTGTAGTGTGAAATGTTATCTTTTCTTAAAGTTGAAATCATTTACCATTGGTATTAGACTTCATATTAAATTTAGGCAGCATACAAACTTATTAATACACTTGTTTTGAGCAAACACTAAAGATTTTAATCAGTGGATGCTGTGGCTCACACCTGTAATCCCAACACTTTGGGTGACCAAGGCAGAAGGATCATTTGAGGCCAGGAGTTCAAGACCAGCCTGGGCTTCATACAGAGAATACATCTTTACAAAAAATAAAAATATATATTAGCCGGCACCGTGGCATGCACACCTGTACTCCCAGCTACTCTGGAGGCTGAGGCAGGAGGATCACTGGAGCCTAGGAGTATGAGACTGTATTAAGCTATGATCTTAGCACTGCACTCCAGCCTGAACGACAGATAAATACTTTGTCACAAAAAAAAGAAGAAGAAGAAGAAGAAGGTTTTAATTAAGCTAAGGTAGAAACCTTCCATTGACTTTGTTTTATCCATATCTACCTCTCCTACCTCCTTTCAGATTGCTCCTGGAAAGGTGGGTGAATGGGTACTTACAGGAATTTTAACTTTTTTTTTTTTAGGAATTTAATTTTATCAGTGATGTTCTTCCTTTAAGAGGGAAGGGAAGGAAAATATTTGGATGCACTTTAGAAAATACTAACATTTGTTCATTTTATGTGACAGGTACATGCATGGCTATTATAACACCCTGTGTATTTTTTTATACTTAAAATTTTTCAGAACTTTTTTAATTAAAAAAAAGAGAAAAAGACCCAACAGGCAGTTTATCTCCCACAAAATACAAATGGCCCATAGCATGAAAGGGTACTCAATCTCAGCTGGACACAGTGGCTCACACCTGAATTCCAACATCTTGGGAGGATTGTTTGAGTCTAGGAGTTCAAGACCATCCTGGGCAATAGAGTGAGACCTCATCTCTATATAAAAAAAAATTGTTTAAATTAGGCAGGCATGATGGCTCATGCCTGTGGTCCCAGCTACTTGGGAAGCTGATGTGGGAGGAGCGCATTGAGCCTGGGAGGTCAAGCCTACAGTGAGCCAAGATTATGGCACTGCACTCCAGCCTGGGTGACAGAACAAGACCCTGTCTCAAAAAAAAAAAAAAAAAAAAAGAAAAAGAAAAAAAAGTCTTGCTCATAATTTTTAAAATTCTACCCCAAAAATATAAGTCACATCCCTTTCTTTTTCTCTGACATATCCCTTGTTATTCTCTCATGCAATGTTAAAAAGCCCTATAACTGAGTCTCCTATCTCACCTCCTTGTACCCTCAGAGTCTCCAGAGGTGCCTCAAAATCTTACTATTGCCTACTAGTTACAGAGTATAATCTTCAACCCTTACGTATTTGTTATTAGTAAATATTTACTGACCACTTGTAAAATGCCTGGTACCATGTTAAACACAGGATACAGTCGCTGAGTAGCGACCCAGCCCTGCTCTTTGAGGTTTCCTGTCTACGGATCCTTACATGGCGAGGTCCTCTTCAGCCGGATTCATCTGTTCAGTCTCAGCTTTCCCCACTTCCCTCACTGCTCAAGATTCTTTGTTCTGCAGCCACACTACACTATTTACTGTTCCAGATCCATCCATGTGTCTTTTTTTTTTTTTTCTCCAAGACAGAGTCTTACTCTGTCACCCAGGCTGGAGTGCAGTGGCGTGATCTCGGCTCACTGCAACCTCCATCTCCCAGGTTCAGGTGATTCTCCTGCTTCAGCCTCCTGAGTAGCTGGGACTACAGGCGCATGCTACCACACCCGGCTATTTTTTGTATTATTATTATTTTTTTATTTTTATTTTTATTTTTTGAGACAGAGTTTCTTTCCTGTTGCCCAGGCTGGAGTGCAATGGCGCAATCTCGGTTCACCGCAACCTCCACCTCCCGAATTCAAGCGATTCTCCTGCCTCAGCCTCCCGAGTAGCTGGGATTACAGGCATGTGCCACCATGCCTGGCTAATTTTGTATTTTTAGTAGAGTCAGGGTTTCTCCATCTTGGTAAGGCTGGTCTTGAACTCCTGACCTCAGGTAATCTGCCCGCCTCAGCCTCCCAAAGTGCTGGGATTACAGGCGTGAGCCACCACGCCCGGCCTAATTTTTGTATTTTTAGTAGAGACGGGGTTTCACCGTGCTGGTCAGGCTACTCTAGAACTCCTGAGCTTGTGATCTGCCCACCTCGGCCTCCCAAAGTGCTGGGATCACAGGCGTGAGCCACTGTGCCCGGCCCATCCATGTGTCTTAAAGTGTAGCCTATAGGTGTGAATCAGAATCCCTGGGCTTGGAGCTGAGAAAGCTGAATTTTTAACATGTGCCCCCAAGCAATTCTTATTACTTACCCTAAATGTGCTTTCATATCAGCATAACATGGTTGATGCAGTTCCCTCCACCAGGACCTATTTCCTCCATCTACTCTCTTCCCTCCAAATTCCCTGGTTTACACAACAAACTCCTGTTAATCCTTTAAGACTTTGCTCAAGGTCACCTCTTTTCTTTAACCTTTTTTGATCATTCTTCCTGTGCCTACGGAAATCCCAACTCTTAACTGATTTAAAGAGTGAGATAATTTATCATCTTATATAACAGAAAGTCCAGAGGTAGGGACAGACGTGTCAGGATTGATTGGTACAGGAGCTTGCAATGTCATCAAATACCTAGATTCTTTTCTTCTTTCCACTTTACGATCTATAGTAAAACTTCATCTTCAAGCTGATAGCAAATGGCTGCAGCAGTTCCCACAATAACATTCAGTCATCACAGTGTTCAGAGGAACAGGAGAGGCTTAGGAACAAATGGACATCTCACAGACCAGAATTTGGTACCATGTCCATTTCTTTTTCTGTCCTTTTTTTTTTTTTTTTTTTTTTGAGACAGGGTCTCACACTGTTGCCCAGGCTGGAGTGTGTAGTGGTGCAATCTTGGCTCACTGCAACCTCCGCCTCCCGGGTTCAAGCAATACTCCTGCCTCAGCCTCCCGAGTAGCTGGGACTACAGGTACACGCCACCACACCCAGCTAATTTTTGTATTTTAGTAGAGACGGGATTTCACCATGTTGGCCAGGATGGTCTCGAACTTCTGACCTCAGGTAATCTACCCACCTTGGCCTCCCAAAGCGCTGAGAGTACAGGTACCCAGCCCCATGTCCATTTCTAAGCCAGTCTCTGGCAAAGGGACTGGGATTCCCAGGATTGTCTTAGATTAATCATCTGGGGTGGAAGGTTTAGCCTGGAGGTTAACCACAATGACCCTTGTGTTCCCCAGTCCAAAACCTGTCCATTATACTCCATTTCCAGTGCTGCCACCTTGTCCTTACCCTCATGCCCTTATATTCTAGTGGTGTATATGTATATGTAAGTACCATGAAGAAGATAACATGGGGAAATGAAATAGAGAGTGACACAGAGGTGGGTAGTTGGTGACAGGAAATCTGGAATCTCTTGATGAGGCAACATTTGAGCTTAGACCTGAGTGATGATGAGAAGAAGCCAATCATGCATATACATAAAGCGAAAGTCCTCGAGGCAAGCTAGAAGGCTGAGGAAGGAGAGTTTGAGCTTATAGTGTGCCAAGATCATACCTGTGAATAGCCACGGCACCAGCTGAGCAACACAGTGAAACTCTCTTAAAAAAAATTAAATTAAATTAACTATGTTTTCTAAAGTCCTGACACAGAGGAAACAGCAGATGAAAAAGTCCTGAAGTGGGAATATCTTTGATGTGTTTATTGTCTGTCTCTTCCATGAAGTAAAAGCTCTATGAATACAGGTACCTTGCCTGTCTTGCTCACCTGTAAGTTCCTAAGGTCCTGTCTGGCACAGTGGAAAGATGGAAAGAGTGCCTGGGATATTTTAGGTGTGCTGTAAATATTTATTGAATGAATAAATGAGTCTCCCACAAGCAGAACAGATTGTTCCTTCTTAAGAGTTCCCATAGTACTTTATATTATACCTTAATTTGGACACCTGCACATTGCATGGTTTGTATACGTCTCTGCCTTCCTCTGCTGTGAGCTCCTTAAGAACAGACGGGGGCCCACACATAATGCATCTTTGTTTTCCCATTATCAACACAATATTAATCTCATTGTAATCTCTCTGGTGAGTGAGAGTTGAACATTCAGTGTACATATTAAAAGGAACTTTCTGTGAAAATATACTTGAGTATGTAGTATGTTTTTCAATGTCTTTTTTTTTTAACCTAAGAATTCACAGCAATCTAGAACTTCCAGGAAAAAATTATTAAGGAAAATTAGTGGTCTGTAGAAAAGAGTTTGCCAGCTGGGCGCGGTGGCTCACGCCTGTAATCCCATCACTTTGGGAGGCTGAGGTGGGCAGATCACGAGGTCAGGAGATCGACACCATCCTGGCTAACACAGTGAAACCCCGTCTCTACTAAAAAATACAAAAAATTAGCCAGGCGTGGTGGCGGGCGCCTGTAGTCCCAGCTACTCGGGAGGCTGAGGCAGCAGAATGGTGTGAACCCAGGAGGCAGAGCTTGCAGTGAGCCAAGATCGCACCACTGTACTCCAGCCTGGGCGACAGGGTGAGACTCTGTCTCAAAAAAAAAAAAAAAAAGAAAAGAAAAGAAAAAAGAGTTTGCCATTGCCTTATATGGCTTAAGTTCTTATCTTATACAGTTGTGTTACATAGTGTTACATACCTAAGCCAAATTCTTAAGGGACCAACAGTTGTGATCATAAGAATGTCACTTATCAGGGGCCAGTGCAGTGGCTCACACCTGTAATCCTACCTAGCAAGTTGGGAGGCCAAGGAAGGAGGATCACTCGAGGCCAGGAGTTCAAGATCAGCCTGGGCAACACAGTAAGACCCTGTCTCCACAAGAAATTTAAAAATTAGCCAAACACAGTGGCATATATGCCTGTAGTCCCAGCTACCTGGGAGGCTGAGGCGGGAGCAGCTTGAGCCCAGAAATTCAAGGTTACAGTGAGCTATGATCATGCTACTGCACTCCAGCCTGGGCAACAAAGTGAAACCTGTCTCTTAGAAAAAGAATATTGCTTATCTAGAGACAACATTCTTTTTGTTTGTTTGTTTGTTTGTTTTTGAGATGAGGTCTCACTCTGTTGCCCAAGCTGGAGTGCAGTGGCATGATCGTCTGCTTTTTCATCTGCTATTTCCTCTGCACCAGGACATTACACCAAGGTTACATCTCTAAATATGCTTCATAATGCAAACTGTATGTCTGTTGGAATTGCATATGTGCAATTGCAGTCCTAATACAATTACACTTATGAAATGGATACCTGATCCAAAATTAACACCATTACTGTTTCTATATCTATTAATAATACCAAACCAGTATTCGTAAATGAAATAATATTGTTTACTTAATAAAAATGTAAAGAACATTAGCTATTTGCTAGTGTCAAAAAGAAGTGTGGCAGTTGTAATTGTGCCCTGTCCCTTTAATGGAAAAAGCCAAATAATTTTAAAATGAAAGCCTTTCACCATCAATGCCAGCAGACTTATATAAATGTTGTTTTCATAAAATAAAAATAAATAAAAAATGCTCATTAACAGCATGAGACGGTGAGTAGAACAAAGCAGCTACTGAGTGTATTACTCCACACATTCATCATAACAACACAAGAGTTCTGTGTTAGGGGTGTATTAACATTGCTTTTAAACTTTAGTGAGGCTGGCTGGGTGCTGTGGCTCACACCTGTAATCCCAGCACTTTGGGAAGCTGAGGCAGGTGGATCACCTGAGGTCAGGAGTTTAAGACCAGCCTGGCCAATATGGTGAAACCTTGTCTCTACTAAAAATACAAAAAAATTAGCTGGGCATGGTGACGTGCCCCTGTAGTCCCAGCTACTTGGGAGGCTGAGGCAGGAGAATTGCTTGAACCCAGGAGGTGGAGTTGTAGCGAGCTGAGATCGGACCACTGCACTCCAGCCTGGGTGACGGAGTTAGAGTCTGTCTCAAAAAAAAAAAAAAAGCCGGGCGCGGTGGCTCACACCTGTAATCCCAGCATTTTGGAAGGCCAAGGCGGGTGGATCACGAGGTCAGGAGATCGAGACCATCCTGGCTAACATGGTGAAACTCCGTCTCTACTAAAAATACGAAAAAAATTAGCCAGGCGTGGTGGCGGCGCCCGTAGTCCCAGCTACTCGGGAGGCTGAGGTAGGAGAATGGCGTGAACCCGGGAGGTGGAGCTTGCAGTGAGCTGAGATCATGCCACTGCACTCCAGCCTGGGTGGCAGAGTGAGACTCCATCTCAAAAAAAAAAAAAAAAAAAAAAGAAAATTAAACTTTAGTGAGGTATCTGGGGGAACATAAGCTTATAGAACCTAGATAATCCATTCCTAGATGGATTATATTTGTAGTTATGCAGTCCAGAGTTCATATCTTGTCAAATCATGTAGCCTTGGGAGTGTTACATCAGTTCTCTAAGCCTGTTTGCTCACCTGAAAATGAAGCTAGTAATTCCTGCCCTGTGTGGTCATTATGAGCACGAAATGAAATAACACGTGTATATAGCATTAGCATATAGCATTTCTGTGTAATAAAGCAAAATAGTCCATAGTTTGGTGGCATGCTTTTTTCACTTAGCCGTCTATCACAAACATTTTCCATATTGATAGATCTGTATCAGCATCATTTTAATGGCTATCTGATGCTAATTTCGAGCTAATATGTACTATAATTCACCCTGGAGCAGCCTCTGGCAGAGTGACTATAGCATAGGCATTTCTGTAGGACCATGCTGTTTCCTGTTGACTGCGCTCCTCACTTCCCTGGTGCTTCTGATTCTTCTAGGTGTTAACGGTTTGAGGATGCTGGGGATTCTCCATGATGCAGTTGTGTTCCTCATTGAGCAGCTGTCTGGTGCCAAGCACTGTCGAAATTACAAATTCCGTTTCCACAAGCCAGAGGAGGCCAATGAACCCCCCTTGAACCCTCACGGCTCAGCCAGGGCTGAAGTCCACCTCAGGCAAGTTCCCTTCTTTTCTGTCAGCAGTTTTGGGTCTCGATTTTCTTATCTCATGACACTGTCATCTTCCCACATACCCTTTGAGATTTCCAGTTTTAATGCCATCATCCTTTACTGCTTTATTAAAGCATTTCTCTAAATATGTTTTAATCTTTTGGCCCCAGGAAGTCAGCATTTGACATGTTTAACTTCCTGGCTTCTAAACATCGTCAGCCTCCTGAATACAACCCCAATGATGAAGAAGAGGAGGAGGTACAGCTGAAGTCAGCTCGGTAAGTCTTGAGTGGGGAGCAGTCATTAGAAACTGCTTTCCCTCTCCTCCAGCTGGTCAGGGCACTACGTAGGAATTTGTTTGCATCAGAATTTCCTGGATAAGATTTAAAAGGACTGAAAACCATTTGTGTTGAAGTAGCAGTAGGTGCCTGGTAAGGAGTGAGGAATATAAGGTACAGAGGAGAAATTCAAAGAACTGTAAGATGCCTGTTTTCTTTAATGATAGTATACTCTGTCAGCTTTGGTTGTACCACCATAGTTGTCATGGTCAGAAAGTACTATATATACTAAAAATGGGACTCATTGGCCAGGCACAGTGGCTCATGCCTGTAATTCCAGCACTTTGGAAGTCCGAGGCGGACAGATCATGAGGTCAGGAGTTCGAGACCAGCCTGACCAACATAGTGAAACCCTATCTCTACTAAAAATACAAAAATTAGCCCGGCGTGGTGGCGCGCGCCTGTAGTCCCACCTACTCAGCAGGCTGAGGCAAGAGAATCGCTTGAACCCAGGAGGCGGAGGTTACAGTGAGCCGAGATCGCACCACTGGACTCCAGCCTGGGCGACAGAGCGAAACTCCATCTCAAAAAAAAAAGGGGGGCGCTCATTTTATAAGGCACTCGTTCAGTTTGGCATTAAACAAAGAGTGTACTAATTGTCTCTAGGAACCTTCGATTCAAGACTCAAAACATTATTTCCTGAAAAAAATTCGTTAATAGTATGTCTTATCTCTTAGGAGGGCAACTAGCATGGATCTGCCAATGCCCATGCGCTTCCGGCACTTAAAAAAGACTTCTAAGGAGGCAGTTGGTGTCTACAGGTATGACTAAAATTCTAGAAAGAATTACAGAAAACGAATGCAGTTTTTCAAAATCAAAGCAGACCAAATGCTGGAGTGACCTTCCTCACTCAGTAAGTGAGGATTTTACGGACACTATTTATTGACCCTCATATCCTGGGATCCTGCACCTCCTTGTGTTGAACAAGGACTTTAACATAATAAGCATTAAAATATTACTGCTTCCAGCGGGTCACAGAATGGAAATAACTTTCATCTTTGGCCATGTGTTAGATGGCCAAATCAAGTGGGTCCAAATTTTTATTTTCTCAAGTATATGTCCCTCCTGGGGAACTAACAGACCAGGAGAACTTATTCATGTATTCACGCACTTAACCTTACTTGCAAAATTTGTGTCTGACCTCTTTTCCATCTTTGTCCTAGGTCTCCCATCCATGGCCGGGGTCTTTTCTGTAAGAGAAACATTGATGCAGGTGAGATGGTGATTGAGTATGCCGGCAACGTCATCCGCTCCATCCAGACTGACAAGCGGGAAAAGTATTACGACAGCAAGGTAAGTCTCCCACTTGCACTCACACAGTTCTTTTGTTTTGCTGTAGAAAGGGACCAGTATGACCCCTGGATCACAAAAGAAATAGTGTATGTTATCAATTCAGAGACCTTTCTTAAAAAAATAAACTCTGAAATTTGTGAGGGGCCCAGTAAAAATACAGAATCCACTCTGAGGATTAGTACAGAAAGTTGCTCTTAGAAGGTTTGTCTGAGTGGCTCCTAGTATCAGAAGCAAATAGCTATACAAGTTTTAGGTTTCTCTCTCCTGCAGAGACATTAGAAACCTCTAGACTAGTGGCCTGTAATCTAGGAAATCCTCGTGGAAGCATCTTGAAAGATAGTACTGGGAGAAATCTGGAAATTTTACTAGAAGAAACTTTCTCAGCCGCTATAGGTAACATCAAGAGAAGATTGGGACATGTTCTTAAAGCTGAGTTTATAAGAAATGACAAGTTCTTCTCCCTTCTTCTGCATGTGCAGGGCATTGGTTGCTATATGTTCCGAATTGATGACTCAGAGGTAGTGGATGCCACCATGCATGGAAATGCTGCACGCTTCATCAATCACTCGTGTGAGCCTAACTGCTATTCTCGGGTCATCAATATTGATGGGCAGAAGCACATTGTCATCTTTGCCATGCGTAAGATCTACCGAGGAGAGGAACTCACTTACGACTATAAGTTCCCCATTGAGGATGCCAGCAACAAGCTGCCCTGCAACTGTGGCGCCAAGAAATGCCGGAAGTTCCTAAACTAAAGCTGCTCTTCTCCCCCAGTGTTGGAGTGCAAGGAGGCGGGGCCATCCAAAGCAACGCTGAAGGCCTTTTCCAGCAGCTGGGAGCTCCCGGATTGCGTGGCACAGCTGAGGGGCCTCTGTGATGGCTGAGCTCTCTTATGTCCT
Organism: Homo sapiens; assembly: GCF_000001405.40. Classification (NCBI taxonomy): domain Eukaryota; kingdom Metazoa; phylum Chordata; class Mammalia; order Primates; family Hominidae; genus Homo; species Homo sapiens. The sequence continues at coordinate 118,522,317 of NC_000011.10, forward strand.
ATACTCACATCAGACATGTGATCATAGTCCCAGAGACAGAGTTGAGGTCTCGAAGAAAAGATCCATGATCGGCTTTCTCCTGGGGCCCCTCCAATTGTTTACTGTTAGAAAGTGGGAATGGGGTCCCTAGCAGACTTGCCTGGAAGGAGCCTATTATAGAGGGTTGGTTATGTTGGGAGATTGGGCCTGAATTTCTCCACAGAAATAAGTTGCCATCCTCAGGTTGGCCCTTTCCCAAGCACTGTAAGTGAGTGGGTCAGGCAAAGCCCCAAATGGAGGGTTGGTTAGATTCCTGACAGTTTGCCAGCCAGGCCCCACCTACAGCGTCTGTCGAACAAACAGAGGTCTGGTGGTTTTCCCTACTATCCTCCCACTCGAGAGTTCACTTCTGGTTGGGAGACAGGATTCCTAGCACCTCCGGTGTCAAAAGGCTGTCATGGGGTTGTGCCAATTAATTACCAAACATTGAGCCTGCAGGCTTTGAGTGGGAGTGTTGCCCCCAGGAGCCTTATCTCAGCCAATTACCTTTCTTGACAGTAGGAGCGGCTTCCCTCTCCCATTCCCTCTTCACTCCCTTTTCTTCCTTTCCCCTGTCTTCATGCCACTGCTTTCCCATGCTTCTTTCGGGTTGTAGGGGAGACTGACTGCCTGCTCAAGGACACTCCCTGCTGGGCATAGGATGTGCCTGCAAAAAGTTCCCTGAGCCTGTAAGCACTCCAGGTGGGGAAGTGGACAGGAGCCATTGGTCATAACCAGACAGAATTTGGAAACATTTTCATAAAGCTCCATGGAGAGTTTTAAAGAAACATATGTAGCATGATTTTGTAGGAGAGGAAAAAGATTATTTAAATAGGATTTAAATCATGCAACAACGAGAGTATCACAGCCAGGATGACCCTTGGGTCCCATTCCTAAGACATGGTTACTTTATTTTCCCCTTGTTAAGACATAGGAAGACTTAATTTTTAAACGGTCAGTGTCCAGTTGAAGGCAGAACACTAATCAGATTTCAAGGCCCACAACTTGGGGACTAGACCACCTTATGTTGAGGGAACTCTGCCACCTGCGTGCAACCCACAGCTAAAGTAAATTCAATGACACTACTGCCCTGATTACTCCTTAGGATGTGGTCAAAACAGCATCAAATGTTTCTTCTCTTCCTTTCCCCAAGACAGAGTCCTGAACCTGTTAAATTAAGTCATTGGATTTTACTCTGTTCTGTTTACAGTTTACTATTTAAGGTTTTATAAATGTAAATATATTTTGTATATTTTTCTATGAGAAGCACTTCATAGGGAGAAGCACTTATGACAAGGCTATTTTTTAAACCGCGGTATTATCCTAATTTAAAAGAAGATCGGTTTTTAATAATTTTTTATTTTCATAGGATGAAGTTAGAGAAAATATTCAGCTGTACACACAAAGTCTGGTTTTTCCTGCCCAACTTCCCCCTGGAAGGTGTACTTTTTGTTGTTTAATGTGTAGCTTGTTTGTGCCCTGTTGACATAAATGTTTCCTGGGTTTGCTCTTTGACAATAAATGGAGAAGGAAGGTCACCCAACTCCATTGGGCCACTCCCCTCCTTCCCCTATTGAAGCTCCTCAAAAGGCTACAGTAATATCTTGATACAACAGATTCTCTTCTTTCCCGCCTCTCTCCTTTCCGGCGCAACTTCCAGAGTGGTGGGAGACGGCAATCTTTACATTTCCCTCATCTTTCTTACTTCAGAGTTAGCAAACAACAAGTTGAATGGCAACTTGACATTTTTGCATCACCATCTGCCTCATAGGCCACTCTTTCCTTTCCCTCTGCCCACCAAGTCCTCATATCTGCAGAGAACCCATTGATCACCTTGTGCCCTCTTTTGGGGCAGCCTGTTGAAACTGAAGCACAGTCTGACCACTCACGATAAAGCAGATTTTTCTCTGCCTCTGCCACAAGGTTTCAGAGTAGTGTAGTCCAAGTAGAGGGTGGGGCACCCTTTTCTCGCCGCAAGAAGCCCATTCCTATGGAAGTCTAGCAAAGCAATACGACTCAGCCCAGCACTCTCTGCCCCAGGACTCATGGCTCTGCTGTGCCTTCCATCCTGGGCTCCCTTCTCTCCTGTGACCTTAAGAACTTTGTCTGGTGGCTTTGCTGGAACATTGTCACTGTTTTCACTGTCATGCAGGGAGCCCAGCACTGTGGCCAGGATGGCAGAGACTTCCTTGTCATCATGGAGAAGTGCCAGCAGGGGACTGGGAAAAGCACTCTACCCAGACCTCACCTCCCTTCCTCCTTTTGCCCATGAACAAGATGCAGTGGCCCTAGGGGTTCCACTAGTGTCTGCTTTCCTTTATTATTGCACTGTGTGAGGTTTTTTTGTAAATCCTTGTATTCCTATTTTTTTTAAAGAAAAAAAAAAAACCTTAAGCTGCATTTGTTACTGAAATGATTAATGCACTGATGGGTCCTGAATTCACCTTGAGAAAGACCCAAAGGCCAGTCAGGGGGTGGGGGGAACTCAGCTAAATAGACCTAGTTACTGCCCTGCTAGGCCATGCTGTACTGTGAGCCCCTCCTCACTCTCTACCAACCCTAAACCCTGAGGACAGGGGAGGAACCCACAGCTTCCTTCTCCTGCCAGCTGCAGATGGTTTGCCTTGCCTTTCCACCCCCTAATTGTCAACCACAAAAATGAGAAATTCCTCTTCTAGCTCAGCCTTGAGTCCATTGCCAAATTTTCAGCACACCTGCCAGCAACTTGGGGGAATAAGCGAAGGTTTCCCTACAAGAGGGAAAGAAGGCAAAAACGGCACAGCTATCTCCAAACACATCTGAGTTCATTTCAAAAGTGACCAAGGGAATCTCCGCACAAAAGTGCAGATTGAGGAATTGTGATGGGTCATTCCCAAGAATCCCCCAAGGGGCATCCCAAATCCCTGAGGAGTAACAGCTGCAAACCTGGTCAGTTCTCAGTGAGAGCCAGCTCACTTATAGCTTTGCTGCTAGAACCTGTTGTGGCTGCATTTCCTGGTGGCCAGTGACAACTGTGTAACCAGAATAGCTGCATGGCGCTGACCCTTTGGCCGGAACTTGGTCTCTTGGCTCCCTCCTTGGCCACCCACCACCTCTCGCACAGCCCCTCTGTTTTTACACCAATAACAAGAATTAAGGGGGAAGCCCTGGCAGCTATACGTTTTCAACCAGACTCCTTTGCCGGGACCCAGCCCGCCACCCTGCTCGCCTCCGTCAAACCCCCGGCCAATGCAGTGAGCACCATGTAGCTCCCTTGATTTAAAAAAAATAAAAAATAAAAAAAAAAGGAAAAAAAAATACAACACACACACAAAAATAAAAAAAATATTCTAATGAATGTATCTTTCTAAAGGACTGACGTTCAATCAAATATCTGAAAATACTAAAGGTCAAAACCTTGTCAGATGTTAACTTCTAAGTTCGGTTTGGGATTTTTTTTTTTTAATAGAAATCAAGTTGTTTTTGTTTTTAAGGAAAAGCGGGTCATTGCAAAGGGCTGGGTGTAATTTTATGTTTCATTTCCTTCATTTTAAAGCAATACAAGGTTATGGAGCAGATGGTTTTGTGCCGAATCATGAATACTAGTCAAGTCACACACTCTGGAAACTTGCAACTTTTTGTTTGTTTTGGTTTTCAAATAAATATAAATATGATATATATAGGAACTAATATAGTAATGCACCATGTAACAAAGCCTAGTTCAGTCCATGGCTTTTAATTCTCTTAACACTATAGATAAGGATTGTGTTACAGTTGCTAGTAGCGGCAGGAAGATGTCAGGCTCACTTTCCTCTGATTCCCGAAATGGGGGGAACCTCTAACCATAAAGGAATGGTAGAACAGTCCATTCCTCGGATCAGAGAAAAATGCAGACATGGTGTCACCTGGATTTTTTTCTGCCCATGAATGTTGCCAGTCAGTACCTGTCCTCCTTGTTTCTCTATTTTTGGTTATGAATGTTGGGGTTACCACCTGCATTTAGGGGAAAATTGTGTTCTGTGCTTTCCTGGTATCTTGTTCCGAGGTACTCTAGTTCTGTCTTTCAACCAAGAAAATAGAATTGTGGTGTTTCTTTTATTGAACTTTTAACAGTCTCTTTAGTAAATACAGGTAGTTGAATAATTGTTTCAAGAGCTCAACAGATGACAAGCTTCTTTTCTAGAAATAAGACATTTTTTGACAACTTTATCATGTATAACAGATCTGTTTTTTTTCCTTGTGTTCTTCCAAGCTTCTGGTTAGAGAAAAAGAGAAAAAAAAAAAAGGAAAATGTGTCTAAAGTCCATCAGTGTTAACTCCCTGTGACAGGGATGAAGGAAAATACTTTAATAGTTCAAAAAATAATAATGCTGAAAGCTCTCTACGAAAGACTGAATGTAAAAGTAAAAAGTGTACATAGTTGTAAAAAAAAGGAGTTTTTAAACATGTTTATTTTCTATGCACTTTTTTTTATTTAAGTGATAGTTTAATTAATAAACATGTCAAGTTTATTGCTGCACATGGTTAAGCTTCCTTTTGGCTTTGGTTGGAGAGGGTGGAGAAAAGCGGGAGGGGCATGGCCTGTGACCTGGTCACAAAGTACCTTCCACAGTCCTTTACTTTAAGGTGGCATCACTAAATTATTCCCTGTAGCCCACCTTCAGGTCCACTCCACACTGGCTCTCTTGACTATTTTCTTCCTTTATTCATCAGTGATGTATGTTCAGGACCTAATTAATTGTGGATATGAGGCAGGGTCAAGAGGACAAAGGAACAGGGCCTTTACCTTCTACATAGCTCCCCTGTTTCATCCAAGGAGGTTAAGTATTGATTTTTATCGGTTTTCTCAACTGTGAATATAATAAACTGAAAGCATTTCAGGGAGAAGCTGGAGAACACCTTCTCTAGCTGCACTCCACCTTAAGGCTGAAGCTGGATTTGTTTACTGTTTCTCCTGGGGGCAGGGGCAGTTGAGAAATAACCAAGTAGTCTGCCAAGCCAGGGTCAACCCTCCAGGCCACAGGTTGAGCAAATGCTACAGCCATGGACAGGGAGACACTCCTCACGAAGGGGTGGTCCTCATCCTTTCAGATCAACTTCCTGCTGGAGGCTCCACCCTCACCACGTCCCTCCCTCTTCTCTCATCTGGAGTCACCTTTTGGGATTTTGGAGTTGAGCACCATGGGGACTCCAAATGATCAGGCAGTGCTGCAGGCCATCTTCAACCCTGACACCCCATTTGGAGACATTGTTGGATTGGACCTCGGAGAGGAAGCAGAAAAGGAAGAACGAGAAGAAGGTGGGCATTTGATCTGGAGTGTAGCTCTGCACATAGGCTGGCCTGCTGGCCTCCCGAGGTAGCAGAGAGGGAGGTGGTTTTATAAGGCCCCTTGTTCCATGATTATGATTGAGATTGGAATCAGAGAGGTTGGCTGCTCCTTAGCGCACTGATGGGGGTTTGGTAAGAGATGTCCTGCCAAGAGGAGTAAGCTGGGGTTTGTCTCTCGATCCATCAGCTCTCATGCCTCTGAACTTACCACTTAATTGACTGTATGATCCAAGCTTAACTGCCAGGTGATGTTAAACTCTCACATTTTTGTCATAACAGAGAATACCACCACCAGAACAGAAGACTGAAATAAGGCAGGGCATGGTTGCTCAGTTGAGTGGTTCCAATATAGCAAGCACAACCAGTAACCGTTAAACACTGTCACAAGCCAAGCTCCAAACTAACTCTTCCGCAGTGAGTGCGTTCACTGGCTTTTCCATTAATCCCTAATGAAGGAGTTTTTGATCCTTTGTTTCTAGAGGAGTAAAGCCTACACCTTACTAACTCAGGCCGAAACACAGAGGGATACGTCAGAAGTGATGTTCATGATCTGGGAATGTCATGGTGGCCTTTGCATAAGAGGCGGTGTAGTAGAGTAAAATGCAGACAGGAGCCAGAATGACCTGGGTTCAAATCCAAGCTCTGCAACGTATGGCCTGTTGAGGCCATACACAAAGAACTTGAGCAACTTCTTTAACAGATTGAGGAGTCTGGGCTTCATTCTCTTGGCAATGGGGAACCAACCAAGGCCCCTTCCCAGGTCTCTTGGAACTCAGGCAATGCTAGCTCCCAGCCTTAGTGACCTCATCTCCCCCTACCCCAAACACTGCAACTGACCCCTGCTGTGACCCATACCCAGTCAGCTCTGGCTCAGATCTCAGAATTCCAAAGCCTGAGGTGGCTTTTTCTTCTTGCTACCAACTGCACACCTGGCTTCTCCTGGCTCCTTCCCTGGCCCAGATGAAGTTTTCCCTCAAGCACAGCTGGAACAGTCCAAGGCCCTGGAGCTGCAGGGGGTGATGGCAGCAGAGGCTGGGGACCTCAGCACAGCCCTGGAGAGGTTTGGCCAAGCCATCTGCCTGCTGCCTGAGAGGGCTTCAGCCTACAACAACCGTGCCCAGGCCCGGCGACTCCAGGGAGACGTGGCAGGTAAGGGGAGATGCCCTGTATCCTCTGCAAAAGGGCCCACGGGAGGGCACAGACCAGAACTGAAGTGGCTGTGCGGCTGGGGTGGCCTTGCTAAACCCCTGTGGAGCCTGTCTTCTTACCTATAAGGTAGGAGTAGTATCAGGGGACCTGCTAATATCATGGGGTTAATGTGAAATTCAGAAGAGACTGCATTCCATTGATTAAGGAACAGTTAATGAGAGCCTACTATGTGGCAGTAGGCTGGTGCTGAGGACACTGAGATAAAAGGTATATGGATCACCAACATTTATATAGCAGTCACTATGTACCAGGCATTAATCACTTTACATACAAACTAGTAAATCAATCCTCACAACAACCCTAAAAAGTATGTACTATTGTTATCCCCAGTTTATAGATGAAGAAACTGAAGCATGAAGAGGCTAAGTAACTTGCCCACTATCATACAGTCAGGCAGCAGCAGAGCTGGGATGTCAACCAGGTGGTAGGGCTCGAGTGTGTGCTCTTAATCCCCACATGATACTGCTCCTCGAAAAGCTCCCAGTCCAGGAGGCAGGGCAGACACATAATTCTGAGACCAGCAAAACAAGTTCGAGAGGGGTCAGCGTGGGACCTGTTCCTGAAGGGCGAGTTTTGAAGGATGAGTGGGAGTTAGTTGGTGGGTGGAGAAGGTACAGTCTGTAGAGGTCCAAAACTCCTGCTGCATTCAGGTTATTCTAATTAAGTGAAGACAATGGGACCATGCTGGGGACCAAAGATGAGGCTAATGTGAAGGTATAAACCACGGAAACCTAGTACTACTTGACTGTTAGGAGCAGTGGTGACACAGGTGCTCCCAGAACCAGCAATGCCAGGCTAGGGAGTTTTGAGTCCACTCCAGGAACAATGGGAACCTCCCAGGAGCCCCTTATCCAGGCTTATCTGCCCCAGATCACTGGAGACAGCCTGCAGACCAAAACCCCAGAGAGATGCAGTGGTGATTCCAACTGGAGATTCCTCCAGACCAGCTCCTCCGAGGGAAACCAAGGAGTACTGCATTCTGAGCGCTTCTCCGGAGGCTCAGGCTCTTTGGGGGACTAGAGAACATGAGTGAATTGAAGCAGAGCCCGAAAGAAGCCAGCCTGGTGGACTTTAAGAAGGTGGCTGGCTGCCTGAAGTTCTGAGTTCAGAGTTCTGAGGCCCAACCCAAGTATTTTATGAGAATAATAACAATAAAAATGGTGCAGGCCAGCTCTGGCTCCAGGACCAAGGAAATTAGATACATGGAGATAACCAAAGAATGATGAAAGGCAATCAGTCCAGGATACAGGGGAGAGAGAAGGTGTTCTAAAGAAAGCAATGGAAAAGAGAAAACGGCCCTCAAAAGGAAAACAATGAGAAACTGTCTTGATTGTACTTGTAAGAAATGATTGTGCGGTTAATATTATTTTTTGAACCCTGACATTCAGAGTCAGTCACCTGGCACATAGTGGATGCTTAATAACAGGTGTGGAATAAATTGGCTGCTACTTGCCCGGGCAGTGGGCCAGACTCATAAACATAGTGGCCATTCAGAATCCTGCAACGTTCATGTTTTCGTGTATTAGCGGTGGAAAATAATAGGAACAAGGCGAGACCTGGACTTCAGTCCCAGCTCTGCCACTAAGTGGCTTGGCTGTAGAGCTTAACTCTTCCACAGTCTTCATCTGTGTAATGGGAATAACGATCCGTACCTCTAGCAGGTGCGAGGCGGGTTGTAAATGGCCACGCCCGGGAGCCGCAAGAACCACGGTGATCCGCGCGGCCGCAGGTGGGCTGGGGCTCGGGCAAGGCCGCCCTGGCCTCCGCTGACCCCCGCCCCGCCCGTCTCGTCGGTCCCGCAGGCGCCCTGGAGGATCTGGAACGCGCGGTGGAGCTGAGCGGCGGCCGGGGCCGCGCCGCCCGCCAGAGCTTTGTGCAGCGCGGACTCCTGGCGCGGCTGCAGGGCCGAGACGACGACGCCCGCAGGGACTTCGAGAGGGCGGCACGGCTGGGCAGCCCCTTCGCGCGGCGCCAGCTGGTGCTGCTCAACCCCTACGCCGCGCTGTGCAACCGCATGCTGGCCGACATGATGGGGCAGCTGCGCCGCCCCCGTGACAGCCGCTGAGCGCCGCGGACCCGGGCGTCCGCGGGCGAGGGGACGGGACTGGGCCCTGAACCAATAAAGCCGTCGGGCCTCACCGACTCCGCCTGCTCCTGCGTCCTGCCCGCGCCCGGAGAGAAGGGCACTCGGGGGTACTCGGCGCGGGCTGGGGACCAGCCGGGGGGTGGTGAGCCGCGGCCGCCCACCTGCCGGGTAAGGGCCCCTCGGGCCCGTGGTCGGGCATCGATTGGCCCCGCCTGGCGCAGCCCCCGCCCCTGCAGCGGACTGCGGTGCTCATCAGACCTGAGCAGTTGCTCCGGCGGCGCTCGGGGAGGGAGCCAGGTGAGCCGCCCCGGTGGCGGGGGGCGGGGGCGGGATGCTCGGCGACCCCACCCTCCGACCCTCTCCTCTTCCGCCGACATCCACCGGAGCCACCAACATCAGGAAAGGGGGCGTAGGGCGAGGGATGGGAGAGAGAACAGGGCAGGAGAGAGGATGGGAACAGGGCAGGAGAGAGAATAGGATTAGGAGAAAGGCGATCCCTTTGGGGGAGGGGCGCGTGGAGTATGTGTGTGAGTGTGCGTGTGTGCAAGGTGTGGTTGCACGGATGCTCGTTGCTTCTGCGTATCTGCGGGTGTGTGCCTCTTTGTATTGTAGCCTGGAGTCAGTGCTCGCTTCTGCGCCTGCAGGATGTCCATGTGTCTGCTGGGTGGGTCTGTGCCTTTGGGCTTTGCCGTTCGTGTCCGTGCCTTCGCCACTGGGGGCTGGTCTACATTTGCGTTTCCGTACATGGTTCTTTTTGTTTCTGGAGAGTAAATTCCTGGAGCAATTGCTAGGCCTGCCTGCTGTCACCTGGCTGACAGGCCCGCCCCCTTCTCTCAGCAGCCTAGGGCCTAGGCCCGGGCCACCATGGCGCTGCCTCCAGGCCCAGCCGCCCTCCGGCACACACTGCTGCTCCTGCCAGCCCTTCTGAGCTCAGGTACACCCCTGTTCAGTCGTTGACCAAGTCCTTCTGGGTTCCAAAGCCCCCTCTCTCCCCTGTCTGCACTTCTGTTTGGGTACCCACTCCAGGCCCCAAGCCCTGGAGTCCCTGTCCCCTTCACCCACCTACCCTAGGTCCAACCAGCCAGTCCCTGGTGAGAGGACTCAGGTGCCCTTTCCTTTGGCCTGCTGCTCTTCTCACTGGGCCAATTCCTGGTCACAGCACAGTACCAACCGTGCCTGAGCCCTTCCCAGAGGCCTCCTGCTGTGTTCCAGGTTGGGGGGAGTTGGAGCCACAAATAGATGGTCAGACCTGGGCTGAGCGGGCACTTCGGGAGAATGAACGCCACGCCTTCACCTGCCGGGTGGCAGGGGGGCCTGGCACCCCCAGATTGGCCTGGTATCTGGATGGACAGCTGCAGGAGGCCAGCACCTCAAGACTGCTGAGCGTGGGAGGGGAGGCCTTCTCTGGAGGCACCAGCACCTTCACTGTCACTGCCCATCGGGCCCAGCATGAGCTCAACTGCTCTCTGCAGGACCCCAGAAGTGGCCGATCAGCCAACGCCTCTGTCATCCTTAATGTGCAATGTGAGTGGCCCTGAGGTGGGCAGGGAGATAGGTTCTTTGCCCAGGGACCCCCAGCACCCACCAGGCAGGTGGTCCGCAGGACATTTAGCAGACACTTAAGCACTTTGCAAATATGAACTCATTTGATCCTCTGAGTAACCCCATGAGGTCATTACTATTGTCGTCACCATTTTACAAATAAGAAAACTGAGGCAGAAAGAGGTAAGCAATCTGCCCAGGGTGATGATCCCGCTGGTAAGAAGCAGAGCCAGGATTCACATCTGGGCATTTGGCTCTAGTATTTACACTCATAATCACTCCGAAATGCTGCCTCTCTGGCAGACCCAGCCATCCTGTTCCTCAGCATCCCCTCTGAGGAGAGGCCCAGGCCCCTGGCTCCCATCTGGGTTTGGGAAGAAAGGGCTAGAAGTATGAGGGGCTGTGGTGAGAGCATATTGGCCTCTGCTTTGTACCAGTCAAGCCAGAGATTGCCCAAGTCGGCGCCAAGTACCAGGAAGCTCAGGGCCCAGGCCTCCTGGTTGTCCTGTTTGCCCTGGTGCGTGCCAACCCGCCGGCCAATGTCACCTGGATCGACCAGGATGGGCCAGTGACTGTCAACACCTCTGACTTCCTGGTGCTGGATGCGCAGAACTACCCCTGGCTCACCAACCACACGGTGCAGCTGCAGCTCCGCAGCCTGGCACACAACCTCTCGGTGGTGGCCACCAATGACGTGGGTGTCACCAGTGCGTCGCTTCCAGCCCCAGGTGAGCATGGCCAGCAAGCGGCCCTGCAAAGCTTCAGGTGGGCTCAGGGGTCCCGTCCCCATACAGAAATGGGAATACTTGTTGCCCTGTGGTTGGGTCTTGTGGATGAACTGTCCCCAGCCACCCTGGGCAAGGAGGGCAGAGTAGTACCTATGGCATGTTGGGGCTGGGGCACTACCCACTTGGGACCTGACACAGAGGACATCCTCCAGGGCTTCTGGCTACCCGGGTGGAAGTGCCACTGCTGGGCATTGTTGTGGCTGCTGGGCTTGCACTGGGCACCCTCGTGGGGTTCAGCACCTTGGTGGCCTGCCTGGTCTGCAGAAAAGAGAAGAAAACCAAAGGTAGGCCAGGGACACTGGGGGCAGTGTGGATGAGGTCAGGCTGAGCAGCAGCCAAGACAGCAAGTGCAGCTGGGCAGAACCAGTCATCTCTGACGGTGGCAGAGCACTTCCAGGGGGTGGCCATGGGTACGGTGACATGCATCCCAGGTAGCAGGGTCAAGCACTGGGAACCCAGTCTCTGGCCCCAGGGCCAGGCCTGGGCATTTGAGAGACCCCTTGCCTGAGGGTCCTGGGTCTGAAAGGGTAGGACAGCCCAGCGTGGGAGGGCACACTGAGAATTAGGGACATGGTTTCTTTCTCCACAGGCCCCTCCCGGCACCCATCTCTGATATCAAGGTAACTCTTCCTTGGGCTGGGTGGACAAGCCTAACCGAAATGCAGGATGGGGACAGGAGGGAGCCTGGGGTTTCTGGTAGAGGCAGCCATGAGTGCCTGTGCCGGGACTCATATCCATCCCGAACTTTGTCCTCCCTGTAGTGACTCCAACAACCTAAAACTCAACAACGTGCGCCTGCCACGGGAGAACATGTCCCTCCCGTCCAACCTTCAGCTCAATGACCTCACTCCAGATTCCAGAGGTATATCTAGGGCCCTGCTCTTTGCCCCTGCTTAATCTCCAGAAGTGCTTCTGAGAAAAAGAACTTGGTGCTTGGGAGGGGCGAGGCCTCATCAGGCACACTCCTCGTCCTGAACACTGCCCTCTTTGTCAACCAGCAGTGAAACCAGCAGACCGGCAGATGGCTCAGAACAACAGCCGGCCAGAGCTTCTGGACCCGGAGCCCGGCGGCCTCCTCACCAGCCAAGGTACTGGGGAAGGGGCCTGCCACCCTCCTCCTCTGCCCCCCAGCCCTGTGCTTATGCCAGAGGCCTCCAAGTGCCCAGGAGGCAGAGAGAGCTCTCCAAATTCCAAGGAACAAGCGTTACTGAGTCCCCGCGGGCTTCTTTGATCCCGCAGGTTTCATCCGCCTCCCAGTGCTGGGCTATATCTATCGAGTGTCCAGCGTGAGCAGTGATGAGATCTGGCTCTGAGCCGAGGGCGAGACAGGAGTATTCTCTTGGCCTCTGGACACCCTCCCGTTCCTCCAAGGCATCCTCTACCTAGCTAGGTCACCAACGTGAAGAAGTTATGCCACTGCCACTTTTGCTTGCCCTCCTGGCTGGGGTGCCCTCCATGTCATGCACGTGATGCATTTCACTGGGCTGTAACCCGCAGGGGCACAGGTATCTTTGGCAAGGCTACCAGTTGGACGTAAGCCCCTCATGCTGACTCAGGGTGGGCCCTGCATGTGATGACTGGGCCCTTCCAGAGGGAGCTCTTTGGCCAGGGGTGTTCAGATGTCATCCAGCATCCAAGTGTGGCATGGCCTGCTGTATACCCCACCCCAGTACTCCACAGCACCTTGTACAGTAGGCATGGGGGCGTGCCTGTGTGGGGGACAGGGAGGGCCCTGCATGGATTTTCCTCCTTCCTATGCTATGTAGCCTTGTTCCCTCAGGTAAAATTTAGGACCCTGCTAGCTGTGCAGAACCCAATTGCCCTTTGCACAGAAACCAACCCCTGACCCAGCGGTACCGGCCAAGCACAAACGTCCTTTTTGCTGCACACGTCTCTGCCCTTCACTTCTTCTCTTCTGTCCCCACCTCCTCTTGGGAATTCTAGGTTACACGTTGGACCTTCTCTACTACTTCACTGGGCACTAGACTTTTCTATTGGCCTGTGCCATCGCCCAGTATTAGCACAAGTTAGGGAGGAAGAGGCAGGCGATGAGTCTAGTAGCACCCAGGACGGCTTGTAGCTATGCATCATTTTCCTACGGCGTTAGCACTTTAAGCACATCCCCTAGGGGAGGGGGTGAGTGAGGGGCCCAGAGCCCTCTTTGTGGCTTCCCCACGTTTGGCCTTCTGGGATTCACTGTGAGTGTCCTGAGCTCTCGGGGTTGATGGTTTTTCTCTCAGCATGTCTCCTCCACCACGGGACCCCAGCCCTGACCAACCCATGGTTGCCTCATCAGCAGGAAGGTGCCCTTCCTGGAGGATGGTCGCCACAGGCACATAATTCAACAGTGTGGAAGCTTTAGGGGAACATGGAGAAAGAAGGAGACCACATACCCCAAAGTGACCTAAGAACACTTTAAAAAGCAACATGTAAATGATTGGAAATTAATATAGTACAGAATATATTTTTCCCTTGTTGAGATCTTCTTTTGTAATGTTTTTCATGTTACTGCCTAGGGCGGTGCTGAGCACACAGCAAGTTTAATAAACTTGACTGAATTCATTTACATATCTCTGCTTCATTTCTTCTATTAATATGTTTTTGTTTTTGTTTTATTTTGTTTCGTTTGAGATGGAGTCTCACTCTGTCGCCCAGGCTGGAGTGCAGCGGCGCGATCTTGGCTCACTGCAACCTCCGCCTCCCAGATTCAAACGATTCTCCTGCCTCAGCCTCCCAAGTAGCTGGGACTGTAGACGCCTACCACCACGCCCATCTAATTTTTATATTTTTAGTAGAGATGGGGTTTTACCATGTTGGCCAGACTGGTCTCGAACTCCTGACCTCAAGTGATCTGCCCACCTCGGCCTCCCAAAGTGCTGGGAGTACAGGTGTGAGCCACCACACCCAGCCTTCTAATATGCTTTTCTTTTCTTTTTTTTTTTTGAGACAGAGTTTTGCTCATGTTGCCCAGGCTGGAGTGCAATGGCGTGATCTCGGCTCACCGCAACCTCTGCCTCCTGGGTTCAAGTGATTCTCCTGCCTCAGCCTTCCAAGTAGCTGGGATTACAGGCATGCACCACCATGCCCAGCTAATTTTGTATTTTTAGTAGAGATGGGGTTTCTCCATGTTGGTCAGGCTGGTCTTGAACTCCCGACCTCAGGTGATCCACCCGCCTCAGCCTCCCAAAGTGCTGGGATTACAGGCATGAGCCACACTGCGCCCGGCCTAATATGTTTTTTAAATGAAGTTTTCCAGTCTCACAGTGGAAAAAATATAGCAAGCACCTGTATACCCACCACTCAACTCTGACATTACCAAATGTGCTTCAGAAAAATAAATAATATTTCTTTAATTATAGTGTTCCCAATGGCCGGATTGGCATTTTCTATTTCAGGGGCTCTTGGCTATAACTAGCATCTGATTCTCACTTGGTCCTCACTCAGCTGCTTCTTCCCACCTCAGGACTGGGCTAAAGTATGCTGAGCCCCTTTGTCCTGCCCTTGGGAACAGAAGGCTCAGACTGGGATGTGATTTTTTTTTGTACAAAGTTATGAGGTTCATTGAAATTTTGTAACATATCTATGTATGTATGTGTATATACAGAGAGAGCGCAAGAGAGCACGTGTGTGTGTGTCTTGCTCTATGACTCAGGCTGGAGTGCAGTGGTGCAATCATAGCTCACTGCAGCCTTGAACTCCTGTGTTCAAGGGATCCTCCCACCTCAGCCTCATGACTAGTTGGAACTGCAGGTGTGTGCCATTGTGCTCAGCTAATTAAAAAAATTTGGAGGGGGCAGGCATGGTGGCTCACGCCTGTAATCCTAGCACTTTGGGAGGCCGAGGCGGGTGGATTGCCTGAGCTCAGAAGTTCGAGACCAGCCTGGGCAACATGGTGAAACCCCATCTCTACTAAAATATAAAAAATTAGCCTGGCATGGTAGCATGTGCCTGTGGTCCCAGCTACTCGGGAGGCTGAGGCAGGAGAAATGCTGGAACCCAGGAGGCAGAGATTGCAGTGAGCCGAGATCGCGCCAATGCACTCCAGCCTGGATGACAGAGCAAGACTCCGTCCAAAAAAAAAAAATTCGTAGAGACAGGGTCTCACTCTATTGCCCAGGCTGGTGTGACATGTGTATAATGTGTAGTAATCAGGTTAGGATATTCAAGGTGTCCATTACCCAAGTACAATACACTTTTGTTAACTATACTCACCCCACTCTGCTATCAAGCATTGAATTTATTCCAACTATATGTTTGTACCCTTTAACTCACTTCTTTTGTTTATCCCACATTTTCCTTCACCCACATTTTCTTCACCCATTCATCAGTTGATGGACACTTAGGTTGATTCTGGATATTTGCTATTGTGAATAGTGCAGCAATAAACATGAAAGTGCAGGCATCTCTTTGATATTTTGATTTCTTTTCCTTTTTGGAGATACCCGGAAGTAGGATTGCTGGATTGAATGGTAATCCTATTTTTAGTTTCTGAGAAATTACAGGCCGGGTGTGGTGACTCATACCTGTAACCCTAGCACTTTGGGAGGCCGAGGCGGGTGGATCGCTTGAACCCAGGAGTTCAAGACCAGCCTGGGCAACATGGTGAGAGTCCCATCTCTACAAAAACACAAAAATTAGCTGGGCGTGGTGGTGTGTACCTGTAGTGCCAGCTACTTGGGAGGCTGAGGCAAGAGGATCACTTCAGCCCAGGAGGCAGAGGATGCAGTGACTGAGATCACTCCACTGCACTCCAGCCTGGGCCACAGAGTGAGACCCTGTCTCCAAAGAAAAGAGAGAATCCCCATATGGTTTTCCATAGTGGTTGTACTAGTTTACATTCCCACCAATATAAGAGTA
This sequence comes from Homo sapiens, assembly GCF_000001405.40. Classification (NCBI taxonomy): domain Eukaryota; kingdom Metazoa; phylum Chordata; class Mammalia; order Primates; family Hominidae; genus Homo; species Homo sapiens. The sequence continues at coordinate 118,538,125 of NC_000011.10, forward strand.
TAAGAGTTCCCTTTTCTCCTCATCCTCATCAATATCTGTAATTATTATTATTTGTTTATTTTTTTGAGACAGAGTCTTGCTCTGTCACCCAGGCTGGAGTGCAGGGGTACGATCTCAGCTCACTGCAACCTCTACCTCCCAGGTTCAAGCAATTCTTCTGCCTCAGCCTCCCCAGTAGCTGGCACTACAGGCGTGCACCACGCCTGGCTAATTTTTGTATTTTTACTAGAGATGAGGTTTCACCATATTGGCCAGGCTGGTCTTGAACTCCTGACCTCGTGATCTGCCCAACTCTGCCTCCCAAAGTGCTGGGATTACAGGCGTGAGCCACTGCGCCAGGCTTTGTCTTTTTAATAATAGCCGTTCTGATTGGGGTAAGCTTGTATCTCATTGTGGTTTTGATTTGCATTTCTCTGATGATTAGTGATGTTGAGCATTTTCTCATATACCTGTTAGCCGTTTGTATGTCTTCTTTTGAGAAATGTCGGCCAGGCATGGTGGTTCACACCTGTAATCCCAGCACTTTGGGAGGCCGAGGCAGGTGGATCACTTGCACTCAGGAGTTTGACACCAGCCTGGCCAACATGGCAAAACCCCATCTCTACTAAAAATACAAAAAATAGCTGGGCATGGTGGCATGTAGCTGCAATCCCAGCTACTTGGGAGGCTGAGGCAGGAGAATCGCTTGTACCAGGAGGCAGAGGTTGCAGTGAGCTGAGATCATGCCACTGCACTCCAGCCTGGGCAACAGAGTAAGGCCGTCTCAAAAAAAAAAAAAAAAGGAAATGTCTATTCTTGTCCTTTGCCAACTTTTTAATGGAATTATTTGGTTTCTTTTCCTGTTGAGTTGTTTGAATTCCTTGCATATTCTGGATATTAATCCCCTGTTGGATGAATAGTTTGTGAATATTTTCTCCCATTCAACAGATTGTCTCTTCACTCTGTTCATTATTTATTTTGCTGTGCGGAAGCTTTTTAGTTTAAGACCCATTTGTCTATTTTTGTTTTTGTTGCTGTGCGTTTGAGGTCTTGGTCATAAATTTTTTTTTTTTTTTTTTTTTTGAGACGGAGTCTCGCTCTGTTGCCAGGCTGGAATGCAGTGGTGTGATCTCGGCTCACTGCAACCTCCACTTCCCGGGTTCAAGCGATTCTCCTGCCTCAACCTCCCAAGTAGCTGGGGCTACAGGTGCGTGCCACCACACCCAGCTAATTTTTGTATTTTTAGTAGAGACAGGGTTTCACCATGTTGGCCAGGGTGGTCTCGATCTCTTGACCTCGTGATCCACCTGCCTTGGCCTCCCAAAGTGCTGGGATTACAGGCATGAGCCACCGCGCCTGGCCAGGTCATAAATTTTTTGCCTAGACCAATGTCCAGGAGAGTTTTCCCTAGGTTTTTTTCTAGTATTTTTATAGTTTCAGGTCTTATGTTTAAGTCTTTAATCTATTTTGAGTTGATTTTTATATACCATGAGAGATAGGGGGTCCAGTTTCGTTCTTCTGCAGGTGGCTATCCAATTTTCCCAGCACCATGTATTGTGGAGGGTGTACTTTCCCAAGTGTAAGTTTTCATTGGCTCTGTCGATGGGCTGTGATTTTTTCTTTATTTTAATTTTTGGTCAGGCACAGTCATTCACACCTGTAATACCAGTACTTTGGGAGGCAGAGGTGGGCAGATCACTTGAGGCCAGGAGTTCGAGACCAGCCTAGCCAACATGGTGAAACTCCATCTTTACTAAAAATACAAAAATTAGCCAGGCATGGTGGTGTGCACCTGTAGTCCCAGCTACTCAGGAGGCTGAGGCATGAGAATTGCTTGAACCCGGGAGGCGGAGGTTGCAGTGAGCCGATATCATGCCACTGCACTCCGGCCTGGGCGACAGAGCAAGACTCCGTCTCAAAAAAAAAAAAAAAAAAATTACATTGGAGAATCATGAGGTGGGAAAAGCCTAGAAATGGGATGACGTTTTGAGCGCAGATTTATCTTCTGGTTTTTGTTTTTGTTTGAGACAGAGTCTCGCTCTGTTGCCCAGGCTGGAGTGCAGTGGCGCAATCTCGGCTCACTGCAAGCTCCGCCTCCCGGGTTCTTGCCATTCTCCTGCCTCAGCCTCCCCACTAGCTGGGACTACGGGTTGGCTTGGCTTCCATGGCTGTGGGGGCTTCTGGTTCATGCCCTTTCCTCCTTTCTCTCTTGTTCAGTGTTTTCCTCCATAGAATGGCTAAGGCCGTGCCAGCCACCTGAAAGGAGCTGAGTTCTAGCCTCTACTGATTTTGCGTGTGAGCTCCTTGCCACTCCAAAATTTTTCTTAGCCAGAGGGCCTTGCTGTCACTTCTTTTGACTTGCTCATCCATGCTCCCTCAGAAGGTCCTGGGGCTCTTCCTTTGATAGCCCCTTGGCAAGACTGCAAGCTCTGAGCTCCTCTCAGCTGCACCCAAGGTCTTAATTATCAGAAAGTTTACTCTTCCTGACAAGGCTTCCATCTTGCCAAATATTCAGTAGGGGGTGGACTGGCAAACTACTGTCCCAATTCTCGATACACATCCCTTAGATCAGGGATTCCTTGTTCCTTTGTCGGGTGACAGACCCATTGGAGAAGTTGATGAAAGCCAAACACTCTTTTTTTCAGAAGACACAGATAAGAGACTCCTGCTTGTTATGCAGATCAAAACCTAGCAGATTACAACATGAAAGAACCTTGATGACATTATGCCAAGTGAAAGGCCAAACCCAAAAGATCACACGTTGTTTGACTCCATTTATATGAAATGTCCAGAGTAGGCAAATCTGCAGAGTCAGAGAGCAAGTTAGTGGTTGCCAGGGTCTGGGGGGAGGGCAGAATGGGGAGTGACTACTGGTGAATATGGGGTTCTTTTTTGGGGTGATGAAAATGTTCTGGAATTCGTAGTGATAGATGCACAACTTTGTGAACATACTAAAAACACTTACACGAGGATGAACTTATGGTATGTGAGTTAGATCTCAATAAAGCTGTTGTTTAAAAACTGATCAAATGTTAATTTGATTTGTACTTTTCACTGTTTAGAAATTTCACCTAACAGGCCAGGCGCCGTGGCTCATGCCTGTAATCCCAGCACTTTGGGAGGCCAAGGCGGGCGGATCATGAGGTCAAGAGATCGAGACCATCCTGGCCAACACAGTGAAACCCCGTCTCTACTAAAAATACAAAAAATTAGCCGAGTGTGGTGGTGGGCACCTGTAGTCCTAACTACTCGGGAGGCTGAGGCAGGAGAATGGCTTGAACCTGGGAGGCGGAGCTTGCAGTGAGCCAAGATTGCGCCACTGCACTCCAGCCTGGGTGACAGAGCGAGACCCTGTCTCAAAAAAAAAAAAAAAAAAGAAAAAGAAACTTCACCTAACAAAAGAAGAATGTCTTAGTCCATTTTTTGTTACTTATAACAATACCTAAAACTGGGTCATTTATTAAAAACAAATTTTTTAAAAAAAATTCAGCTTTTATTTTAGATACACAGGGTACATGTGCAGGATTGTTACCTGGTATCACACCAGGTAGTGAGCATAGTATCCAATAGGTAGTTTTTCAACCACTCTAGTGGTCCACAGTGTCTGTTCTTCCCATGTTTATGTCCATGTGTGCTCCATGTTTAGCTCTCACTTATTTTTATATATGTTTTAAGACAGGGTCTCATTCTGTCACCCAGGCTGGAGTGCAGTGGCACAATCACGGCTCACTGCAGCCTCGACCTCCCGGGCTTAATCGATCCTCCTACCTCAGCCTCTCGAGTAGCTGGGACCACAGGTGTATACCATCATGCCTGGCTAATTTTGTATTTTTTGTAGAGACGTGGTTTCACTTCGTTCCCCGGCTGGTCTCAAACGTTTGGGCTCAAGCAGTCCTCCGGCTTCAGCCTCCCAAAGTGCTGGGATTACAGGTGTGACTCACTGTGCCTGGCCTTTTTAGCTCCCACTTACAAGTAAGAACATGCACTGTTTGGTTTTTTGTTCCTGCGTTAATTCGCTTAGAATTCTGGGGGCCGGGAAGTACACGGTTGAGGGGTACATCTGGTGAGGGTCTTTTTGCTTGTGGGGACTCTGCAGAATTCTGAGGCAATGCAGAGCATCACATGGCAAGGGGGCTGGACATGCTAAGTCAGGTCTCTCTTCTTATAAAGCCACCAGTCCCACTCCCATGATAAGCCGCCAATGCATTTAATACCCATTAATCTATAAGTGGATTAATCCACTCATCAGGGCAGAGCCCTCGTGACCCAAACACCTCTTAAAGGCCCCACTTCTTGATATGGCCGCATTGAGGATTAAATTTCAACATGAGTTTTGGAGGGGACAAATAGGCAAACAATAGCAAATCATAAATAAATATTGAGGGCCAGGCGCAGTGGCTCATGCCTATAATCCCAGCACTTTGGGAGGCCAAGACCAGAGGATGAGTTGAGGCCAGGAGTTGGAGACCAGCCCGGGCAACATAACAAGAACTTGTCTCTACAAAAAAATATATATATAAAAATTAAGCCTGGGCACAGTGGCTTACTCCTATAATCCCAGCACTTTGGGAGGCCAAGGCAGGCAGATCACCTAAAGGCAGGAATTCAAGACCAGCCTGGGCAACATGGTGAAACCCCTTCTCTACTAAAAATACAAAAATTAGCCAGCCGTGGTGGTGCATGCCTGTAATCCCAGCTACTGGGGAGGCTGAGGCAGGAGAATTGCTTGAACCCAGAAGGCAGAGGCTGCGGTATGCCAAGATCGCACCACTGCACTCCAGCCTCGGTGACAGAGCGAGACTCTGTCTCAAACAAACAAACAAAACAAAACAAAAAACCAAAAATTTGCTGGGTGAGGCTGGGCGCAGTGGCTCATGCCTGTAATCCCAGCACTTTGGGAGGCTGAGGCAGTCGGATCATGAGGTCAGCAGATTGAGACCACCCTGGCTAACACGGTGAAACTCCATCTCTACTGAAAATACAAAACAAATTAGCCGGGTGTAGTGGTGCATGCCTGTAATCCCAGCTACTCGGGAGGCATAGGCAGGAGAATCGCTTGAACCCGGGAGGTGGAGGTTGCTGTAAGCCTCAGTTTTGTCAGCTCAAAGTTTGTCATCAGCTCAAACGTGCCTGCTCCTTAAACTCAAGCATGATGATCATAGTTAAAGGGTTTGTAAGAAACAGTTCCTCTCCTACCCATGTGTTTATTGTGTATCTATTAGGCTGATGGTATCGATTTTGTTTTGTTTTGTTTTTTTAGACAGCACCTCTGCTACCAGCGCCGGCAATGACTACCACCCCTTTGACTTTTATGTTCCTCAGTACCCTCCGTTCTCCCTTTTGCTCCTTCAGCCTCTACAACACTTTTGTAACCAATTTATCATATTATTATATATTTTTTTGAGAAAGAGTTTTGCTCTGTTGCCCAGGCTGGAGTGCAGTGGCGCGATCTTGGCTCGCTGCAACTGCCACCTCCTGGGTTCAAGTGATTCTCCTGTCAGCCTCCCGAGTAGCTGAGATTACAGGTGCCCACCACCACACCCAGCTAATTCTTTGTATTTTTAGTAGAGACAGGGTTTCACCATGTTGGCCAGGCCAGTCTTGAACTGCTGACCTCAAGTGATCCACCCGCCTCAGCCTCCCAAAGTGCTGGGATTACAGGCATGAGCCACTGCACCTGGCCAATTCCCCATATTAAACACCCCCTTTTTTTTTTTTTTTGAGATGCAGTTTTGCTTTGTTGCCCAAGCTGGAGTGCAGTGCCACGATCTTAGCTCACTGTAACCTCCACCTCACGGATTCAAGTGATTCTTCTGCCTCAGTCTCCTGACTAGCTGGGACTACAGGCATGCACCAAAACACCCGGCTAACTTTTGTATTATTAGTAGAGGTGGGGTTTCACCATATTATTGGCCAGGCTGGTCTCGAACTCCTGACCACATGATCTGCCTGCCTGGGCCTCCCAAAGTTCTGGGATTACAGGCGTGAGCCACTGTGCCTGGCTAAACACCCTTTGTTAGAAATAACTAGCATGGTTTCAGACTTCCTGACTGGAGCTTGGCTGACATAACTCCAAAATATTTACTGAATCTGTCCATCTCTACTACTGCCACCCCAATCACCTCTCACCTGGATTACCGCAATAGCTACGCTCCCTGAGACCAGAACCAGACAGGTCTGGAGCCAGACAGCCTCAGGAAGGCGGCATTAACTGAAGAGAGACCCTTAGAAAAATTAAATTCCAGAGGAAAAATGATTCCCCTCGACTGCCAATCTTGGAGGATTGGGGTTTCATTTTATTTCACAAAATTTGTTTGCTTTAACTACTCTTCATTTAATGCCCATTACTAAGCAAAGTTCCTGTGTCTCTGCGTTATGCTCAGTCAGCCTTTTCTCTTTCATATTAAATAGCAGAATAATCTGACAATATAATAGAGCATTTGATTTATAAAATCTTTACTCACTAACTTTACGAATGAAAGAAAACAATTCCATCCCTCTCACAAAAAGGACATCTTTTAAGCTTTCCTCCCAATCTAACCTCCATGGGATCTCAGAAATTCCAATTCTTATAACTCAAATCCCCACAGTGGTGTAGATGCATTAACTCCCCGGGGACAGCAATCTGAGGCAGGCAGGTTCATTAAACAAACATGTTCTGTGCCCTCTGGCAGAGAGGGCAGCAGGACATGCACTGCCCCTGAGCCAAGCTGTGGCATGGGCAAGGACATCAAGTAGCTGACAACGATCTGTCCATCTCAGCTGGGGCAGAGGGGCCAGCTCAGCCTTGAAACAGCAGCTTGGGAAGTGTCTCAGCTGAAGGTTAATGTCTCCATGTCTCCAGCTTGGGAGGTGGAATTGGATGAAGGAGTGAATGCTTTCTTGCCTTCAGCGAGAGCTTTAAAATGCTGCAAGGAAGAGGAGAGGGAATATTGAGTATTAGGGATATGCTAATTGCTATATTTTAACAAGAATTAATTTCTTTAAAATGAACCCCCTTTATTTCCTTCCTGCTTCCATTCATGAGGGAACTTGGTTCTGAAAGAACGAGTGTCCTCTGTAGATCCTCACCTGATTTCATCTAAGGCCCACAACTCCTACTTCCACCCACCCTTTTTTTTCCTCCACTTTCCCCTTGAAAACTCCATCCCTGCCTCCTTTGCTCTCCTAATTATGGGAAAGGGCGAAGGTAACTGGGCAGAGACATCCTACATCGCTATAGGATGCAATCACAGCAGGCTCAGAACAGTAGAAACTATAGTGATCCTCTCTACAGCTTAAGTCAACCCCTGATGCTTGGCTCACCTGTGAGTTCTTGAATTCTGAGTAGAGGGAAAAGAGCAGATGGAGGGACTGGATCCGACTCTTGTAGACAGGGATGTCTAGAATGGCTGAAACGAAGAAGAACTTCCAGGAACAGAAGCAAACAAACTCCGGGAATTAGAGGCCCTTCTGTCTAGCACAGGCAAAGCCCTGGCAGATGGGGTGTCGCTATGACTTTGGGGGTTAAATACCCAGCAGGTAGTCACATAAGCCAAACACCACCTTTGAGTGCTGCCAAAGAGCACAACGGGCTTAAAGTGAAGGCTGAAACTCAAGATACTATCTTCCCAGAGTAAACAAGCCTGTCCAAAAGCCTAGAGTGTCTCTATCCAGAGATGGGGACGAGGAAAGGAAAGAGGAACTCACCACAGATCATGTCAATGTACTCTGCCAGGCTGCAATCAATCTCTGCCGTGGGCAGGCTTACCTGGAAGGGGCATGGAAGGACCAAAGTCAAAAGGATGGTGTCAGTGGTCCCAGAACCACTCTCTCTCTCTGAAGCAAAAGAGCTTCTAGCATAAGACACAGGTTATGGGCTGAAATGTGTTCCCCTAAAATTCAGATATTGAGTTCCTAACTCCCTGTACTTCAGAATGTGACTATATTTGGAGATAACATCTTTAAAGAGATAATTAAATTAAAACAAGGTCATTAGGGTGGGCCTTAATCCAGTATGACTGGTGTCCTTATAGGAAGAAGAAATCAGGACAAAGACGCATAACAGAGGGAAGACCATGGGAAGACACAGAAGATGGCCAAGAAGAGACCCCTCAGAAGAAATCAATCTTGGTGGGGCGTGGTGGCTTCACGCCTGTAATACCAGCACTGTGGGAGGTTGAGGTGGGCAGATCGCCTGAGCCTAGGAGTTCGAGACCAGCCTGGGCAACATGGTGAAATTCCATCTCTACAAAAAAATTAGCCGGGTGTGGTGTTGAGTATCTGTAGTCCCAGCTACTTGGGAGGCTGGGGTGGGAGGACTGCTTGAGTCCAGCAGGTTGAGGCTGCAGTGAGCTGAGATTGAGCTACTGCACTCCAGCCTGGGCATAGAGTAATACCCTGTAAAAAAAAAGGAAGGAAGGGAGGGAGGGAATCAACCATGCCAACAAATTGATCTTGGACTACTACTGGACTACTAGCCTCCAGAACTATGAAATAATACATTTCTGATGTCTAAGCCACTCAGTCTATGGTACTTTGTTATGGCAGCCTAGCAAAATAATACAACATGCTATTTTTTCCCCCGATCAGTATGGAATTGGTCATATGTTTTATAGGTAAAATACACTGCCATACTCTTTTCCTGTGGGAATCTGTGAAAAAGAAACTGATACCAAGTTATGGGCAAGTATTAACAGTTATATATGCATTACTTGGTGTTATAATGCCTAATGATTCCAGGACACCATATGAACAGAGAAAATGGGCATGACATCTAACTCAGGTAACAGGCTCTGGATCTAAACAAGTCACAGTGTGAAGTTTTTAAACTACTGGTTTCTTAAAACTTTTCTCTTTTTACAAAAAACAGAGTACATATAGTTCTGCAACTTGCTGCAATTTGCTTTTTTCATTTAACAACATATCACTGATATTTCTTCATATTAGAGCAAAATAAGGCCAAATAATATTCCATTGCATAGTATTTCACTGAATGGATGTACTGCAACCTAGCTATTCAATCCCCTAATCAGACACCTTCCCCTCAACTACAGCTTCAAAATGCTCTGAGGAAAGAGACTGTTTCCAAATTCTGTGTGTTTACAATCAATTCTTCATATACAAAAAAAATCTGTCTTTGTAGAGCTTACATTTTAGTAGGGAAGAACAAAATAAGTAAATAAAGTCTATGGTATGTTAGAAGATAAGTGTTATCAAGAAAAAGCAGGGACAGAGGGCGGGGAATGCTGGGGAGCTGGTGCAGCAGTTTAAACATGATGGCTAGGAAGGACCTGTTGGTCATCTTTGTTCAGTTTCCTTTTCTGTTTTGATACTTTAAAAAAATTCTTTTTTGAGACGGAGTCTTGCTCTGTTGCCCAGACTGGAGTGCAGTGGCATGATCTTGGCTCTCTGCAACCTCCACTTCCTGGATTCAAGCAATTCTCCTGTCTCAGCCTCCTGAGTAGCTGGGATTACAGATGTGCGCCACCAGGCCCGGCTAATTTTTTTGTGTTTTCAATAGAGACAGGGGTCTCACCATGTTGGCCAGGCTGGTCTCAAACTCCAGACCTCAGGTGATCCACCTGCCTCAGCCTCCCAAAGTGCTGGGATTACAGGCATGAGCCACCGTGTCCAGCTCCTTTTACTTTTCTTTTCTTTTCTTTTTTTTTTTTTTTTTTTTGAGACAGAGTCTCACTCTTTCGCCCAGGCTGGAGTGTAGTGGCGCTATCTTGGCTCACTACAATCTCCGTCTCCCGGGTTCACGCCATTCTCCTGCCTCAGCCTCCCAAGTAGCTGGGACTATAGGCGCCCGCCACAGCGCCCGGCTAATTTTTTGTATTTTTAGTAGAGACGGGGTTTCACCATGTTAGCCAGGATGGTCTCGATCTCCTGACTTCGTGATCCGCCCGCCTCGGCCTCCCAAAGTGCTGGGATTACAGGCGTGAGCCACCACGCCCAGCCTTTTTTTTTTTTTTTTTTAATAGAGAAGAGTCTCTTATTGTTGCCCAGGCTGGTCCTGAACTCCTGGCCTCAAATGATCATCCCACCTCAGCCTCCCAAAGTGCTGGGATTACAGGTGTGAGCTACCGTGCCTGGCCCAGTTTCCTTTTCTTATTAATATATAAGAGCTCTTTGCTTGGACGGTAATTTTTTCTATTACATACATATATAAAATATTTTTTCTCAGACTGCCACTGTCTTTTAACTTTGTTTATGGTGTCTATTGGTATGTAGAACCTTTCATTTCTATGAGTTTAAACTGTCACATTTTCTCCATTACGACTTTTTTTTTTTTTTTTTGGACAGAGTCTCACTCTGTCATGAGGCTGGAATACAGTGGCGCGATCTTGGCTCACTGCAACCTCCGCCTCCCGGGTTCAAGCGATTCTCCTGGCTCAGTCTTCCGAGTAGCTGGGACTACAGGCGTGCATCACCATGCCTGGCTAATTTTTGTATTTTTAGTAGAGATGGGGTTTCACCACGTTGGCCAGGATGGTCTTGATCTCTTGACCTCACGATCCGCCCGCCTCGGCCTCCCAAAGTGCTGGGATTACATTACAGGTGTGCGCCACCATGCCCAGCTAATTTTTCTATTTTTAGTAGAGATGGGGTTTCACCATGTTGGCTGGATGGTCTTGATCTCTTGACCTCTTGCCTCGCCCTCCCAAAGTGCTGGGATTACAGGTGTGAGCCACTGCACCTGGCCTTTTTTTTTTCTTTTAATAGAGATGGGTCTATGTTGCCCAGACTGGTCTCAAACTCCTGGGCTCAAGCAATCCTCCCATTTTGGCCTCCCACTCCATTATGACTTTTTTTTTTTTTTTTGGAGATGGAGTCTTGCTCTATTACCCAGGCTGGAGTGCAGTGATGCAATCTTGGCTCACTGCAACATCTGCACCCCTCCTGGGTTCAAGAGATTCTCCTGCCTCAGCCTCCTGAGTAGCTGGGATTACAGGTGCCTGCCACAACACCCAGCTATTTTTTTAATTTTTTTAGTAGAAACGGGGTTTTGCCATGTTGGCCAGGCTGGTCTTGAACTCCTGGCCTCAGGTGATGCGCCCACCTCAGCCTCCCAAAGTGCTGGGATTATAGGTATGAGCCACCATGTCCAGCTCCTTTTTTCTTTTCTTTTTTTTTTGTAGAGAAGAGTCTCCTATTGTTGCCCAGACCGGTCCTGAACTCCTGGCCTCAAGTGATCGTCCCACCTCAGCCTCCCAAAGTGCTGGGATTTACAGGTATGAGCTACCGTGCCTGGCCCAGTTTCCTTTCCTTATTGATATATAAGAGCTCTTTGCTTGGACAGTAATTTTTTCTATTACATACATATATAAAATATTTTTTCTCAGACTGCTACTGTCTTTTAACTTTGTTTATGGTATCTATTGGTATGTAGAACCTTTCATTTCTATGAGTTTAAACTGTCACATTTTCTCCATTATGACTTTTTTTTTTTTTTTTTGAGACAGAGTCTCGCTCTGTCACCAGGCTGGAGTGCAGTGGCACGATCTCGGCTCACTGCAATCTCTGCCTCCCAGGTTCAAGCGATTCTCCTGGCTCAGCCTCCCGAGTAGCTGAGACTACAGGTGTGCACCACCACGCCTGGCTAATTATTGTATTTCTAGTAGAGATGGGGTTTCACCATGTTGGCTAGGATGGTCTCGATCTCTTGACCTCATGATCAGCCCGCCTCGGCCTCCCAAAGTGCTGGGATTACAGGCGTGAGCCACTGTGGCTGGCCTTTTCTTTTGGTTTTAACAGAGATGGGTCTATGTTGCCCAGGCTGGTCTCAAACTCCTGGGCTCAAGCAATCCTCCCATCTCAGCCTCCCACTCCATTATGACTTTTTTTTTTTTTTTTGAGATGGAGTCTCGCTCTATTACCCAGGCTGGAGTGTAGTTGCTCAATCTTTGCTCACTGCAACCTCCGTGCCCTCCTCTGCCCCTGGGTTCAAGTGATTCTCCTGCCTCAGCCTCCCAAGTAGCTGGGATTACAGGCACACACCACCACACCCAGCTAATTTTTGTATTTTTTTAGTAGAGATGGGGTTTCGCCATGTTGGCCAGGCTGGTCTCAAACTCTTGACCTCAGGTGATCTACCTGCCTCGGCCTCCCAAAGTGCTGGGATTACAGGTGTGAGCCACCGCGCCTGGCCTAAGCCACTGCACCCGGCCTCAATATGACTTTTAAGTTTCTTATTACACTGAGAAACACCTAACTATCCTAATAGAATTAAATTTCCCTAAGTTATAAGACACTTGAATTTTTTAAAAAGAGATAATTAAATTTCTCCTATATTTTATTTCATTTATTTTTTCAGTCATGCTCCTTCTGTATCTCCTATATTTTATTATATTACTTACATGGCTTTATTTTTACAATAACTCTTTTTTTCCCTTCTTTTATTTATTTGTTTATTTTTGGAAACAGAGTTTCCTTATGCTGCCCACGCTGGTCCTGAGCTCAAGCAATCTTCACGCCTCAGCCTCCCAAAATTATAGGACTACAGGCATGAGCCACTGTGCCCGGCCCACATTAACTCTTTAATTCATCTGAAATTCACATATGTATACAGTTGAGGCAGAAACCTACTTTAATTTTTTTCAAATAATTGTCTCATTATACCCTAATTCTATCACCAATCATTTAAAAAACTATCTTTCTTGGCCAGGCGCGGTGGCTCACGCCTATAATCCCAGCACTTTGGGAGGCAGAGGCGGGTGGATCACGAGGTCAGGAGTTCAAGACCAGCCTGGCCAAGATGGTGAAACCCCGTCTCTACTAAAAATACAAAAATTAGCCAGGCACAGTGGCAGATGCCTGTAATCCCAGCTACTTGGGAGGCTGAGGCAGGAGAATTGCTTGAACCTGCGGGGGGTACGGAGGTTGCAGTGAGCCAAGATCATGCCACTGCACTCCAGCTTGGGCAACAGAGTGAGACTGCCTCAAAAAAAAAAAAAAAAAACTATCTTTCTTATATATCAAATTACCACATATACATGGGTTTCCTGTGTTACCATTAAAAAGTTAATGAAATCCTAGCACTTTGGGAGGCCAAGGCAGACGGATCACTTGAGGTCAGGAATTCGAGACCAGCCTGGCCAACATGGTGAAACCCTTTCTCTACTAAAATACAAAAATTAGCATGGTGGCATGGTGGCAGGCACCTGTAATCCCAGCTACTCGAGAGGCTGAGGCAGGAGAATCACTTGAATTGGGAGGTGGAGGTTGCCGTGAGCTGAGATCATGCCACTGCACTCCAGCCTGGGCGACAGAGAGAGACTCCATCTCAACAAAAAAAATTAATGATCGCTGGGTGGAGTGGCTCATGCCTGTAATCCCAGCACTTTGGGAGGCTGAGGAAGGAGGACTGCTTGAGCCCAGGAGTTTGAGAACAGCCTGGGCAACAAAGCAAGACCTCGTCTCTACCAAAAATTAAAAAAATGGCTGAGTGTGGTGGTGCATGCCTGTGGTCCCAGCTACTGGTAAGGCTGAGGTGGGAGGGTCACTTGAGCCCGGGAGGTAGAGGCTGCAGTGAGCCATGATCATGCCACTGCACTGCAGCCTGGGAAGAGCAAGACCCTGTCTCAAAAAAAAAAAAAAAAAAAAGTTACCAATAATAATAATGGAGGAAGAGAAAAAACACTGGGCCCTGGAGCGAATACTGTACTTTCTTACCCTACCTCCTGCTACCTTCCACTCACCTTGCCCAAAAGCTCTTCAAACTCCGGGGACCATTCCTGCATCAGCGTGTCAATGTCGGGCATGGGCCTAAAAGTATAAAGGTAAATATGAACAAGAAACGTGAACTGATAACATCAGCAACCTCTGGATCAGCATATTCTAGGATGAAGGAGAGGTCTTCAATCTGGCACATCAGGAAGGCTTCAGGAGAACCTAGACTGGGCATACCAAAGTTACCCAGGGCCTGGGGTTTGGAGGAGGTAGCTAAGTAATACTAGAGAAATTACAATCTTTATGTCTACAATCTCAGCCAGTAGTTGCCAGGATCCACAGGACCTCAGGTTGATCAAATATGTTCCCAGCCTCTGGGCCTCTTCTCAGGAGCAACAGTTCACAGGTAGTGAAGGTTACTATGTGTTACTGTTGCAAAGAATGTGGTATTTCTTACCTGGTGTAGTGCACAGTCGCAGGGGGCTTAGAACGGTGTAATTCAGAGATGCTCTCAATCCACGTGTCAATGGCTTTGGGATTCTTTTCTGCATCTTCTAGGCTTTTTACTTTCATATGTTGCTAGGAAAGTAAGGAGAAAGCCTAGCTGATGGCACTGAAGTAGCTCTCTTGTTTTTACAGTGTCTCATTATATCTGCTGCTGTTTCATATTCGAGCTTGCTGATGACAGCTGCTGCCACGTGAAACAGTAGCCAAATGAAGGGGATAGAAAACCCTGATAAAATCTGCTGCAGCCAGGCCAGGCATGGCGGTCACACTTGTAATCCTAGCACTTTGGCAGTCTGAGGTGGGAGGATCAGTTGAGGCTAGGAGTTCAAGACCAGCCTGGGCAACATAGTGAGACCTTGTCTGTACTAAAAATTTAAAAATTAGCCAGGCATGGTGGTGTGTGCCTGTGGTCTCAGCTACTTGAGAGGCTGAGGCAAGAGGATCACTTGAGCCCAGGCGTTTGAGGTTGCAGTGAGCTACGACTGTGCCACTGCACTCCAGCCTAGGCAAGAGCGAGATCCTGTCTTTAAAAAAAAAAAAAGCCAAGTGCAGTGGCTCACACCTGCAGTCCTAGCACTTTGGGAGGCTGAGGCAGGAGGATCACTTGAGGTCAGCCTAGACAACATAGGGAGACCCTACCTCTATAAAATAAAAATTAAAAAAAAAAAAAACCTAGCCAGGCATGATGGCACACACCTGTGGTCTGTCCCGGCTACTTGGGAGGCTGAGGTAGCAGGATTGCTTGCAGATCGAGGCTACAGTGAGCCCCAATCACACCACTGCACTCCAGCCTGGGTAACAGAGCGAGACCCTGTCTCAAAAAAAAATAATTTGCTGAAGCCATGGAAAGGCAGCAGGTCAAAATGGCAGGACTGACCATAATGAAATACCATTTAGGCTGGGCTTGGTGGCTCACACCTATAATCCCAGCACTTTGGGAGGCCGAGGTGGGTGGATCACCTGAGGTCAGGAGTTCGAGACCAGCCTGACCAACATGGAGAAACCCTGACTCTACTAAAAATACAAAATCAGCTGGGCGTGGTGGTGCATGCCTGTAATCCCAGCTACTCGGGAGGCTGAGGCAGGAAAATCGCTTGAACCCGGGAGGTGGAGGTTGTGGTGAGCCAAGATCACGCCATTGCACTCCAGCCTGGGCAACAAGAGTAAAACTGTCTCAAAAAAAAAAAAAAAGAAATACCATTTCACACCTACTAGGATGGTTAGAATGAAAAATACAAACAAAAAGTATTGATGAGGATGTAGAGAAACTGGAACTCTCATTCATTGCTGGTGGGAATGTAAAATGGTACAGCCACTTTGGAAAACAGTTTGGTAGTTCTTCAAATGGCTAAACATAGAGTTTCCATATGGCCCAGCAATTCTACTCCTATGTATATACCCAACAGAATAACAATATATACCTACACAAAAACTTGTATACAAATATTCAAAGCACCATTATTAATAAGAGTGGACAGAACTAGAGAATGAATAAAGCAAATCTGGTAAATCCATACAGTGGATATTATTCAGCCATAACAAAGGAATGAAATAATTACCAGGGTCTAGGAGGAAGTGGGAGAATGAGGAGTGAATAGTAATGGGTATGAAGTTTCTTTTTGAGGTGATGAAATATTCTAAATTAGGTAGTGGTGATGGCTACAAAACTGTGATTATATTAAAACTAATAAGTTGTACAATTTAAAAGGCTAAACTTGCTGGTATTTAAGTTATATATAAATAAAGCTGTCATTTAAAAATAGAGCTGGCCCAAAGCAATAACCATCTCTTTTTTTTTTTTTTTTGAGATGGAGTCTAGCTCTGTTGCCCAGGCTGGAGTGCAGTGGCATGATCTCGACTCACTGCAAGCTCCGCCTCCCGGGTTCACACCATTCTCCTGTCTCAGCCTCCTGAGTAGCTGGGACTACAGGCGCCCGCCACTACACCCTGCTAATTTTTTTTTTTGTATTTTTAGTAGAGACGGGGTTTCACCATGTTAAGCCAGGATGGTCTCGATCTCCTGACCTCATGATCCACCCGCCTCGGCCTCCCAAAGTGCTGGGATTACAGGCGTGAGCCACCGCACCCAGGCCCATCTCTTTTGACAGGCAGTAAGTCAACTGTATGAGTGCCAGCAAGGCCTCCTCCACTCTTGGCCCTCTCCAGCTGGGGCCTATACTAAGCTAGTATCTTACTGTGATGTTGTGCTGCTTAGAATTCTCTGTTAACCAGAGTGAGAGCACCGTAGGGTCTGACTGCTTTGTAGAAGGTTCATCCAATACCAATAGGCCAAGGTTGTCAGGCTTTCCATCAGGACGTGGGACCTGGTTAAGAAAAAGGTAAGAAAGCAGAAAGGAAAATGTTTCCAATAAGTTAAGAGGAAGAACACTTCTGGTTCATCATTATTACTAGTATTAAAAGCATGCTTATCATGCTGTACGCAATACTATCCAGAAAAAAAATATTATCCATAGCAGCTTAAATATGAACCTGTTGTCATAGATAATTAGGAAGCAAATACATGACAAACTGTTAATGTGTAATGAGATATTAAGTATTACTTAAGAGCAATGAGTGTAATTTGGAGTTGAGAGCAAGGTTAAGAACTCCAATGAAATGAACATGACTAGCCAATGCTAGTCAAAGAAATTAGGGAAACTGTTAAGAGTAACAGGGGCATCAGAAGAAACACTTAAGGAGTCATTTTCAGGATGTACTGACTATACCTTTAAGAATGCATCAATATCCCCGACAGCTGGGATAAAATCAGGAATGAAAGGCTTCAGTTTGTGGTCCAGGTCAATCAACTGAGGTGTGTACCTAGGAGATATTGCCAAGGGAAGGTGGAGACAGTCAGAAAAAGTTACTTTACTATTCAGGCTAAAAAAAAATCTAAGGGGAATGGCCCTGTTTCAGACTAGAGATAGGAAAGGTTTGGGGCAAGGTAGGGATAGTGGGGTATGGTGGGAGGTCCTAGTACTCACCTACTGATGTACTGGAAGAGTTCCTTAATTTCAGCAGAAACTGGCAAATGCTCATAGTCTGCAGGGTCATAGGCCCTGGGAAAAGGAAAACAGTTTGTTCGAGGTGGCCAGAGAAGAGCAGAGGTGGCAGGGTCCTAGGTGCTGGTGTGTTACTGACTATAGGGACATGATCCTGAAGCTAGCTTCTGCCTCTCCAATATCTGCCTTTCCTGGTGGCTTGCAAGGCAACTTTAAGGTTGATTGTACTTAACTCTCAATTATCTCTGACTCTGAAGGACAGAGGTGCAGAAAATCCAAAACATAATATTTTTTTGATGTTAAAATGTAGCATAAATGGTTTTCCTTTTTTTTAATGAAAGGATGACAAGAAAAGGTAGAACAAGAGATTTTAGGGCTGGGCGTGGTGGCTCACACCTGTAATCCCAGCACTTTTGGAGGCCGAGGCAGGCGGATCACCTGAGGTCAGGAGTTCAAGACCAGCCTGGCCAACATGGTTGAAACCCTATCTCTACTGAAAATACAAAAATTAGCCAGGTGTGGTGGTGCACACCTGTAGTCGCAGCTACTCAGGAGGCTGAGGCAGAAGAATCACTTGAACCTGGAAGGCAGAGGTTGCAGTGAGCCAAGATCGCACCACTGCACTCCAGCCTGGGTGACAAAGCAAGACTCTGTCTCAAAAAAAAAAAGAGATTTAAATATCTGACATGAAAATAGTTTGCACCAGAAAAAAAAAATTATAGAAGTGTTTTTAGCAGTGTTATTATTATTTTTTAAATTTAATTAATTTATTTTTGAGACAGGGTCTCACTCTGTTGACCAGGTTGGAGTGCAGTGACCCGATCATAGCTCATTGCAGTCTCAAACTCCTGAGCTCAAGTGATTCTCCTGCCTCAGCCTCCCGAGCAGCCGGGACTATGGGCACACACCAGCATGCTCAGCTAATTTTTAAAAAATTTTTGGGCGGCCGGGTGCAGTGGCTCACGCCTGTAATCCCAGCACTTTGGGAGGCCGAGGCGAGCGGATCACGAGGTCAGGAGATCGAGACCATCCTGGCTAACACGGTGAAACCTCGTCTCTATTAAAAATACAAAAAAAATTAGCTGGGCGTGGTGGCGGGCACCTGTAGTCCCAGCTACTCAGGAGGCTGAGGCAGGAGAATGGCGTGAACCCAGGAGGCGGAGCTTGCAGTGAGCCGAGATCACGCCACTGCACTCCAGCCTGGGCGATAGAGCAAGACTCTGTCTCAAAAAAAAAATAAAATTTTGTAGAGACGAGGTCTTGCTATGTTGCCCAGGTTGGTCTTGAACGCCCAGCCTTAAGCAATCCTCCTACCTCAGCCTCCCAAAATGCTAGGATTACAGGCTTGAGCCACCATGCCTGGCCACCACCTTTTTGATTTACTCAGCAAAATCTCATGTAACCCCCAAGCCCACAAACGTTTCAGATAGTAAAGTGATACTATAGGACTGGATAAGGTAGTGGAGTCAGAAAGGGAGGAAAACTCATTATTATGTTGGGTTTCTGAGACATCTGAAAATCCTAAATACAGGAGATCAAAAGAGATGCTGGAATTTCACTTCTAACTGACGTCCTCCCACTCCAGTGTTTTGAAGGAGGTATTCTGAAGAGCACCCTTGGCTTGGGTGTTCTTTCCTCACCCTTCCAGAGGGGCTCCATGCTCTTCATCATCATCATCAGAATCAGAATCAGTTTCAGATGAATCATCATCATCATCATCGTCATCCTCATTTTCACTAAAGCCCCGTTGAGGTGTCAACTGTGAGGTCTTCTTCTTCTCCTGTGATAGGGCAGGGCAGGCATAGAAAGCTTCAAGTAAAAAAATCAAATGTACCTATGCCCAGTTCTCTATTGCTCTAACCAATACACCAACCACCTGGCACCTCGTCACCAGAAAGAGAAGGGGGCACTTCCCAGAAGGGGCTTGAGAGCCTTCTTCTGCCCCTGCTCAGCTACAAATGGGGACTCCACTTTCTAGAACCCTATTCCATTTCTCTACTTGAGGCTGGGGTATAAATTCTAATTTTATCTATTGTACATATTACTTAGATCTTCAGGGCCCTGTGTACACTTTAGACAGCTTCGGCCCGAAAAGCTATGGACTTTCAAAGAAGAGGATGGCAACTCTAGTTATTTTGGAAGAAAATCAGGGAATATGAAGTGGGAATAGAAATTTTAGGGGTCTTAATACTCACAAAGACCATAGAGAGGAAATCTAATACTTAATTTGCAAGACTGCCCAGCATAAGCTGCTTGAAACTATCAAAAGAAGAAAGTTCAAAATCAACCTTGTGCCCATCAAACCAGCAGTCCCAGGGACTATGGACTTTCCATTTTTGTTCAGTGATATTTCTCTTCATGGAGTATCTGACCTATCTGTATTTCCCTTCCCTTACCCCATAAATTACATAAAATGACTACACATTCTCTCTCAAGATAAACAGCTCTTTTGTTCTTGACATTATAACCTACCTTTCTGTGCTTCTGGCTCTCTCTGTACCATCCCACCCTCTCAAGTACATGAGAAGGGGTCTGGTGGCACTTGAGACTTGCAGGGGCAGGTGGAACAGGGTCCATGTCTTTGCCTCTGTGGCCTGGAGCCTGTGGCATGCCCTCCCTTAGGACCTGAAGGATGACCAATTGGCCCCCTTTAAAAGTAGGTTTTCAAAACTTGGTTTCTATATACCGTATGGCTTATACTGAGGTTAACACGTTTGATTCCAGTTGTTTAAAATTAATTTGTTTTTATGGTAAAGCAGCTATTGGCACACAAAATTGTGACACGTTACAGGACACCAAAAACTGCTTTTAGTCACATTTTGCTCTAAGAATAACAAATTTATTATACATAAAGTATATTCTAACTAAGCTGTAATATGCATGGCAGATAATGAAACACAGTTGCAGAATTTATTCAGTGACTATGCCTTATTAGTATATGACTGATAAGAACTTTCTAGAGCATTCTTTCTCAATTCAAGATTTGCCAAAATTATCCTTAGTCACATAGGAAGCAGTTTTGGCAGAGGGAACTTTTAAGAATATTGTCAGCCCGGGGTGGTGGCTCATGCCTGTAATCCCAGCACTTTGGGAGACCGAAGCAGGCGGATCATGTGGTCAGGAGTTCGAGACCAGCCTGACCAACATGGTGAAACCCCATCTCTACCAAAAATACAAAAATTAGCCAGGCGTGGTGGCGCACGCCTGTAATCCCAGCTACTCAGGAGGCTGAGGCAGGAGAATTGCTTGAACCCTGGAGGCGGAGGTTGCAGCGAGCTGAGGTCATGCCACTACACTCCAGCTTAGGCAACAGAGCGAGATGACTCTGTCTCAAAACAAAAACAAAAACCATTAAAATGCAGCCATCAGGCTGGGTACAGTGGCTCACACCTGTAATCCCAGCACTTTGGAAGGCCAAGGCAGGAGGATCACCTGAGGTCAGGAGTTCAAGACCAGTGTGGCCAACATGGCAAAACCCCATCTCTACTAAAAATACAAAAATTAGCCAGGCGAGTTGGTGCAGGCCTGTGATCCCCCAGCTACTCGGGAGGCTGAGGCATGAGAATTGCTTGAACCCAAGAGGCAGAGGTTGCAGTGAGTCAAGATCACTGCACTCCAGCCTGGGTGAAAGAGCAAGACTCTGTCTCAAAAAAAAAAAACAAACAAAAAAAACAGGCTGGGCACAGTGGCTTGTGCCTGTAATCCCAGCACCTTGGGAGGCCTCCCAAGTAGCTGGGATTACAGGCACCCGCCACCACGCCCAGCTAATTTTTTGTATTTTTATTAGAGATGGGGTTTCGCCATGTTGGACAGTCTGGTCTCAAACTCCTGACCTCAGGTGATCCGCCCGCCTCGGCCTCCCAAAGTGCTGGGATTACAGGAGTGCGCCACCACACCCGGCCAACATAAACGGTTTTTAAGAAATCATATGTGCAACTCTAAGGTCCTATATGTTTCTAGAGAGGTGGGCCTCTTGCCATGTTTCTTTCAGAAGCAGGGTGATTCTCTAGGTACACAGAATAACAGCAGCCAACATCTGGGTCTTAAGACCTCAAAATTAAAATCTCCTTCACAAAATACTGGCAGTATCACAAGTATTGACAATGAAAAAATGCCTAGACTGATAATTTCAAACTCGCTTTAGCATAAAATTACCTGGACTGCTTCCTAAAAAATATAAATTCCCAGGCTTTTACTTTTGAGATTCTGGGCTGGGACTGGGAATCCGTATATTTAAAAATAAGTACCTCAGTTGAGTATTATGATCAGGAAAGTTTGTGAAACACTGGCCTACATTATGTGAAATTCCTCACCAAAGTCAATTGTAGTAGTAGGCTTTATTCCTGAAGAAGGGTCAAAATCTCAAGGCTCTTTGTAACTGATTTTCCTCCATGAGCTCAAAGGTCCCTAACCCCTGGAGGTGAGTGTTCAAGAAATGTTTACCGTTGAACTGGTGTCATCTCTAACTACTAAAAACCCAAAGCAGAAATTCTACAAGAAGCTGTGAGTTTTACTGTACCTTGTTATTTTCCTCTTCACACTCATCACTGCTGTTATCAGCCATAGCCTTGTTAGGAAGATGGGCAGAACGAGGAAGTCCTTAGAAAAAAAGTTTTTCCTTTAGATTATTGTTAAAATGATTTTTAAAAACAAGTATTTTTTAGTTTTTAATATTTTATGCTCTAACCATTTTATAAAACAAGGTTTATTGGAACATCTGGCTAAAGAGACAGGAGACTGAATTCTAGTCATGGCTCTGCCAGTTCAATTCAAGATATATTTACTAAACATTACTGTGCTTAAGGCATTGGGTTAGACATTATACTATTCAAATTATCTGCCATTACATAAATAATATAAACTCTGGCCAGGGGCAGTGGCTCATGCCTATAATCCCAACACTTTGGGAAGGGGAGGCAGGAGGATCACTTGAGCCCAGGAGTTTGAGCCTAGACTGGACAATATGGCAAGATCCCATCTACAAAAAAAAAAAAAGAAAAAAAATTAGCTGGGTGTGATGCCATGCGCCTGTGGTCCCAGCTACTCGGGAGGCTGACGCAGGAGGTCTGCTTAAACCCAGGAGTTCGAGGCTGCAGTGAGCAGTGTCCAGTGTTCATGCTGCTGCACTCCAGCCCGGGCAACAGAGTGAGAGCCTGTCAGAAACGGAATGGGAGGGGAAGGGAGGGGAGGGGAGGGGAGGGGAGGGGAGGGGGAAAAGAAAAGAAAGAGAAAAATATACACTCTGCCCTTAGTTTACACATTAGTCAAATTAGGTTAATAACTAGTAAAGTACAGAGTGCTGAATTCATACTAAGAGTGGGTTTGAAGAAAAATTACTTAAAATGATTTTGCCTTTTCACCCCCTAGCACTGCTGGGCCGGCAGGTCTCTGTCGAGCCGCAAACGCGGGTCTCTGTTCCGCAGAATGGGGTTTATTAAAGTTGTTAAGAATAAAGCCTACTTTAAGAGATACCAAGTGAAATTTAGAAGACGACGAGAGGGTAAAACTGGTTACTATCCTCAGAAATGCTTGGTGATACAGGATAAAAATAAATACAACACACCCAAATATAAGATGATAGTTCGTGTAACAAACAGAGATATCATTTGTCAGACTGCTTATGCCCGTATAGAGGGGGATATAGTCTGCGCAGCATATGCACACAAACTGCCAAAATGTGGTGTGAAGGTTGGCCTGACAAATTATGCTGCAACTTATTGTACTGGCCTGCTGCTGGCCCGCAGGCTTCCCAATAGGTTTGGCATGGACAAGATCTATGAAGGCCAAGTGGAGGAGACTGGCAATGAATACAATGTGGAAAGCATTGATGGTCAGCCAGGTGCCTTTACCTGCTATTTGGATACAGGTCTTGCCAGAACTACCACTGGCAATAAAGTTTTTGGCACCCTGAAGGGAGCTGTGGATGGAGGCTTGTCTGTCCCTCACAGTACCAAACGATTCCCTAGTTATGATTCTGAAAGCAAGGAATTTAATGCAGAAGTACACCAGAAGCACATCATGGGCCAGAATGTTGCAGATTACATGCACTACTTAACAGAAGAAGATGAAGATGCTTACAAGAACCAGTTCTCTCAATGCATAAAGAAGAGCGTAACTCCAGACATGATGGAAGAGATGTATAAGAAAGCTCATGCTGCTATATGAGAGAATCCAGTCTATGAAAAGAGGCCCAAGAAAGAAGTTAAAAAGAATAGGTGGAACTGTCCCAAAATGTCCCTTGCTCAGAAGAAACATCAGGTAGCTTAAAAGAAGGCAAGCTCCCTCAGAGCTCAGGAGCAGGCTGCTGAGAGCTAAACCAAACAATTTTCTATAAAGATTTTTCAGATAAAGACGATAAACATATGGACAGAAAAAAAAAAGATTTAACCTCTTTGAGTCTCAGTATTCCCACCTCTAAATGGGGTCACTAATATTTCTAACCCAGGCCTCTTATAAGGATCAAGTGAAAAAATTTATGTGCAAGGAACTGACCCAGGGCCTGGCAAATAATAGTCACAAGTTTGAATCCGAATCAGTATGCAAAGATAAGAGCAATTTTTAAATATTCTGAACAATTAAAAGGATAATTAATGACAGGCGCAGTGGCTCACACCTGTAATCCCAGCACTCTAAGAGGCGGAGGCAGGCAGATTGCTTGAGCCTAGGAGTTCAAGACCAGCCTGGGCAACACGGTGAAACCCTGTCTCTACAAAAAATACAAAAATTAGGCCGGGCACAGTGGCTCCTGCCTGTAATCCCAGCACTTTGGGAGGCTGAGGCGGGTGGATCACCTGAGGTCAGGAGTTCGAGACCAGCCTGGCCAACATGGTGAAACCCCGTCTCTACTAAAAATACAAAAAAATTAGCCAGGTGTGGTGGCACACTCCTATAATCCCAGCTACTCAGGAGGCTGAGGCAGGAGAATCGCTTGAACCTGGGAGGTTGAGGTTGCAGTGGGCCGAGATCACGCCATTGCACTCCAGCCTGGGCGACAGAGCAAGACTCCATCTCAAAAAAAAAAAAAATTAGCTGGACATGGGGGCATGGGCTGGTAGTCCCAGCTACCGGGGGTTCTGAAGCAGGAGGACTGCATGAGCCCAGGAGGTCGAGGCTGCAGTGAACCGTGATCATGCTACCGCACTCCAGCCTGGGTGACAGAGCAAAACTCTGTCTCTATAAATAAAAAATTAAATTAAAATAAAAGTATAATTAGATGTAAGGCATTAACTGGAATGAAAACATGATAAATGATTTCTATATCAAATAAATGCAAATTAAACCCTTTTTTTATTTACTAAATTAGCCCAAATTAAAAACAAATTATAATATCCACAGCTGTCAAGAGCATAAACACGCTCAAGTCAAAAACCTAGGTGGCTAGGTCCCAAAGAATTGAAAACAGGGACTCAAATGGACACTTGTACACCTCTGTTCATAGCAGTGTTATTCACAATAGCCAAAATATGAAAACAACCCGAGTGTCCATTAACAAATGAATGAATTAAAAAACGTGGCATAGGCTTGGTGCGGTGGCTCACGCCTGTAATCCCAACACTTTGGGAGGCCGAGGTGGGTGGATCACAAGGTCAGGAGATCGAGGCCATCCGGGCCAACATGGTGAAACCCCGTCTCTACTAAGAATACAAAAAATTAGCTGGGTGTGGTGGTGTGCACCTGTAGTCCCAACTACTCAGGAGGCTGAGGCAGGAGAGTCGCTTGAACCCGGGAGGCGTAGGTTGCAGTGAGCCAAGATCGTGCCACTGCACTCCAGCCTGGGTGACAGAGCGAAATTCAGTCTCAAAAAAAAAAAAAAGTGCAATATACATGCAATGGAATATTACTCAGCCTTAAAAAGAAAGTCTACATTCAACAACACAGATGAACCTTAAGAACATCACAATAAGTGAAGTAAGTCAGCCACAAAAGGATAAATACAGTATGATTTCACTTATGTGGTTCCCAGAATAAGCAAACTCATACAGACAGTAGAATAGTGGTTACCAGGGAGGAGTGGAAGCAAGCAATAGGGAACTATTGTTTTGAAGGGTATGGATTTTCTGTTCAGGATGATCTGGAAATAGTGGCGATGGTTAAACAACATTGTGAATGTACTTAATGTTATTTAATTGCACACTTAAAAATTGTTAAAATGGCAAATTTTATGTTATGTATATTTTACCACAATAAACAAACAGAAACCCTGGATGTCATCCTTGATTCCTAACTCGAGTCAAATCCAATCCATCACCAAGTCTTAGTGATTCTGCGACAATGTCTTATACCGTATTTGCCTCTTTTCTTTATTCTCAGCTTCCTCACCAGAGGCCAAGCCACTATCATCTCAACTCAGCCATCACAACAGTCCATTCCACACACGACAGCAACACAGCCTCCAAAGCTCTGCTTATTGTGCTTCCTGCCCTACCTCTCTGATCTGACCATATCATACGGTAGTGTCCCCTCTACCATAAGCTGGTCTCTTTCAGGTCCTCAAACTAAGCCAAGTTCTTTCAGGCTTCAAGGTTTTTCACATCTCACATACTGTTTCCTCTTCCTGGTCTACTTTTCCTCAGTGTCTGGATCCCTGCCATCTATCAGTCTTACATGTCACCCCTTTAGGTCTTCCCTGACCACCCTATCAAAAGTGGGTTTCTGGCCAGGTACGGTGGCTCATACCTGTAATCCCAGCACTTTGGGAGGCCGAGGCAGGTGGATCAGTTGGGGTCAGGAGTTCGAGACCAGCCTGGCCAACATGGTGAAACCCCGTCTCTACTAAAAATACTAAAATTAGCTGGGTGTGGTAATCCCAGCTACTCGGGAGGCTGAGGAAGGAGAATCACTTGAACCCAGGAGGCGGAGATTGCAGTGAGCCAAGATCGCACCACTGCACTCCAGCCTGTGTGATAGAGTGAGACTCTGTCTCAAAAAAAAAAAAAAAAAAAAAAAAAAAGTGGGTCTCCTTCCTCACTGTTATTCTCCTTAACAGCAAACAATCTGCCTCCATCAGTGTGCACTTACCACATTTGGCATGTGTTTACTCATTTGTCATCTGCCTCCCATGATTACCAGCATCGGGATGGCAGGGACATTGTGTCATTTAACACTATTTACCCAAGTGCCAGGCATAAGGCTGGCACACAGTAGGCATTTTAAAATGCTTGTTGGCCAGACACGATGGCTCACACCTATAATCCCAGCACTTTGGGAGGCCAAAGCGGAAGGACTGCTTGAGGCTAGGAGTTCAAGATCAGCCTTGGTAACATAGCGAGGCCTCGTCTCTATAAAATTAAGAAAAAAAAGTTTGTTGAATAAATAAATAGTGTTCAGTCCTTTAAAAACATTCCACTGTGATTTTGGTTGGGGTTGCAGGCTAAGGGGAGGTTATGAAGCATCTTCAAAGCTAGGAAAAACATAAGTTAAAAAAAAAGAAAAGAAAAAGAAAAAGAACAGTGAATTCCTGGCAGACAGTGAGCAAAGCAGTAACATGAAGTAAATGGTGACAGGGTTGGATTGGGGGAAGATCCTGTAATTTGGAAGGCTATGATTTCTCCCCCTTAACTAGTCAGAAAACAAACAATGGCAAGTGAAGTAAATTGACGCTGAAAGTCAACATTTGCTATTATAAAATAAGAACTTCTTGAAGACAACCGTGAATCCATCCTGCTCTTTCAGTAGCATTTCTCTTCTTTCCTCTCTTACCTTGGTGTCTTGGGGTTGGAGTATAAATACTTGCAACCTCTTCGGAGTCGTTAATCTCTAGACGCTCATCATATGTCTGGTTTTCAACAACCTTGGTCTAAGCAAAGGGAGACATAATTCATAGCTCCTATCATGAGACATAAAGCACTCTGCCAGGAGGTATATTCCAAACCAGCATTGGCTCCTCTTCCTTACTCAAGAAACCAGTTTTTCACAAAACCATCACCCCATCCAAACTTTCCTTCAGGCTTCCTGGCCCTCGGTCAAGCAGTTAAGTCATTCTGTTGCAGCCCTTATTTAGGAACTGCTGGCAGGCTGGCTGAGGAACCAGGGAATCGTGGAGGGAAAGAGAGCCAACTTCTGCAGCTTCCCAAAGCTGTACGACCACGCGCAAGGGCAGAACACTATTTGTATGTAGATGGCCAAGGCTGTTGAGGTTTCTCAGGGAAGGCTGTAGAGGTTCTAGAAAGAGTTCTGTCTCTGGAGTCACCTCTGGGGTGGGGTGGGGTGGGGTGGGGTGGGGTGGGGTGGGGTGGGCTGAGGCGGGGTAGGGTGGGAGGGTCCCCGAAGAGAGGGGAAACTCCAGTCTCTCAGTCCCATCCGATAATCCCAAAATCATCACCTCCACTTTCACCCTTATCTTGCAGATAGGATCCCACCTAAGTTTCTTGGGGGAATAAAGGAAGCAGGACGGTTGGTGGTGAGGTGACGAAGGAACAGTTACCACGGAGATTGGAAGAGGTAACCGGGAATGGGGTAAAGGGGAGTCCTCTTAAGCCTCTCTAGAAAGACAGTTCCCTTTTTGCTGGGATGAGTACTAATTACCTGTAGCCCTTCTGAATCCGTCTCCTCTATAATGGAAAGAACCCCAGCCTAGGGCTGGGGTCTCACTCCAGTCTCAAAGCCAGGCCACTTTAGGATTCCACGCCAAGCAACCAGCCTGTTGTCAGTCGCTAGGCAAAAAGATAAATTTTAAAATTCGCGAGAGTTGCTTCCACTCTCGTGAGACCTCCTGCGCGTTAAGCCTCACCCGCGAAGGCTCTCCACGCAGGAAGAAGATCAAGGAGTCACGGATAAAGCCTCTCTGGGCGGCCAAGTCGCCTGTTTGTCTATGGTTTCAGTAAATACGTCTGTTGCGGCATCTAGCGGCTATGGGTGGCAACGCGGCTGATAAATTTCGGGCTGGTGTAGAGTTAGCCCTTCAATCTGGAAACAAGGTGTGCGTTTGTTCCCCTAGGACAACAATCTCTGGGGATGCAGTTGCTCCCAGATCAGTCTTACCAGGATGTAGACACATTCCAGGGGAAATTTCGCAGCACTCTGTAAGTCCTTTTCTAGCACTATATTACACTATAGTCTTTCCCCTCCACAGGGTGCCATGGAATGGAACATACTTATAGCAATAAATTATTCCTTGGGTATCTGAGGTTCAAATTTAACTCTGTGGGCCGGGCGCGGTGGCTCACGCCTGTAATCCCAGCACTTTGGGAGGCCAAGGCGGGCGGATCACGAGGTCAGGAGATCGAGACCATCCTGGCTAACACGGTGAAACCCCGTCTCTACTAAAAAATTCAAAAAATTAGCCGGGCGTGGTGGCGGACGCCTGTAGTCCCAGCTACTCGAGAGGCTGAGGCAGGAGAATGGCATGAACCCAGGAGGCGGAGCTTGCAGGGAGCCGAGATCGCACCACTGCACTCCAGCCTGGGCAACAAAGCGAGACTCCGTCTCAAAAAAAATTTTTTTTCACTCTGTGTCCTGTCTTTCTTATTTGCTAAAGTAGACTTTTAACTTATTTAAAGCAAGACCTGTGTCTAATTAATTTTTAAGCTTTGTAACACCAGTGTATTGCAGAAATTAGACACTAACAATGCTCATTGGGTGGATGAATCGAGGAATGAGTGAATGGAGATGTAAGGAACAAATATTTTCAAACTGTGGACATAATTAATTTGGGAAGTCAGGGAGAGAGAAACATAAAATATTGGAGGCCAGGTGCGGTGGCTCACACCTGTAATCCCAGCACTTCAGGAGGTAGAGGTGGGACGATTGCTTGAGTTCAGGAGTTTGAGACCAGCTAGAGCAACATAGCAAGAACCGCCCCCCTCCACTCTATTAAAAATAAAAAAAAAATTTTTTTTAATTAGCCAGGTGTGGTGGCACGCACCTATAGTGCTAGCCACTCGGGAGGCTGAGGCGGGGGGATTGCTTGAGCCAGGGAGGCAGAGGTTGCAGTGAACCGAGATTGGGCCACTGCATTCACTCCAGCCTGGGCAACAGATCAAGACCCCATCTCAAATATAAATAATGAATAATAACAATAATAATTTTTTGGTCGGGCACGGTGGCTCACGCCTGTAATCCCAGCACTTTGGGAGGCCAAGGTGGGTGGATCACAAGGTCAGGAGTTCAAGACCAGCCTGACCAACATGGTGAAACCCCCGTCTCTACTAAAAATACAAAAATTAGCTAGGCATGGTGGCGCGCGCCTGTAATCCCAGCCACTCAGGAGGCTGCGGCAGGAGAATTGCTTGAACCCGGGAGGTGGAGGTTGTGGTGAGCCGAGATCGCACCACTGCACTCCAGCCTGGGCGACAGGGCGAGACTCCGTCTCAAAATAATAATAATAGCAATACATTTTAAAAAGAAAATAATATTGGAAATTTGACCCTGAAAACCTACCAGAGGTAAACAAGGAAAGTGCCTTTAAAAAATGAGAGACAGCTTTTCTGGCATACTGATAGTTAAAAATAGAACTGCATTTAAAAAAAAATTTGTGATCTGTTTTGCTCGTAATAGTGGATATGTAATGTGCAGTACTTACTATGTAGGAGCACTTAGTTTTTTTGTGGGGAGCACTTAGATTATATCATCTAATTTACTTCACAACCTTATGAGATAGATGTTACTGCCAATCTACAGATTAAGTAATTGAGGCTTAGACAGTTAAAGTAACTTGCCTAAAGTCACTCATAATAAGCGCTGAAAATAGCAGCCAAACACAGGTCAGTCTGATTCCTAAGTCTCTGCTTTTAACCATTATAAGATACTGCCACTATGGGACTCCTCAAGAAGCATGCTTACAGGGTTGCTTTTTCTTCTGTGGTTTAATTCAGCTACCGTTATATTTCCGAAGAAGCAGCATCAACTGGTCTTTGCTGAGCTTCTGAGATCCAAGTTGGAAGCCCTGGAAGGTGCTACAATAAGGCAATAGTTTCTAACAGGATTTTTACTTTTCTAAAAAAATAAGAATTTGTTCCATGTTTCTTAAAATATGTCTGCTTTTTGTAACAAAAATTAAAATTGGGCCAGGTGAAGTGGCTCACGCCTGTAATCCTAGGACTTTGGGAGGCCGAGGCAGGTGGATCACCAGAGGTCAAGAGTTCAAGACCAGCCTGTCCCAACATGGTGAAACCCCCATCTCTACTAAAAATACAAAAATTAGCCAGGTGTGGTGGTGCATGCCTGTAATCCTAGCTACTCAGGAGGCTGAGACAGGAGAATCGCTTGAACCCGGGAGGCGGAGGTTGCAGTGAGTTAAGATGGCACCACTGCATTCTAGCCTGGGCGACAGAGTGAGACTGTCTCAAAATAAATAAATAAATAATAAATAAATAAATAAAAAGTTACCCCATAAATGTGTACAGTTGTTATCTTTTTTAGGACATTTCATCATCCCCTAAAGAAAGTTTGTACCCATTGTCACTTTTTTTTTCTTTTTTTGAGACAGGGTCTCACTCTGTCGCCCAGGCTGGAATACAGTGACGAGACCTCAGCTCACTGCTATCTCTGCCTCGGGGTTCAAGCGATTCTCCCACCGAGTAGCTGGGACTATAGGCATGGGCCACCACGCCCAGCTAATTTTTGTATTTTTAGTAGAGATGGGGTTTCACCATGTTGCTCAGGCTGGTCTGGAATTCCTGACCTCAAGTGATCCGCCCACCTCGGCCTCCCAAAATGCTGGGATTACAGGCGTAAGCCACCGCACCTGGCCAGTGGGTACAAGTATTATGTGTCAATTAGAAAATTTAAAAATAGGCCGGGAGCTGTGGCTCACGCCTGTAATCCCAGCACTCTGGGAGGCTGAGGCAGGCAGATCACTTGAGGTTAGGAGTTCAAGACCAGCCTGGCCATGGTGAAACCCCATCTCTACTAAAAATACAAAAAACTAGCCAGGCGTGGTCGTCCATGCCTGTAATCCCAGCTACTTGGGAGGCTAAGTCAGGAGAATCCCTCCAACCCAGGAGGCAGAGGTTGCAGTGAGCTGAGATCATACCATTGCACTCCAGCCCGGGCAACAAAAGCGAAACTCCTTCTCAAAAAAAAAAAATTTTTTTTTTTAAAATATTGACTGGGCTCAGTGGCTCATTCCTGCAATCCCAGAACTTTGGGGGGACAAGATGGGAGTACTGCTTGAGGTCAGGAGTTCGAGACCAGCCTGGGCAACATAGCAAGACCCCCATCTCTCTAAAAAAGTTTTTTTAATGAAAAAAAACTTTAAAATACAGTTTGACATATATCCTCCCAGACATATAAAATTTAAAAATATTTGAGCTTTCTAAAGATTTCTATTAGAAGGCCATTGGAGATGGAATTGATACGGGTAAGAGCAAGAAGTCTATAATGCAGTGCTTAAGGGTATAGTCCAAAGTTGAACAGCCTTTGTTTGAATCCTCGCTTACCTACTTTTTAGCCATGAGACCTGTGGTGGGATAGTTTTCTTCTCTGTACCTTGATTTCCTCATGTGTAAAATGGAGACAATAAAGGTACCTATCTCAGAGGATTCTTGTGAGGATTAAATGAGATAATCTGTGTGAAGTTAGAGTAATGGCTGGTATGCTGTAAGTGTTCAATAAATGTTAGGGAACACACAGGAGATACAGAGGCAGTGTGTTTTAATGGAAAAAGCTGACTTTGTTTTTTTGTTTGTTTGTTTTGAGACTGAGTGTTACTCTGTTGCCCAGTCTGGAGGGCAGTGTTGTGATCTCAACTCACTGCAACCTCCGCCTCCCAGGTTCAACCAATTCTCATGCCTCAGCTTCCCAGATAGCTGGGAGTACAGGCATGAGACACCACGCCCAGCTTTTTTTTTTTTTTTTTTTTTTTGAGACGGAGTCTCCCTCTGTCGCCACGCTGGAGTGCAGTGGCATGATCTCGGCTCACTGCAACCCAACCTCCGCCTCCTAGCTTCAAGGATTCCCCCACCTCAGCCTCCCGAACAGCTGAGACTACAGGCACGCGCCACCATGCCCAGCTAATTTTTTTTTTTTTGTACTCTTAGTAGAGATGGGGTTTCACCATGTTGGCCAGGATGGTCTCGATCTCTTGACCTTGTGATCCGCCCACCTCAGCCTCCCAAAGTGCTGGGATTACAGGCGTGAGCCACCGCGCCCAGCCAGGAGAAAACTGACTTTGAACTTGGCTCTACCACTTACTAGTTGTGTGAGTTTGGACAAATGCTTAACTTTTTTGATCCTCAGTATCTTTATTTGGATTGATGTAAAAGATTGGAAATAACATGTGTAAAGTACCTGACACAAATGAAGCACTCAATTAAAAGTTGCTATTATACTTAATTGTGGACATACAGGTTTAATATGGATGAGTGCTGTTCGGTTGAGCTAAGGATGTAGGATAAAATGATTTAAGGAAGAACTACTGAATCAGCTATACTCTGAAAAATCTGAAATTTGGCATACAAGAAATAACATGAGAATCACAAGAACAGATTTTGAGTCTTGGTTCCATCATATACTGGTTTAGAAACTTTGGGTAAGTCACTTAAACTTTTCACCATTTTCTTCATATACAAAATGGACATGAGCACAACTGCCCTGCTTCCAGTGCATGTTTTTTTAAAGATATAATTTACAAATCATAAAAATTCACCTTTTAAAATTATACAATTTAGTGGTTTTTAGTATATTTGCCTCTATCTAGTTCCAGAACTATTTTTTTTTTAAGAGTCTAAGTCTCACAATTTGCACAGGCTGACCTTTAACCCCTGGTCTCAAGCCATCCTCCCAACTCAGCCTCCCAAGTAGCTGGGACTCTAGGATCATGCCACCATGCCTGGCTTAATTCCAGAATGTTTTAATTATTCCAGAAATAAATCTTACACTAATTAACTGTCACTCTCTATTCCTACCCTTCCTGAGCCCCTGGAAATCACTAAGCTAGTTTCTGTCTCTGTGGATTTTCTTCTATTCTGGATCTTTCGTATTAATGGAATCATATATGAGTGCCCCATTGTATCCGTCTTTTTTCACATAATATTCTCAAGGTTCATCCATATTGTAGCATGTCAGTACTTTATTCCTTTTTGTGACTAAATAATATTCCATTGCATATATATGCCACATCTATTGATGAATGGATTTGTTTGGATTGTCTCCACTTTTTGGCTACTATGAATAATGCTGCTATGAACATTAGAGTACACATTTTTGTGTTGACATATATTCAGTTCTCCTGGGTATGTACCTATGAGTGGAATTGCTCAGTCATGTGGTAATTTTGTTTAACTTTTTGAGGAACTGCCAAACTCTTTTCCAACGTGGCTGCACTATTTTACATTCATCCTCACCAACAATTATTATGATAGCCATCCTAGTGAGTGTGAAATGACGTCTCACCACGGGTCTGATTTCCATTTCCCTAAGGATATTCAACATTTCTTAATGTGCATATTAGCCATTTATATATCTTCTTTGGACACATATCTATTCAAATCTTTTGCTCATTTTAATTTTGTGTTTTCTACTCCCTCCATTTTGCAGATGAAGCCCATTTTTAGACAGGAATACTGTATTTGTCTTTTTATTGCTGAGTTATAAGAGTTCTTAGGCCAGGCGCGGTGGCTGACGCCTGTAATCC
Source organism: Homo sapiens (assembly GCF_000001405.40). NCBI lineage: Eukaryota > Metazoa > Chordata > Mammalia > Primates > Hominidae > Homo > Homo sapiens. The sequence goes on from NC_000011.10 coordinate 118,571,839, forward strand.
CAACATTGGGAGGCTGAGGCGGGCGGATCACTTGGGGTCAGAAGTTTGAGGCTAGCCTGGCCGACATGGTGAAACCCCGTCTCAACTAAAAATACAAAAAACAGCCGAGCGTGGTGTGGCGCGTGCCTGTAATCCCAGCTACTCCGGAGGCTGAGGCAGAAGAATCGCTTGAACCTGGGAAGTGGAGGTTGCAGTGAGCCGAGATCACGCCATTGCACTCCAGCCTGGGCGACAGAGTGAGACTCCATCTCAAAAAAAAAAAAAAAAAGTTCTTTATATATTCCGGATACTGGTCTTTTAGGCACACAGGTTATCCTGTATATTAAATAATAGTGGCTGTGCCAGCGGCTTGTTAAACTGTAAGATGTGACGCAAAATAAATGAAGGCGATGACAGTGAAAGGGGAGAGATACGAGGTTCCACAGCTGGAGGGTGAACGCCCCCTACACCTCCTGGGCTTAATCGTAACCGGAGCGGGGTACCCTCAATTTCCCCAGCCCACAGGCCCCGCCCCCCCCCCCGCCCTTTGACCTGCGCCGCTTCCGGTTGAAGACGTGGCTTGGGGCCGCCATCTTGGCAAGAGGCGAAGCGGCAGCGGTTCCTGTCAAGGGGGCAGCAGGTCCAGAGCTGCTGGTGCTCCCGTTCCCCAGACCCTACCCCTATCCCCAGTGGAGCCGGAGTGCGGGCGCGCCCCACCACCGCCCTCACCATGGTAAGATCCGAGCCAGGACCCGAACTCCTGGGGTCCGAGCCTCACCGTCTCTCCTTGTCGGCGGGCCTGGGGCAGGGGCCGGAGGAGCCCCGCCCTGAGGGTCTAGGGCAGAGTGCTTTTGCTCCGGGCTCGGGGAGCAGTGTGGCCTCCTGTGCCCGGTCTCCTGGAGATCCGATGGAGCTGACTCCAGTCCATCTGTCGTCGTGCCCGCTTCCGCACCACCCCCCAACCAGCTGGACTCCCTCGTTTGCTGGGACCTGCCCCTGAGACGGCCCGGCGTTTTTGCTCTGCGAGAACTTCGTGGTGGTGGTGCGGGTCCCAGGCTGCGGACCTCGGAACTGATGCTGTCCCGCCGGTTCCCTGGCGCTTAGGCTCAGCAGGCTGGGCCTGTCTCCGGAGGTTCTGGTCCTTCTGTTAATCAGAGCTTGTCTCCCACCCCCGGTGTTTGCTAGGCCGTTGATAACTCGAAATGCAAATCCACTGGTGTCCAGAAATTTTTCTTTTTGTTCAGAAGGGGGAAATGGAGACACAGAGCGGAAAGGAGTAACTTCTAACACTAATGTATAGGACCCAAGTGTCTCTGAAACCTTCCACTACTTCCGCAGAACTCACTTGTGTCCATTTGTTAGTGTGACTCGGGGTACATACACTGTGTAGACCACTGGGAAAATGTGAGCAGGTTCCAGAGAACACAGGGTTTGCCTTCAAGGAACTTATTGTCCAGGTGAAGAAAAATGTGTATGTGGCATGTCGTAGTCAGATGTCTCACAGGAGGTGGAGTAAGAGGGATGGGTTAGCCTCCGAGACCAGTTACTTGCCTTCCCATGCGTTATCTTTGTATACTCATCTGTTACAAGGATGAGAAAGGTTAATGTGGTTGAGGATGGAGGAAATCAGAACTGCTGACATCACTCAATCTTCCTTTATCGCTGTGATTTGTGGATATTCATGAAGTAGTAGACATTCTTTGGTTTCAAAAAAGCTAGTAATTTATTTTTCAGTGCACCTTATGTCCTTTAGTCTTTTGAAGGATGTTCTGTTCTGTTCTTTTTTATTCTTTTGTCAATAGATAACTTGATTTAAAACATCGTCCAGTGTACCTGAGAGATGGCAGAATGTAATTTGGTGGCAATCCTAATAAGTTCTATTGACAACCCTTTAGATAAGAACTTGGATAATGGGGGGAATTCATGCTTGGACTTTAGGCCACTGAACAGCTTTTCTCAGCCTCAGGTATATAAATTGCATCAAACAGGTTTGCCTCCTAAAATTTTTGTGTTGGACACAAAATTTCCAGAAACTTGTATTTTCAGTTTCTCCAGGAGGTTCTGTATTTGGTTAGTGATTTTGAAACTCAGTTCCCGTTTACACCCTGGAATTAATAATGCATTTTAGAGCATATTTTTATTTTAATAGTAAAGTTAAGGTCTTGTATTATATAAACCAGATAAAGGTAATCTTTCTAAAAATATTCTTTGTTAAAAGGTTCTTGGAACTTAGTATTTTTAATTCATTGATAACTGAGGGATGGTAAAGCCCTACGTGATATATATAAAATATAACTTTTGCATGCTATTTTGACATGTGTACGTATACATAGAGTTGTGTCACATATTTCTGAATTATTTGGGACTTAACATGATCCAGATACCCACAGATTTGTGTACTCTGGAGAACAATTTATCTCAGTACATTCTGCTCTGTAGAGTGTTAAGACATTGGTATGATTTCTGTGTAATGTTTTTGGGTCCTGCTCCTTTACAAACAGATCCCTGGACAGTAGAAATGTCCAGATAGGGTGAAATTTTTATCTAAAAGTTGTATCAAAATTTCCAGCGTTTATTTTAGCTCAACATTTCATTATGAAATTTTCCAACATCTGGAAAAGTTGAAAGAACTTTGTAGTGAATACCCATATAACCACCAACTAGATTCTATAACTAACATTTCACTATATTTTATCATGCATCTAATCATCCATCCATCCCTCTCTCCATTAAAAAAAAATATACATTTCAAAGTAAGTTGCAGATATCAGTACGTAAACATTGATTTTTTAAAAAATAAATTCCCTTTGGCTTTAGTTATTGAAGTGCAGAATGTCCTAGACTGCAAAGTTCCAATAGATAAATAAGTGAACAAATGCAGAAACAAATGCTTTCTCATGACTTCATCATAAAATAAAGTACAAAGAAAGGCATCTTTTGATTTTTTTTTTTTAAAGAGACAGGGTCTCACTATGTTGCCCAGGCTGGAGGGCAGTAGCTATTCACAGGCGCTATCATAGTGCACTGCGGCCTAGAACTCCTAGCCTCAAGCAATCCTCCCGCCTCCATATCCCAAGTAGCTGGGACTGTAGGCATGCGGGCCTTGATTTGATCTTTTTTTTGTATTCTGCAAATTAATGAGAACATGTTCTGACTTTTTTTCTTGTTTGTTTGGTTTTCGAGACGGATTCTCGCTCTGTCTCCAGGCTGGAGTGCAGTGGCACAATCTCAGCTCACTGCAACTTCTGCCTCCCGGGTTCAAGCTATCCTCCTGCCTCAGCCTCCTGAGTAGCTGGGACTGCAGGCGCCTGCCACCACGCCCAACTACTTTTTTGTATTTTTAGTAGATACGGGGTTTCACCATGTTAGCCAGGATAGTCTCGATCTCCTCACCTCGTGATCTGCCCGCCTCGGCCTCCCAAAGTGCTGGGATTATAGGTGTGAGCCATGGCGCCCGGCCCCTGTATTATTTATGTATCTTTTTAATTGTGTTTTGAGGGACAGCAAAGAAAGAAAATGATTCTCTTGAGTTTCCATTGATTTGCCATCTATTTATGTCTTCATATAGAAGTTCACTGCAGAAACTGATAACGGGTGTGTGTGTGTGTGTGTGTGTGTGTTTTAATTCTCTGCAAGCTTTTGTTTTAGAATAGAAATGTGATGGACTTAAAACCCTCACTGAGTAAATTACTTTTCAAGTTTTAGGTTTCGTATGTGGTCTACATTTTATTGTAATCTTCTCTCTGATTTTATCTATAATAGCTTCATATAAATAGAAAAGACAGAACAGTCCTCCCTGACAATTATAGAAACTAGCCTTAATATGACCATGAATTGTGTGTGCATGTATATGTGTATAAAATATTGCGGTGAATTACAAAGGAGAAGGTGACTATAATTCTGGAAGTAAGGGATCCTGAAGCATTTAGAGATTCAAGAAAGAACTTGACTTTTTTTGAGAGAGAGTTGTGCATATTTATCCTGAATTATTATACCACCTGTTATTCTTGTATCTCTCTTGCACACACAATTTGTTATGGTTAGACAATTTGCCTTCTGGCAGCCTAATGTTACTATAAAATATTGTTCCAAAGTGGTTAGAACTGGAGCAGTGGGTATAAAATGGAAGTATTGTACATTTTCTGTCACTGTAGTTGTTTTTTTTTTTTTCTGTTACTGTAGTTTTCAAATGCTTAGACTTACAGAACTTTAAAGACACAGAGCACTTTGGATTTCATGTAAACTAACCTCCTATGTTAGGGATATTTCAATAATCAATTAAGTGACTTATCCAAGGTCACATAATTAGTGGCAAAGGCAGAACAGAAACCTAATTCTCCAGGTTTTTTTACTTGAGGCACTTAACAATTCATGTAGTTAAGTCTGTGTAGGAGAGAGTTGTTATTTAGTCCAAAGATAGTGTACTCAAACCATGTAAGAATTATTAAAAGTTGTTTGGCAAAGCTCAACTTTATGAGGGAATTTTTTTTTTTTTTAACCGTCCTGGAGAGATCATCTAACTTATGGGCCCTCAGTTTTCACATCTGTAAGACAATCAAGGGCTCTTGCAAGTTCCTTTTAGATCTGGAATGTTTTTTCCAAAAATGTTAAAAAAAAAAAAAAAAAAAAAAACCAAAAACTTTGTAATCATATTTATTAATTCTTCCTCAGAGAAAATCAGATCAAATTTCAATAGGGAAAATTGTTAACTTACCTTTTAGTATATGCTATATTTTAATAATTGTTAAACCAGTAAACATTAATGTAAAGAGGTTTATTATTTCAAGAACTTTAAGAAGACAAATGTTAATTTAGGATAGGATAAATTTATCATGTTTAGAGGTGACCATACCTTCTAGCCATATTAGTAGCTGTAACAGAGAGACCTGTGTCAACTGCCTGGAACCTGTAATTTGTGGTGTCCTGGGTGTTCGGAGATTTATGCTATACTTAGTATGGGGAACTATGGTCCTATTTTGGAAGCCTTGTTTTGCTTGTATCTGGATAATGGAATGACTCAAAGAGAGACATATGATTTTACCCTACTTCTTTCTTCATCTTGACGTACTGAAAGCCTGGAATTCTGGCCAGGTGTGGCGGCTCATGCCTGTAATCCCAGCACTTTGGGAGGCTCAGGCGGGCAGATCACTTGAGGTTGGGAGTTTGAGACCAGCCTGGGCAACATGGCAAAACCCTGTCTCTACAGAAAAATACAAAAAATTAGCCAGGTGTGGTGGCCTGTGCCTGTAGTCCCAGATACTTGGGAGGCTGAGGTGGGAGAATCACCTGAGCCCAGAAGGTTGAGGCTGCACTGAGCCAAGATCACGCCACTGCACTACAGCTTGGGCAATAGAGCAAGACTCTGTTTCAAAACAAACAAATCCTGGAATTCATCAAAGCATGATCTAAATTCTGTTTCTTTCTTTCTTTCTTTCTTTTTTTTTTTTGAGGCAGAGTCTCACTTTGTAGCCCAGGCTGGAGTGAAGTGGTATGATCTTGGCTTACTGCAACTTCCGCCTCCCAGGTTCAAGCAATCCTCCCACCTCACTCTCCCCGTAGCTGGGACTACAGACGTGCACCACCAGACTTGGCTAATTTTTTGTATTTTTTGGTAGAGACAGGGTTTTCCCATGTTGACCAGGCTGGTCTCGAACTCCTGACCTCAGGTGATCTGCCTGCCCTGGCTCCCAAAGTGCTGGATTAAGGCATGAGCCACCGCTCCCGGCCTAAATGCTGTTTCTTCTATCAAGTCATCCCTGACTGTACCAGCTGGAAGTAATCTCTTCCTCTGAATTTCCACGCACTTTATCGGTTACTCTCTCATGTTACTTAACACATTCTGCCTCATATTACAGTTATTTGTGTTTGTGTCTTATCCCTATTAAGCTTCTTGTAGGCAGAATGCTAGCCTGTGTCATCTTAATTCTCAGAAAGCATGTTGTATGTATAGTAGATGTTCGATAAATAATTACTCAGTTAATTCTTATAATATCGCAAAAATGGAGATTACCAGTACCTATAATTAGTTTTTGAACATGCTCATCAGTAAAGTGGATGGGCCAGGTGCAGTGGCTCACTCCTGTAATCCCAACACTTTGGAGGCCAAGGCGCGCAGATGACTTGAGGCCAGGAGTTGGAGACCAGCCTGCCCAACATGGCAAAACCCTGTCTCTATTAAAAATAGAAAAATTAGCCAGGCTTGGTGGTGCTGGCCTGTGCCTGTAGTCCCAGTTACTCAGGAGGCTGAGGCATGAGAATTGCTTGAACTCAGGAGGCAGAGCTTGCAGTGAGCCAAGATGGCACCACTGCACTCCAGCCTGGACTACAGAGTGAGACACTCTCTCAAAAAATAAATAAATAAATAAATAAATAAATAAATAAATAAATAAATAAATAAAGTGGATAGTAACATACACCTTTTTGTTCCTTTTTCCCTCTCAAGTTGCTTTTGATGTTTTTACCTAAATTTTACTTGTATGGTATAGAGGTGTTTTTAACTCCAGTTGGAAACCTAAGAACTACCCTTGAGCCTGTAAACATTGTTTCTAACAGGTTTATTATTAGATATGGGGTTTCTATTAAATGCAGCATGTTTATATAGGTCTGAAGTTTTGGTCTGAGCTGTCCTTTCTTTAGGTGTTCATTTGATTTGTCTTATTTCTTCAAAACCTCATAAAATTCTAACATAGAGGACCATGACTTCCTAGAGCTATGACTCTCAACCTTTTAGGGATAGGAGGCTCTACAGGGATTACATTTACAATATGCTCCCATTTATTAATAATATTTCTCATCGCATGAGGGGATTTTCTATGGGCCATTTGAAATAACTTCTCTAGAGGATCGATGCATTCCCTGAAACTGTATGTAAAATTTTGGGGGGAGAGTCAATATTCATTATTTGAATATCAAAATATTGACAAAGGCAAAAATCCATTGCCTTGGCCGGATGCTGTGGCTCACACTTGTAATCCCAGCACTTTGGGAGGCTGAGGTGTGCGGATCACTTTAGCCCAGGAATTTGTAGCCTGGGCAACATGGCAAAACCCCGTCTCTCTTTTTTTTTTTTTTTTTTTTTTTTTTTTTTTTAATAAAAAAAGAAAAATCCATTACCTTGAAGTGGCATAAATTTTTTTCATGAGATGCATGTTTATTATTACTAATGGTGCTGTTTTACATCATGAATATATGTGCTACAAGTTGTATAGCACTTCTGAAGTACAGTTTCATTATAGTCATTTGGCCCTCATAATAGCTTGTAAGGTCATTAGATAATGCTGCATTTTATAGGAAAAGAAACGAGGTTAAGAGAGGTTGGGTAACTGAAGGTCAGGCAGATAGTAAATAGAAGAACAAAACTAGAAAATAGATTTTCTCACTCCCAGTCATTTAGTTTTTCTAATATCAGCTTGGTTCTTTGCAAATTTGGGACACTAGTTCTAAGTCTTTAGGAAAAGGAGAAACCAATGTGAAATGATCCCAAATATAAGGGAATTCCCTACTTTTCTGATGAAACTATTAAGAAGGAAAGCTTTTTGCCAATTGTATAAACTTTTTAAAATGCAGCCAAAATAGGCCGGGCGGTGGCTCATGCCTGTAATCTCAGCACTTTGGGAGGCCGAGGTGGGCAGATCACCCGAGGTCAGGCATTTGAGACCAGCCTGGCCAACCAACATGGTGAAACCCCATCTCTACTAGAAATACAAAAAAAAAAAAAAAAATTAGCCGGGCGTGGTGGCAGGCGCCTGTAATCCCAGCTACTCGGGAGGCTGAGACAGGAGAATCACTTGAACCTGGGAGGTGGAGGTTTCAGTGAGCGGAGATCTTGCCATTGCACTCCAGCCTGGGCAACAAGAGCAAAACTCCATCTTAAAAAAAAAAAAGGTAGCAAAAATAGTCAAATATGTTCTTAAAATAGTTAATAATTCACTTATATGTATATGTTTTAAATAAATAAAGTTTAATTTAGAAATAATTACTTTTTTCCATTTTCATATTAATAAAACAATTTTTTCTAGATTCTTTATGAACATCATGTCATCACTGGGGCCACTTTTTGAATCATCAGTTTGGTATTTAGCAGTTTTGAATCCATGTGTGATATATTGGCAGTTTGGGAAATTTTATCCCAAGTCATAAAAACCCATTTATATAATATTAGGATAGTTGCTTTTAAAAGGAATATTTTGTAACTGATATTCAACACATGAAATTGTGAGTTCTGGCTAGGCGTGGTGACTCATGCTTGTAATCCCAGCACTTTGGGAGGCCAAGGTGGGCTGATCACTTGAGTCCAGAAGTTCAAGACCAGCCTGGGCAACATGGTGAAACCCCACTTCTACCGAAAATACAAAAATTTGCCAGGCATGATGGCACCTGCCTATAGTCCCAGCTCCTTTCAGGGGGCTGAGGCAGGAGGATTGTTCAAGCCCAGAAGTTGAGGCTACGGTGAGCCAAGATTGCACCATTACAGTCCAGCTTAGGTGACAAAGTGAGACCCTGTCTCCAAAAAAAAAGAAAGAAATTGTGAATTCTGATCCTCAGGATAATTACTAAATCCAGTGACCTTTTGTTAGTACTACATGCAAAACTAGCGTAGTTTGAAGATAAGATGTATCCCAGACAATTATTTTAGTTCAATATAAAGTCATTGAGGGAGCACCTTTAATATGAGAGACTATGGAAGGATTCAAAACTACACAACTCTTTTTTAAAAATATATAAGTATTCCTTACATAAAAATATATTACCATGATAGCATATTTTCACACCTAAAAAATTAGCAATAATTTTTAATATTATCAATTATTCAGTCACTGTTCAAATTTGATTTATACATTGTGATTGATTGACATGTCTAAGTCTCTTAATGTGTTTGTATTTTTAGTAGAGATGGGGTTTCACCATGTTGGTCAGGCTGGTCTCGAACTCCTGACCTCAAGTAATCCACTCGCTTTGGCCTCCCAAAGTGCTGAGTTTACAGGTGTGAGCCACTGTGCCCGTGAAAGTCAGTATTCTATTACTTGTCATGTCAGCTGGTCGTGGTAGTTCACGCCTATAATCCCAGCACTTTGGGAGGCCAAGGCAGGAGGATCGCTTGAACCCAGGAGTTCAAGACCAGCCTGGGAAACATAGCGAGATACTGTCTCTACTAAAAGCTTTTTAAAAATTAGCGAGGCTTGGTGGCACACACTTGTAGTCCCAGCCACTCAGGATTTCTTGAGCCCAGGAGTTTGAGGTTGTAGTGAGCTGTGGTCTTGCCATTGCACTCCGGCATGGGTGACAGAGTGAGACCCTGTCTTAAAAATAATACTACTACTAGTCATGTCACTAAATAAATATGTCATTCTATGGAACATTTCCTGAGATGCTGAGAAAACAGATGTGAAGAAATAATTAGTACTTACTTATGCATATGTTCCTGGCAGGTGCTGTTGGCAGCAGCGGTCTGCACAAAAGCAGGAAAGGCTATTGTTTCTCGACAGTTTGTGGAAATGACCCGAACTCGGATTGAGGGCTTATTAGCAGCTTTTCCAAAGCTCATGAACACTGGAAAACAACATACGTTTGTTGAAACAGAGAGTGTAAGATATGTCTACCAGCCTATGGAGAAACTGTATATGGTACTGATCACTACCAAAAACAGCAACATTTTAGAAGATTTGGAGACCCTAAGGCTCTTCTCAAGAGTGGTAAGAGTACTGCTATAATACTGGGTTCCACTTTTTGTTTTACATTTTATGTGAAACTAGTTTTTCCTCCAAAGCAGCTGATGCTAACCAGTTTGCAGGTTCCTACTCCGCACCCCAGCGACTTATTGCTGCAGCACCTTGTTTATTCAGCAGACATTTATTGGGTGTCCTCTTAGACTATAGATGTCTCAAAAGAATATGGGAACTACTGTTTCATTTCCCAGTTCTTAAGCAGTTGTTCTAATCTGCCGTTCTAGTTCTGACACTTGTTTGGCTATGCTTTTTAGGTAATGTTTTTTAGGTAAGACTTACTGATCCAGAGACAGACACACACACACACACCCCTCTTCTAAGACTTTATGCCAAAGTCTTGCTTAAAATGAAGACTTAGGTAAGACTTACTGATCCAGAGACAGACAGACAGACAGACACACACACACACACACACACACACACACCTTTTAAGACTTTATGCCAAAGTCTTGCTTAAAATGAAGGCTAAGGCCAGGTGCGGTAGCATGTGCCTGTAGTCCAAGCTACTCAGGAGGCTGAGGCAGAAGGATTGCTTGAGGCCAGGAGTTCAAGTGCACAGGCATTATACTTTAGTGTGGGCAACACAGCAAGACCCTGATTCTTTTTTTTTTAAAGACGGAGTCTCGCTCTTGCCCTGGCTGGAGTGCAGTGGTGCAATGGTGCAATCTCGGCTCACTGCAACCTCCACCTCCCAGGTTCAAGCAATTTTCTGGCCTCAGCCTCCCGAGTAGTTGAGATTACAGATGTGCATCGCCATGCCTGGCTAATTTTTGTACGGGGTTTCACCATGTTGGCCAGGCTGGTCTCGAACTCCTGACCTCAGGTGATCTGCCTATCTTGGCGTCCCGAAGTGCTGGGATTACAGGCATGAGCCGCTGCACCCGGCTGTAAGAATCAGGGTCTTGGGCGTGGTGGCTCACGCTTGTAATCCCAGCACTTTGGGAGGCTGAGGCGGGTGGATCACCTGAGGTCAGAAGTTTGAGACCAGCCTGACCAACGTGGTGAAACCTCGTCTCTACTCAAAATACAAAAAAATTAGCTGGGCATGGTGGCGGGCACCCATAATCCTACTACTCAGGAGGCTGAGGCATGAGAATTGCGTGAACCCAGGAGGTGGGGGTTGCAGTGAGCCGAGATCGTGCCACTGCACTCCAGACCGGGTGACAGAGTTAGACTTTGTCTTAAAAAAAAAAAAAAAAAAAAAATCAGGGAGTTAGGCTGGGCGCAGTGGCTCACGCCTGTAATCCCAGCAGTTTGGGAGACTGAGGCAAGCGGATCACCTGAGGTCAGGAGTTCAACACCAGCCTGGCCAACATGGTGAAACCCCGTCTCTACTAAAAATACAAAAATTAGCTGGGCGTGGTGGTACACACCTGTAGTCCCAGCTACTCCGGAAGCTGAGGCAGGAGAATCACTTAAACCCAGGAGATGGAGGTTGCAGTGAGCCGAGATGGCACCACTGCACTCCAGCGTGGGCAGCAGAGCGAGACTCTGTCCCAAAAAATAAAATAAAGACTAGAAGTAGCTAATAAAGGGATTTAGGTTATTGAAATTTATGTACTCTAAAGGATAAGACTTGGAAATATAGCTGCTGATAAATTCTAAATCTTTCTTTTTTATTGGTGTCCACGCTTAGATCCCTGAATATTGCCGAGCCTTAGAAGAGAATGAAATATCTGAGCACTGTTTTGATTTGATTTTTGCTTTTGATGAAATTGTCGCACTGGGATACCGGGAGAATGTTAACTTGGCACAGATCAGAACCTTCACAGAAATGGATTCTCATGAGGAGAAGGTGTTCAGAGCCGTCAGAGAGGTAAATAGGATCTTCTCTGGGACTACCTGTTTGTATGTCTTTCTCTTAGGCTTCACTAATCTCATTTTCCTATTTTTACTTACTAATGTAGACTGTATTCAAAACTATGTCCAGGCTAGGCACAGTGGCTCATGTCTGTAATCTCAGCACTTTGGGAGGCGGAAGTGGGAGTATCACTTGAGTCCAGGAGTTCAAGACCAGACTGGACAGCGTAGTGAGACCCTGTCTCTATAAAAAGTAAAAAAAAAATTAGCCAGGCATGGTAGCACGTGCATGTGGGTCCCAGCTACTTGGGAGGCTGAGATGGGAGGATCACTTGAGCCCAGGAAGTTGAGGCTGCAGTGAGCTGTGATTGTGCCACTTGCACTCCAGCCTGGGTCACAGAGTGAGACCCTGTCTCAACAAAAACCCAAAAAAAAAAGCTACATTAATGTATGTCTTTTTCTGTAGACTCAAGAACGTGAAGCTAAGGCTGAGATGCGTCGTAAAGCAAAGGAATTACAACAGGCCCGAAGAGATGCAGAGAGACAGGGCAAAAAAGCACCAGGATTTGGCGGATTTGGCAGCTCTGCAGTATCTGGAGGCAGCACAGCTGCCATGATCACAGAGACCATCATTGAAACTGATAAACCAAAAGTGGCACCTGCACCAGCCAGGTATAATCCAGTGTACTTTAGAATACCAGGTGAAGGGTGTATATGTGTCTATCTTTGAAGTCATAATCTGATTTCTTGGAAAGCTGTAAATAAAGAAGGACTTGATGAAGTAAGATATGATGTTACATTTGGCCACATACAATATGAGGATAAAGAAGAAATCTGAATGTGGTGTTTTTCCTTTTGTATAAAAGAGAGTTATAAATTATGTCATGACCTCAGTTTCCTATGAGAGTTGCCTTATTGTGGGGAGGAAAGGGCTATTTAATGCTTTATGGAATGTAGATTTTTAATCTTGATGTTCATTGATTGATTTTAGGGGAAATCTGTGAATTACCCAAAATTATATACAAAATTTTGTGCACAGGTGTATTTCTCTGGACGGGAGATACAAAATTTTCATCAGATCATGTGTGCTTGTAAAAATAAACCTTTGGGTAATGAATTTCAAATTCTTCCACTTAGGCCTTCAGGCCCCAGCAAGGCTTTAAAACTTGGAGCCAAAGGAAAGGAAGTAGATAACTTTGTGGACAAATTAAAATCTGAAGGTGAAACCATCATGTCCTCTAGTATGGGCAAGCGTACTTCTGAAGCAACCAAAATGCATGCTCCACCCATTAATATGGAAAGGTAAGTAGGAACTTTGAGTAAGAATTCAAGCTTTGAATACAGTCCACATAATTTTTTAAAAATCTTATTTCAGTGTGCTATAAATTCTTTCTCTGTCTTTTAATCGTTCCTGATTTAAAAGATTTATTCAGAGCAGATTCTACATATTAACATAAGATCGTTTTTGGTTTTGTTTTGTTTTATTTACTTATTTTTTTTTGAGATGGAGTCTCACTCTGTCACCCAGGCTGGAGTGCAGTGGTGTGATCTCGGCTCGCTGCAAGCTCTCCCTCCCAGGTTCACGCCATTCTCCTGCCTCAGCCTCCCGAGTAGCTGGGACCACAGGCGCCCACCCCTACGCCCGGCTAATTTTTTTGTATTTTTAGTAGAGATGGGGTTTCGCCGTGTTAGCCAGAATGGTCTCGATCTCCTGACCTTGTGATCCGCCTGACTCAGCCTCCCGAAGTGCTGGGATTACAGGCGTGAGCCACCACGCCCGGCTGTTGTTTTGTTTTATTTTTTTGAGACAGGGTCTTACTATGTTGTCTAGGCTGGCCTCCAACTCCTGAGCTCAGTTAATCTTCCTGCCTCAGCCTCCCAAGTAACTGGGATACAGGCATGCGTTGCTGCACCTGACCTTTTCCTTTTTCCTTAAACCATGATTGGGGGCCCTCAGCCACCTATTTTCTATGAAGTTTAGAACTTTCCTTTTACAGCTAAATTAAAGTTACTTGTAGTCACACCTGGTATATAGCGTATCTCTTAGAATGCACTTGAATTAGGGGACTAGAGCTATGGTGACCCCACACTGTATTTTGGCATGACTTTTTCTAATTAAAGTCTAAGTAGAACCAATCTTTAATCCAAAACTTGTAGATATCTTTAATAGCAAATTAATATATTTTGCATTTTTATTTTATTTATTTATTTTTTTGAGATGGGGTTTCACTCTGTCACCCAGGCTGGAGTACAGTGGTGCAATCTCAGCTTGTTGCAACCTCTGCCTCCCAGGTTCAAGTGATTCTCCCACCTCAGCCTCCCAAGTAGCTGGGACTACAGGCATGCACCACCACGCTGGGCTAATTTCTGTATTTTGGTAGAGATGGGGTTTTGCCTTGTTGCCCAGGCTGGTCTCGAACTCCTGGACTCAAGCAATCTGCCTGCCTCGGCCTCACAAAGTACTGGGATTACAGGCGTCAGCCACCATGCCCAGCCATCTTTTGCAGTTTAAATATTTGAAGCCAGTATGGAATATTTTGATTCATCTCTTATCTCAGGGCTGTGGTACTGGTTGGTGACATTTTTAAGTGGTAGTTATCAAGTTCACATATTCGTGACTCAGATTTCTCGTCTTGAAGCCAGACCTTCTACTGTTGCTGATGGTTTTGAGGTCAAGTGAAAGATAATACCAGGAGGATACCTTTATCAGGTGTGCATAAAAGAGGAGTATTTACTCTTTTTCTTTCTTCTTTCCTTTCTTTCTTCCTTTCTTTCTTTCTTGACAGAGTCTTGCTCTGTCTCCCAGACTGGAGTGCAATGGCACGATCTTGCAACCTCCACCTCCCGGGGTCAAGCAATTCTCCTGCCTCAGCCTCCCAAGTGGCTGGGATTACAGGTGCACGCCATCACACCCGGCTAATTTTCTTATTTTTAGTAGAGACAGAGTTTTGCCGTGTTGGCCAGGTGGGTCTCGAACTCCTGACCTCAAGTGATCTGCCTGCCTCTGCCTCCCAAAAGTGCTTGGATTATAGGCGTGAGCCACCGTGCCCAGCCAAGTATTTACTCTTTATATGCCCTGTTCTGTATGAAATGAACAGGGTTACATTGGGATAAATTTCTTGATTCACTAAAGCCGCTGTGCTCTTCCTAGTGGTTGCTTTGAGTGAGACAGAGGCTTCACACTTTTAAAAAGATATTCCTGAGTGCAGTGGCCCACACCTGTAATCTTAGCACTTTGGGAGGCTGAGGTGGGCGGATTGCCTGAGCTCAGGAGTTCAAGACCACCCTGGGCAACATGGTGAAACTCCATCTCCACTAAAATACAAAAAATTAACCCCTTCTCCACTAAAATACAAAAAATTAGATGGGCGTGGTGGCACACACCTGTAGTCCCAGCTACTCAGGAGGCTGAGGCAGGAGAATTGCTTGAACCCGGGAAGCAGAGGTTGCAGTGAGCCAAGATGGTGCCACTGCACTCCAGCCTGGGCGACAGAGTGAGACTCTATCTCCAAAAAAAAAAAAAAAAAAAAAATGTTGGAGATCATCACATATTAAAGAGAATTTGAGACACTGTTTTTTTCTAAATGATAAATTGCCTCTTGAGCACAGAGCAAACTTTTGTGAAGGTAAAATGGTACCATGCATTGTCTTAAGATGCACTCCTTTATGGTCTTGACTCTGATGCCTTTGTTTCTAGGAAGACCTAAGAGGTTGGAACAAAGAACATGGTAGGATAACAAAATATTTTTTGTAGCCTCTGTAGTTCATCCAGCCAAACGTATGTCTATTACTGAATATGAATAGATTGTACTTAATACTTGCCTCTAGCAGCAGCAGTTTTTAATCTTTTAAAAATTGGATTATACATTCATATAGTACAAAATTCAAAAGTTGTTAACAGTCAGAAGTCTTCCTCTCACTCAGCCATGCCAGTTTCTCATTTTGGAGACAACTAGTATTAACAGAGTTTTTTGTGTATCCTTCTAAGGGGGATGGTCTGTGATATACAGATGAATAAAAAACATGTATACAGTGTGTCTATTTTTCCCCCTTTTATGCAAAGCAGTAAAACTAGACACGTCTTCCAATTGCATTTTTCATTTAATTATTTTGGAGATAAGAATCTCCTTATTTGAAACTGCAGAGATATGACATCTAAATGCGCAATACCTTACCCTAGACTGGATCCTCTACTAATGTAGTGTAGAAAAAACAACTCAAACTGTTTGTTTTTTCTATTTTCTCATTCAACAGCAACAATGAACACAGAAGACTTCTGTGATCAAGTGTGTTTAGATTTTTCCGCACACATCAAGCGGTCACACCTAGCTGGTGTCCTCCAATTCAATTCAATTCTGATGCTATCTACCTGGGAATAGCCTCAGATTCTACAGGTTGAGAGTTCAGTCCCCCAAGACTGATTCTTCCTTCCCACCAGTCATAAGTCCAGACTTTCAGAACTTCTTACTGACCTCAAGTTTGGCCTCCCACGACCCCCTCTGGGGTGTTCAATTAATCTGCTAGAGCACCTCACAGAACTCAGGGAAACTTACTTGACATTTATCAGTTTGTTACAGAGGACATTTTAAAGGATGCAAATAAGCAGCCAGATGAAGAGATACATAGGGCAAGGTCTGGGAGGGTCTTGAGCACAGGAGCTTCTGTCCCCAGGGAGCTGGGGTACGCCACCCTCCTGGAAAATAGATGAGACCTTGTTCATCTTCCTGTAAGCCTGCATGTGTTCAGCTGTCCAGAAGCTTCCCAGACCCTGTCCTCTTGAGCCTTTTATGGAGACTTCATTGGATAGGCATGATTGACAGGCATGCAGAAATGTGACTGGGCAAGGGTATGACCTAATACTGATAGGCTGAGTGGGGAAACACAGCAAGGCCTGTCCAAATTCTTGGCCTCTCTGTGCAGCATTAATCTTCCTCCAGGATATGGTGCAGGACCCCTTTTGGAGATCCTGCCTTGGGCTGGTGAAAGGAGGGCAGGAGAAGGTCAAAGAGAGGTTCTTTTTTCTAAGGGCTGCTCCTGAGGCCTAAAGTGCCCCAACATTATGTATAATAAGGGATATGGGAGTTATGAGCTAGGAACCATGGATGAAAACCGGTATGTATGTATATCATAATATCACAACTACTATTAAAAATATTATTAGGTCAACTGACGAAATTGACATATGGTTGACAGATCGGATACAATTATTGTATCATTGTTAGCCTGGCATGATGGCACATGGCTGTAGTCCTTCCTACTCAGGAGGCTGAGGCAGGAGGATCACTTGAGACCAGGAGTTCAAGGTTATAGTGAACTGTGATTGTGTCTCTGAATAGCCACTGCACTCCAGCCTGGGCAACATAGCAAGATCTGTCTCTTAAACAACAACAACAGGCTGGGTGCGGTGGCTCACGCCTGTAATCCCAACACTTCGGGAGGCCGAGGCAGGCAGATCACCTGAGGTCAGGAGTTCAAGACCAGCCTGGCCAGCATGGTAAAACTCTGACTCTAGTAAAAATACAAAAATGAACCGGGCGTGGTGGCAGGTGCCTGAAATCCCAGCTACGCAGGAGGCTGAGACAGGAGAATCACTTGAACCCGGGAGGCAGAGGTTGCAGTGAGCCGAGATCACGCCATTGCACTCCAGCCTGGGCAAGAAGAGTGAAACTCTATCTCAAAACAACAACAACAAAAAGCTAAAAAAACTATCAGTGTAAATTTGTGAAGTTAATAATGGTACTGTGATTGATTATGTAAGAGAATATCCCTAATCTTATAAAATAAGCACTGAAGTATTTAGGGGTAAAGTGCCGTGTTGTATATAATCTGCTTCTTAATGGTTCAGGGAAAAAAAATCAAATGTATAACATACATATATAATGTTTAGAGAGAGAGAAACACAAGTGCAAATTATAAAACAAATGAGGTAAATATTAACAATAGGTGAATCTGGAAAAGGGTATATATGTCTTCCTTGTATAATTTTAATTTTTTTAAGCTTGAAAATACTTACAAATAGAAAGTTTTTTCAGTTGTTTGTTTTCTCACCATTGCCTACTATTCATTCGGGTGGATATGCCTTTATTTTTTATTTTTTATTTTTTTGAGACAGAGTCTCACTCTGTTGCCCAGGCTGGAGTGCAGTGGCACCATCTCGGCTCACTGCAAGCTCCGCCTCCTGAGTTCACGTCATTCTCCCACCTCAGCCTCCTGAGTAGGCGCCCGTCACCACACCCGGCTAATTTTGTTTTTGTATTTTTAGTAGAGGTGGGGTTTCACCATGTTAGCCAGGATGGTCTCGATCTTCTGACCTCGTGATCTACCCGCCTTGGCCTCCCAAAGTGCTGGGATTACAGGCGTGAGCCACCACGCCCGTGAATATGCCTTTATTTGAGCAGCCCCCTATTGGCAGACATGTTTCTAAACTTTTGCCATTACAAACAATTCTTCAGTGAATAACTTAGCAGATTGTTTTGCACAGGTGAGAATTTATCTGTAGGATAGAGTCTGTTGAAGAATTGCTGTATCAAAGGGTATCGCCTTTTAAATGTTGATAGCTATAGCAGTAGCACCTTTAAAAAAACGTTGTTGATGGCTAATCATTAGACCTTGGAGAAAGGGAGTTCTGATTTCTACCTTTCTTTTTTCTTTTCTTTTCTTTTTTATTTTTTGAGACAGAGTT
The DNA here is from genome assembly GCF_000001405.40 of Homo sapiens. Lineage (NCBI taxonomy): Eukaryota > Metazoa > Chordata > Mammalia > Primates > Hominidae > Homo > Homo sapiens. The sequence goes on from NC_000011.10 coordinate 118,590,025, forward strand.
TCACTCTTGTTGCCCAGGCTGGAGTGCAGTGGGACAATCTCGGCTCACCACAGCCTCTGCCTCGTGGTTCAAGCGATTCTCCTGCCTTAGCCTCCCAAGTAGCTGGGACTACAGGCATGCACCACCACGCCTGGCTAATTTTGTATTTTTAGTAGAGACGGGGTTTCTCCATGTTGGTCAGGCTGGTCTCGAACTCCCCACCTCAGGTGATCTGCCCGCCTTGGCCTCCCAAAGTGCTGGGGTTATAGGCATGAGCCACCACGCCCGGCCATTGGTTTCTACCTTTCTGAACAAATGTATTACTTTCTCTTTATAGTGTACATATGAAGATTGAAGAAAAGATAACATTAACCTGTGGACGAGACGGAGGATTACAGAATATGGAGTTGCATGGCATGATCATGCTTAGGATCTCAGATGACAAGTATGGCCGAATTCGTCTTCATGTGGAAAATGAAGATAAGAAAGGGGTGCAGCTACAGGTGTGTAGAAGCTTTTGATAGGGAGTATTAACACTTTGTCTACCTATTATAGTCTTTCTCAACTAGAGTTCCCAATATGAACCACAGAAAATTACTTAAGTTATATAACTAGCATCACTCTAAACGCTTAGGAAAGAAGTTAATATATTGCATACAGTAGCTACCTGAGAGTGAGTAAAGCAGCTGTGTAAGGATGGCTTTTAAATATTGGAATTGAATAAAAGGTCATTTCGAAATCTAATAAATGACTTCATACTCACCAATAAAAGGTACAAGGAGGTGTTTGTCTTTTGCTGTTATGAAAACAGTAAATTAATCACTTAGGATCTTGCTTGAAATACAGTTTTAAAAAAACAAGGCTTTAGGCCAAGTGTGGTGGCTCATGCCTATAATACCAGCACTCTGAGAGGCTGAGGCTGAAGGATCGCTTGAGCCCAGGAGTTCAAGAACAGCCTGAGCAATGAGGGCTGAGCAACAAGACCCTATCTCTACAAAAACTTAAAAAATTAGCCAGGCGTGGTGGCACAATGCGAAATTTACTCATTCTGCTATTAAATAAACTGCCAGTGCTTGTTTTGTTAACTGAAGGGCAGTATCTAATGGTGTATTTGAAAAGTACATAAAATCCTTTCAATATAAGTGTGTGTGTTCCAACTATTGGATAGATATATATAAGCCCTGCTTTATGTTACAGGTGTTCTTGTAATTTCATTTCATTTAGCCGACATCTCGTCACAAGAACAAAGCCTTTTTACGGAAGAGTGTTTTTGTCTACTTTCCCCACCGTAGTCAGCACAGAATTGTCTTTTGGAAGCAGTGCTTATATTATTTGACATTTTTGCTGGCTTGTAAAGTGCTATCCAAAAGTGATTTCTGTTTTGTTTTGTTTTGTTTTGTTTTCCTGAGATGGAGTCTCTCTCTGTTGCCCAAGCTGGAGTTCTGTGGTACGATCTTGGTTCACTGCAACTTCTGCCTCCCCAGTTGAAGCAGTTCTCCTGCCTCAGCCTGCTGAGTAGCTGGGATTACAGGCACCTGCCACCATGCCCAGCTAATTTTTTTTATTTTTAGTAAAGATGGGGTTTCACCATGTTGGCCAAGCTGGTCTCGAACTCTTGACCTCATGATTCGCCCACCTCATCATCCCAAAGTGTTGGGATTGTAGTCATGAGCCACCATGCCCAGCCCTTCTGGGTTTTTTTTGTTTTTGTCTTGTTTTTTTGTTCTTTTTTTTGTTTTTTTTTTTGTTTTTGCACAGTCTCTCTCTGTCATGCGGGCTGGAGTGCAGCAGCACAACCTTGGCTCGCTGCAGCCTTAACCTCCTAGGCTCAAGCAATGCTTCCTCTTCAGCCTCCATAGTAGCTGGAACTATAGGTGTGCACCACCACACCCAGCTATTTATTTATTTATTTATTTATTTATTTTTTATTTTTTGAGACGGAGTTTCACTCTTCCTGCCCAGGTTGGAGTGCAATGGTGTGATCTCGGCTCACCGCAACCTCTGCCTCCCGGGTTCAAGCCATTCTCCTGCCTCAGCCTCTCGAGTAGGTGGGATTACAGGCGTGCGCCACCATGTCCAGCCCCAGCTAACTTTTGTATTTTTAATAGAGATAGGGTTTTGCCATGTTGGCCAGGCTGATGTCAAACTCCTGACCTTCAATGCCCCTCTCACCTCAGCCTCCCCAAAAGCAATTTCTTTTAAAAAGATAAGACTATCTTAATTGGCTTGGATTTTAACAACTTTAAGTCTCTAGGCAAAATTGCAACTAGACTTTACACAGAGCTTGCCCTTTTCTGCTACTTTATATAAGGCCAGAACTGCTGTCTGACCCAGGCAGCTGATCAGGGTCTTACTGGAGCCTTCTGCTTGGCAAACCTGGCCCCACCATGAACCTGCTCCCTGTGAAGTATTTTTGGAAAGAACTTGGTTAATAGTCTTTTAACTTTTTCAGGTGCAAACTTGTTCTGTAATGGCTTTTAGAGTTGAAATTAGCTTTTTTTTTAAAAAATTACTAGTTTTTAAGTATCTTAAATCATTTTAAAATAAGTCTTTGAAGAAGGGAAATCTTTCTTCAAAATGAAAAAGAATTGGAATTTGTTAGGTACTCTATTTTGGATGTTTAGATTGTGGGCCATATAAGCCTAGTGAGGGGTTGTTTCTCGTCTATCTGAACCTCAGGAGTTTTCCTTTCCCTCTCATTCTAGACCCATCCAAATGTGGATAAAAAACTTTTCACTGCAGAGTCTCTAATTGGCCTGAAGAATCCAGAGAAGTCATTTCCAGTCAACAGTGACGTAGGGGTGCTAAAGTGGAGACTACAAACCACAGAGGAATCTTTTATTCCACTGACAAGTAAGTGCCTCTGGCCAGTCCCACTAAGCTAGTTTGCATTGAGAACTAGAAATAGCCCTTGCTGGTACACTTTTATTTTTATTACCATAGCAAAGTTCTTTCTGACAAAATGACTTTCTTTTGAAATGGACCTGGTGCTGCATTTTGTATATTTTTATCATTAGTTTTCATTTTTAATAGCTTTCATTTTGAAACCATTGTAGTTTTGTTGTTGTTATTGTTTTAGAGACAAGGTCTTCTTCTGTTGCCCAGGCTGGAGTGCAGTGGGGCAATCATAGCTCACTGCAGCATCAAACTCCTGGACTCAAGCCATCCTCCTGCCTCAGCCTCTTTAGTAGCTGGGACTAGGACTATAGGCACATGCCACCACATCCAGCTAACTTTTTTTAAAAGACACAAACTCCCTCTGTCACCCAGGCTGGAGTGCAGTGGTGTGATCATGGCTCATTACAACCTTGAACTCCTGGGTTCAGCTGATCTCCCACCTCAGCCTCCTGAGTAGCTAGGAGAACAGGGAAGTGCCACCACGCCTGGCTTTTTTTTTTTTTTTTTTTGGTATAGGTGGAGTCTCACTTTGTTGCCTAGGCTGGTCTTGAACTCATGGCCTCAACCAATCCTCCCACCTCGATCCTACCACCTTGGTCCTCTAAAGCGCTGGGGTTACAGGCATGAGCCACTGCACCCAGCCATCTTTTTCTAATATTCTAGTATGACTGCTTTGCTTTCTCCTCAGTTAATTGCTGGCCCTCGGAGAGTGGAAATGGCTGTGATGTCAACATAGAATATGAGCTACAAGAAGATAATTTAGAACTGAATGATGTGGTTATCACCATCCCACTCCCGTAAGTGCTGTCCCTGTGTCCTCTACGGTGGACTTAGAGAACTGGTCTTTTGGAACTCATTTTGGAGTCAGCACCTACCTGACCTGACTGTCCATTCAAAGATACTTCTTTAAAAAGCTAGTTGTGAAAGAAGCCAGATACAAAAGGCTGCATGTTATGTGATTCCACTTCTTTGTCTTTCTGGAAAAGGTAATACTATTGAATAAAAATGAGGAGGTAGAGAAGAAGGTACTTCACTTCAGAGGGGCACAAGGGAACTTTTGGGAATGATAGGAATGTTCTAGGACTTGTGTTTGCTTTGGCAGCACAGGTACTAAAATTGGAACCATACAGAGAAGATTAGCATGGGCCCTGTGCAAGGCTGACATGTAAGTTATGAAACATTTCATATTTATAAATAAGTAAAGCAAGGAAATTGTTTTTTTGAGACAGAGTCTCACTCTGTCACTGGAGGTCACTGGCACGATCTCAGCTCACTGCACCCTCCACCTCCCAGGCCCAGGCTATCCTCCTGCCTCACCCTCCCGAGTAGCTGGGACTACAGGCGCACACCACCACGCTTGGCTAATTTTTGTATTATTTGTAGGGACGGAGTTTTGCTGTGTTGTGCAGGCTGATCTCAAACTCCTGAGCTCAAGTGATCTGCCCGCCTCGGCCTCCCAAAGTGCTGGGATTATAAGCGTGAGCCACCACACCCAGCCAAGAATTGCTCTGTGACTTGATTGTGGTGGTGCTTACTGCATACACTTGTTGAAATACATTGAGCACTTGGAAGGGATGGATTTTACTGACTTTAAAACCAAATTGAACAAGCCAGTTGTAGATCTGGAGCTGTTTTTATTTATTTATTTATTTTTTATTTTTATTGGAGACTGAGTTTCACTCTTGTTGCCCAGGCTGGAGTGCAATGATGTGATCTCGGCTCACTGCAACCTCCACCACCTAGGTTCAAGTGATTCTCCTGCCTCAGCCTCCCGAGTAACTGGGGTTACAGGCATGTGCCATCATGCCCAGATAATTTTTGTATTATTAGTAGAGACGGGGTTTCACCATGTTGGCCAGGCTGGTCTCAAACTCCTGACCTTAGATGATCTGCCCGCCTTGGCCTCCCAAAGTGCTGGGATTATGGGCGTGAGCCACCGCACCTGGCTATTTTTATTTTTATTTTTTTGAGACAGTCTCACTCTGTCAGCCAGGCTGCAGTGCAGTGGTGCAACCTTGGCTTACTGCAACCTCCACCTCCCAGGTTCAAGCGATTCTCGTGCCTCAGTCTCCCAAGTAGCTGGGATTACAGGCGTGTGCCACCACGCCCAGTTAATTTTTGTATTTTTAATAGAGATGGGGTTTCACTATGTTGGCCAGGCTGGTCTCAAACTCCTGTCCTCAAAATGATCCACCTGCCTTGGCTTCCCAAAGTGCTGGGATTACAGGCGTGAGCCACTGCACCTGGCCTGGAGCTGTTTTTAGATGTTGGTCCTCAGCTTGTTTGTGTAGTAATGAAGATTTCCAGAAGGAGGAGCCATTTGTCAGTCAAACTTTCTGTTTTGCAGGTTTCAAAGAAATTGAGTCTATCGGGCTGAATGTTTCATTTTCACGTGCTAGTCTCTAAACTTTCACTAAAGATGAGAGTGTGTTCAAGGGAACTGTTGATTCTTGTTGAACAAGATGTCTACATTAGTTACAGTAAATTTCCTAACAGCCCTTTTGGAGCATAATTTATATACAATAAACTACACATATTTTAATTGTATAATCTTGACATGTTTACACTTGTGAAACCACCACCATAATCAAGATAACAAAAATGTCATGTCAACCCCAGAAGTTGAGTTCCAATAAGCTTTTGTTGTACACTTAAATGGCCCACTATCTAGGATCAACTGGAAATGGTCTCTACCTTATCTTTTTAGTAACATTTACAGTGAGCATGCAGTTATTACTTCACAGTAAATCCTAGCTCCTTTCACCTACCCATCAGCCCTCATGATTAAGCACAATGTTTAATTATGAGCACCAGTAAGTGTATTCTTAGTGTATCTTTACTGTTATGTCGCTCAGTTATTGCTGCAGAGAAAATGGTACTAATTTGCCAGGCGCAGTGGCTCACGCCTGTAATCCCAGCACTTTGGGAGGCCGAGGCGGGCGGATCACGAGGTCAGGAGATCGAGACCATCTTGGCTAACACAGTGAAACCCCGTCTCTACTAAAAATACAAAAAATTAGCTGGGCCTGGTGGCGGGCGCCTGTAGTTCCAGCTACTCCGGAGGCTGAGGCAGGAGAATGGTGTGAAGCCGGGAGGCGGAGCTTGCAGTGAGCTGAGATCGCGCCACTGCACTCCAGCCTGGGTGACAGAGCGAGATTCCGTCTCAAAAAAAAAAAAAAGTACTAATTTAATTCATAGTTTTCTTCCCTTTTTGATAATTCAAGCCTTTACATTATCAGGTCTGGTTTTAGTCATTCTTGTTTCCAATTTTAAAAATATACTTTATTACCAGTATCCCCTTTAATGGGTAACCATCTTATCCTCTACAGTATGGTTATTGCTTCAGAACAATAGATGGCTGCCTTGAACTGTTGTAGGACTTGGGTGTTGGTGACAGGTAGAGTTTTGTTTGTCAAGATTTAGTTTACTAGACTATTTATAGAATGCTACAATTTTGAGGCCTGTCTACCCTATAATTGTGGTTGTGGTGGTTTCCTGTATTCTAGTTCAGTTTTGCAATGGTCTCCAGAAGAGACCCTTACACAACATTTTACTCCCGTTGTCTAGAACTGATCAAATTAGAAGAGATCAGAATCAGAATTAGAGCAAGGGCACAGAGAAGGAACATAAAAGAACCAGGACCCTGAAATTGATAGGGAAGAGTTAATAGTCTTATGCCACCCTTAAAGTTTACTTTGTCTCCCTTATTTACCCTATCCCTAATATAAACATTGAGTGTCACTGGTGAATTAAAAGCTGGTAAATTTAGAATGTGTAGGAGTAGGTGACACTGCCTGTCAGCCGTGTGTAGGGGTGCAGAGTAAATCTTAACTAGCCCTGCTTCTCTCGCAGATTAAGGACAACTACGGATCTGTTTCTCCCATCATGTTTCCATTTTGCCCCAGGGGTAATTGTGCTTTCACTTATCAAATAAAAGTCCATTTACTGGATTGTAAATCAAATAAACCCATTGGTGTCAACTTCAATAAGTTTGAAACATTCTGAAATCTTTAAAAACAAATTCTCGGCCGGGTGCGGTGGCTCATGCCTGTAATCTCAGCACTTTGGGAGGCCGAGGCAAGTGGATCACGGGGTCAGGAGATGAGACCATCCTGGCCCGCATGGTGAAACCCCGCCTCTACTAAAAATACAAAAATTAGCTGGGCGTGGCGGCACACGCCTGTAGTCCCAGCAACTTGGGAGGCTGAGGCAGGAGAATCGCTTGAACTGGGGAGGCGGAGGTTGCAGTGAGCTGAGATCACGCCACTGTACTCCAGCCTGGCGACAGAGCAAGACTCTGTCTCAAAAAACAAATGAACAAGAAAACAAATTCTCTCAAAGGCCTCCATTCATCTCCACTATTGATGTTTAGAGTTTTCCCCCACTATTATCAATCTGCTTGTTTCCCCATTGTCTCCTATAAAGAGTGCTACATTATGTTAAAATTCCTTATTTATAGGGCAGCAACCTATTGGTGCAGGGTTTTTGGAAACATAGCCATCTTAACACATCTGTTGGTCGCAGTCCCCAGATCTAGTCCTTAAGTTGGAGCAGCCCATAGGCATATCTGCCAAATACCTATTTTTGCATATTAACTATATCTACAGAGGGAATTGAGTGAAACTCTTAGCCCAAGGTGCTAGGACTTCATCGTTTGATCCTTGAAGTTATTAGCCTTTTTTTCCCCTGAAATTGTAGTCCTAGAAGGCAAAATTTGGGGATCATATATCAAATTTGGGGTTGGTTTTCCGTGGTGGAGTTCTAGCTCTGAACAGCTACCTTGACCAGAATGTTTCTCACAACAGGTCTGGTGTCGGCGCGCCTGTTATCGGTGAGATCGATGGGGAGTATCGACATGACAGTCGACGAAATACCCTGGAGTGGTGCCTGCCTGTGATTGATGCCAAAAATAAGAGTGGCAGCCTGGAGTTTAGCATTGCTGGGCAGCCCAATGACTTCTTCCCTGTTCAAGTTTCCTTTGTCTCCAAGAAAAATTACTGTAACATACAGGTACTCCATTTTAGTTGAGAACATATATAGGGAAAGTGGTAGGACAGTAGGAACACGTATAGGATGCCAGACAGGTAGCATGGCTTTTTGTGGTCAGATAAAGCTCAGAAAAAAACTGATGTCTCCTACAGGAATTCCCTTTCTAATTCATTGTATGATCGTGGTCAAATTCTTTTATTGCTTTACCTCAGTTTTCCTCTCTAGATCAGACAAAGTAAAGAAATGGAATGTTAATACAGATAAAAGTACTTGTGGATTATGCAAGATTCATAAACACTTAGTTGCCTGTTTTTTTTTAACCTTATATATTTTAAAGTCGATTTGCCAAAACACCCCAACACATGGTTTTTTTAAGGCCTTGCTGTCACTTGATTTATACCCAAAGAATGAAATTGTTTTATTTAGAAGACAAAATTACTACAAAAAAAAAATCCATTCTATTACAAATGGAAATTATTTGAGGGTTATTTATGTCACAGCTCCCTTTATTAGTACAAATAATCATGAGCCAATTCTGTTGCAAACTCTGTCCTTTAGGTAGGCAAAGCAATGGAGATGTGTGAGCTGTTCCTTCGGATTTTTTTTTTTTTTTTTTTTTTTGAGATGGAGTTTTGCTCTTTTCACCCAGGCTGGAGTGCAATGGCGCGCTGTCAGCTCACCGCAACCTCCGCCTCCCAGGTTCAAACAATTCTCTTGCCTCAGCCTCCCAAGTAGCTGGAAATACAGGAATGCGCCACCATGCCCTGCTAATTTTTGTATATTTGGTAGAGACGGGGTTTCTCCATGTTGGTCAGGCTGGTCTTGAACTCCCGACCTCAGGTGATCTACCCGCCTCAGCCTCCCAAAGTGATGGGATTACAAGTGTGAGCCACAGTGCCCAATGGATTTTTTTCCTTTTTTTCTGAGACGGAGTCTTGCTCTGTTGCCCAGGCTGGAGTGCAGTGACATGATCTCGGCCCACTGCAACCTCTGCCTCCCGGGTTCAAGCAATTCTGTCTCAGCCTCCCCAGTAGCTGAGATTACATGCGCCTGCCACCATGCCTGGCTAATTTTTGTATTTTTAGTAGAGACAGGGTTTCACCATATCGGTCAGGCTGGTCTCGAAATCCTGACCTGAGGTGATCCGCCCACCTCAGCCTCCCAAAGTGCTGAGATTACAGGCGTGAACTACCACGCCTGGCGGATTTTTTTTTTTTTTAAGACGGAGTTTCACTCTTGTTGCCCAGGCTGGAGTGCAATGGCGTGATGTTGGTTCACTGCAACCTCTGCCTCCCAGGTTCAAGCGATTCTCCTGCCTCATCCTCCTGAGTAGCTGGGACTACCGGCATGCGCCACCACGCCTGTCTGATTTTTGTATTTTTAGTAAAGACGGTATTTCACCATGTTGGCCAGGCTGGTCTCAAACTCTTGACCTCGTGATCCAGCCACCTCGGCCTCCCAAAGTGCTAGGATTACAGGCGCGAGTCACCGCGCTCGGCCCGGATCATTATTTTTTAACTCATCATTCTTCCAGTTTTTATTGTTGTTGTTGTTTTGAGACGGAGTCTTGCTCTGTCACCAAGGCTGGAGTGCAGTGCGATCTCAGCTCACTGCAGCCTCTGCCTCCCAGGTTCAAGTGATTCTCCTGCCTCAGCCTCCCAAGTAGCTGGGACTACAGGCGTGTACTGCCACACCCAGCTAATTTTTTTTTGTATTTTTAGTAGAGATGGGGTTTCACCATGTTGGCCAGGCTGGTCTCTAACTCCTGACCTCAGATGATCCGCCCACCTCGGCTTCCCAAAGTGCTGGGATTACAGGAGTGAGCTTCCACGTCTGGCTGTTCTTCCAGTTTTTTAATTTGCATTACTAGGACCCAGTTTATATTATTAATATTCCCCTCTTTTTGACTTGCTTGTTGTTCTGGCCCTACCTTAGCTTCCCATATGGTCTCCGTCTCCCCTGTAAATGCTTAGAAAATTGCAGCTTCCTCCCTTGAATGATTCCAAAGAGCAGTTCTCTCTCCCTATCCTGTTAGTGACATAACCCCATCAGTGTTGGAAGCAACTGTATTGAACTCAAGACATTAGATAGAAATGGGTAAATTTTCCTATTGGGGCTATTCAAAGATTAGGACATTATAATTGCTCTCCCAAAACTTCATTAGAAAATACGAATCAGTGGTTCAAGTGTTGTATTGGTGCCGTTATAGGTACCATTGTTACATGTAATTAATTAAGCTGGACATTTATTTATTTAAAAAGGAAAAACCTCATTGGACCAGCCATGCCTAAAAAATAAGTATGATAGAGCAGCTTACTGGGACTTTTAACACGAGACTTTGAGAGCAGAGCAAATGAATAATGTGAAGAGCTAGAACGTTGCCTTTTGGGTCAGAATGTTAATATATCATCCTGATAGAATGTCTATGAATTTCATAGGTTATACAGGGCAGGGCTGGGCTGTGGCCACTCATTTTGGAGCTTTTACTTAATACTACGGAACATCTCGTCCCAACAGTTGTCTTTTCTCCATCTAGAAGAAAAGCAGCTTAATCATTTTGGTGGGGAAGAGTGATGCTGTGACTTTCAGTTGTGAATTGAACATTTTTCTAGTATTTTACAGTTACTTTTAATACCGCTTTTAGGGAAATTGATATGTTCTGTAATGAGAATGTAGTCAACATGATGGAGACTCAAACCTCCTGCTTTACCTTACTCTTTGTTTATTTTCCTAGGTTACCAAAGTGACCCAGGTAGATGGAAACAGCCCCGTCAGGTTTTCCACAGAGACCACTTTCCTAGTGGATAAGTATGAAATTCTGTAATACCAAGAAGAGGGAGCTGAAAAGGAAAATTTTCAGATTAATAAAGAAGACGCCAATGATGGCTGAAGAGTTTTTCCCAGATTTACAAGCCACTGGAGACCCCTTTTTTCTGATACAATGCACGATTCTCTGCGCGCAAGGACCCTCGACTCACCCCCATGTTTCAGTGTCACAGAGACATTCTTTGATAAGGAAATGGCACAAACATAAAGGGAAAGGCTGCTAATTTTCTTTGGCAGATTGTATTGGCCAGCAGGAAAGCAAGCTCTCCAGAGAATGCCCCCAGTTAAATACCTCCTCTACCTTTACCTAAGTTGCTCCTTTATTTTTATTTTATTATTATTATTATTATTATTATTATTTTTTGAGATGGAGTCTCACTTTGTAACCCAGGCTGGAATGCAATGGCATGATCTCAGCTCACTGCAACCTCCGCCTCCTGGGTTCAAGCAAGTCTCCTGCCTCAGCCTCCGAGTAGCTGGGACTACAGGTGCACGCCACCACGCCTGGCTAATTTTTTGTATTTTAGTAGAGACGGGGTTTCACCGTGTTGCCCAGGCTGGTCGCGAACTCCTGAGCTCAGGCAATCCGCCCACCTCAGCCTCCCAAAGTGTTGGGATTACAGGCATGAGCCACCATGCCCAGCTGCTCCTTTATTTTAATCCCTAAATATAATCCCTAAATATAGTTATATTTCATACTTAGTTTGTTTTTAAAAAGTTTTCTCTGTAGAAAATTTTAATCATTCATACCCTTTACCTTTAGGTTTTTCTTTCTATACATTCAGTCAGGCACTGGGATCATCTGTTTACAGGCATTATATTTATTTGGCACTCCTGGAACAAGTATATCTAACCCATTCTTGATTTTTGGACTATTCAGGTGAACTATTTGAGGGGTATGGGGTCTAGAAGTTAAAAGATACGCATGTCTTCTGTTCTTTTCCCGTATCAATTCATTCCTTCATCTCTTTGCCAAGTTGTTTTCCTTTCAGGGCCTGTCCTTCCAGTTTAGAACAGTACCATGAATCCCACTTGTGTCAATATTAAAGATAGCTGAGAAGCACCTTTCAAATGGCACAGTCCCTCTTCAAGATGTCTAAAAGAATGGTTATGTCTGTCCAGTTAGGGATTTCACATCCACATGTAATCATGTCTGCTGCTGTTGCTACCCAAATTTTCATTTCTCCACATTTTGGGTACTTAAGCTAAAACGTAATGGCCACAGTCTGTAATCCATTCACATTCCTCAGTTTCACCACCTCCCTCTTCCAGACTGCACTCTCTGTCATCAGTCCCCTCCTTTCTAACAGAAATGGGGTTATGATTTTGAAGGCTGTGGGTTCAGGGAGTCTTTGCCAATCCTGTTGGCCCTAAACTATCAAGGAGGCTCCATTTCACCATTTGATTTTTTGCATTTCAGGAGGCAACTGATTGTTTCGATATGTACATATTACTCACGTATACCCCATTTCCTTCCAGTCAGCCCAACATTTTCCACCAGTCTGTCCCCATCTCTGAAATCCTTCCTTCTCTTTCCCCCTAAGTCTTTTGAGTGTCATCATGTACTGGTGGTTTCTCGGTTCCATCTCATCCATTTCCTTTTCAATGGAGACTACAGCGTCAGCCAGCTCAGCCTTGGCTTTTAACTCAATATTCCAGTCCATAGGGGTGGTTAAAAGTTGCTGCAAGGCTGCAGGCACTGGCAGTGGGAAGAGGCAGACGACTAGATGACTTCTGCACTTTTAGCTGGTTGAAAAGTACCACTCCCACTCTGAACATCTGGCCGTCCCTGCAAAGAGTGTACTGTGCTTGAAGCAGAGCACTCACACATAAATGGCTGTGTGTGGAATTGCTTGCCAAAGAAGTTTCTAGCCTTTCCCTTTCCCCTAACTGCATCAGGGAAGAATTCTTATCTCTAGCTTGGTTTCCACATGAGGTTTTTCTGAGAAGGGCTTGGGACAAGAAGTCTGTCATGTTAGTTAAGCAGGCAAGAAATCCTACTAATCCAGTTTTGTTTGAAAGTTGTTTGTCCGTATGATTTTTTAAAAGTCAAGTTTAATTTCAAAAAACCTTTTTTTTCTGAGATTACTTTTGGGGTAATATTTAAAATGAGAGACATTTTGTAACCCTGTAAAATACATAGGGAATATAACATTCCAGTGTATACAAAGAAGGCAAATTCTTTAATCAAATAAAGCGCATTATAAAATGAGATGTTTATTGGATTATTGACTCACTTTGGTGTCTGCTTGTTGATTCAGGATGCTGTAATGGGACCTAACATTAAAAATTAATGACATGTTTTTTTTAAGAGAAAGTAATCTGTGAGAGTATTCATTGCCTTTTTCCATCTTATATGTATTGTGCTTCCTTGCGTATTTTTCTACATTTGATACATGCACTCCTGACAGTGTAGCTTTTGAATTTGATGCTACTTCTGGCCTTTTTGGGGATTGGAGTCTTAATTTTGTCAGACGGCAGTTGGAGAGTCAAAAAAGTCAGGCTTCATCTTTAATCTTGGAGTCTTGGAGTCTTCTCTTCCCCATTAGACCGTGATGAGAAGTGATCCAGGGATGAGGGATAATGGGAACAATTTTTGGGAACTGTTGATAATTCCCTCAGATAAACCTGCTTACTTTTTTTTTTTGAGATGGAGTCTCGCTTAGCTGCCCAGGTTGGAGTGTGGTGGTGCGATCTCAGCTCGCTGCAACCACGGTCGCCCAGCTTCAAGCGATTCTCCTGCCTCAGCCTCCAGAGTAGCTGGGATTACAGTCACCCGCCATCATGCCGGGCTAATTTTTTTTGTATTTTCGTAGAGACGGTTTCACCATGTTGGTCAGGCTGGTCTTGAACTCCTGGTCTCAGATGATTCGCCCACCTCTGCCTCCCAAAGTGCTGGATTACAGGCGTGAGCCACCGCGCCCAGCCTTTTTTTTTTTTTTTTTTGAGACAGTCACCAGGCTGCAGTGCAGTGACATGATTTCGGCTCACCACAACCTCCACCTCCAGGGTTCAAGTGATTCTCCTGCCTCAGCCTCCTGAGTAGCTGGGATTACAGGCATTCCACACCACCACCCCCGGCTAATTTTTGTATTTTTAGTAGAGACGGTTTCACCATGTTGGTCAGACTGGTCTCAAACTCCTGACCTCGTGATCCGCCCGCCTCAGCCTCCCAAAGTGCTGGGATTATAGGCCTGAGCCACCGCGCTCCGCCAGAGCTGCTTACTTTCTTATGCTTTTTTAAAATTTAACTTGGAAAAACTATTGGGTGTCAAAAAATTGGAAGGCAAATTATTCTCACTTATTAAGTATCTGGGATGAGAAATTTCTAATGTTGAAAGCCAAGATTCTGATTTTTTTTTTCTTGGTGAAAAAAAGTATCTGGTCTAATGTTGCTCAAGTGTGGCTTAGCTGTCTGAGACTGTAGCCTTAATCGAATGAAATGATTAAGGTCTGTCATTCCTTTACTCACCATAGCTTCAAATTTGTCAACCCATGCATCTCTGATGGGAAACTTTGCCCTCCAATTAATTTTTAAATTGTGAACAGTTTTAAAGTTGTTCACACTGGCTAGGGTCTGAGATTTCCAGGGTTGATATAGAATAGCTTTTTATTAAACTTCACATCTGACAGGGCTTATTGGAAGGAGACAGGAGAAAAATGGAAAAAGTCATCCTCAAGAAGATTAAAGTCTAACTGGAAGCAATGACTATCTGCTTGTGAAGCCTTTTTTTTTCCAAGTTAGACAAGTGTTAACTACAGCTAGTACTAAACATGGATCTATATGAGAGTAGGTAACATGGCTTCTGTCTTGTAGGCTCTAGAGGAATCTCAAGCAAAACCTCACAAATGATTTTCTTTTGCTATGCACATCTGTCTTATTACAACCCCCTTACCCCCAATTCCCTTGTCCTAGAAGATCCACAAGTAGGTTGGTTGCTGTGCATTGCTGTTACCCAAGGGCAGACAGCAACACTACAAATAGCTGCCTTAACGTCTTATCCTGGGGAGTTGGGGATTGATACGGAGGTAGGCCTTTAGAAAAATTAGACTATCTTTCCAAACCAGGCTGTTTTCCCTCTCACAATCACAAGTCAAGCTATTAGGCAGTTTTCAGAAGCTTGGACCACTTCTCCCATCCCCCACCGCAGTTTTTTTGCCCTGCTGTTCTTAGGGCAGGGGCTAAGTGGTTATTTAGGGTCTAAACCAATACTGGAAAGCTTCCCTAGGTTTACTCTGGGTGATCAGATTGATTACCAAACCAGGACAGGGGCTGTTTGAAAGAAGCATTAGAAATTCAAGACAATGAGAGAAATTGAAATAGGTCTTGTCTCCCATTCTTTTGCCCAAATGAATGCTTGTTCTTTTAGCTCATTAGGAAAGCCCTTAGCCTTGGAGGTACACAAGACCAGTCTTCTGTCCTACCCAAATTTCCCACTTAGCTTGGATGCATGTTAGCTTTGGGTCGAAGCAGACTATGCAATTTCTAAGACAGCTGAAAAGAGAGCTTTGAACTTTTCCCCAAGTTGCTGCAGGGTCATTGCTACCACCACGCCTACACCAATGATGCCTGACTTCAGGATCCAGAGGCCAGAAACGGACAGCTTTCTGGAAGAGGGTGTGTATCTACAAGGATTGCTTGCTGTATGAGCAATAATCACCTCTCTGGGGCTAGAGGGAGTACAATTTGAGAGGTGGGACAAAGTGGGGAATGTGCCAAGGCAAAAGCAGGAGTATGGAAATTCACTCCTGACACTTGTAGCCAATGCAAAGGGCCTTAGAAAAATCCACTCTTCCTTCCACACCCAGGCTTTGCCCTCTCCCCCTGCTTCCACTTCGGAAAGTCTGAAGCAGGCCTGGAAAGCTGTTTTCTGCTTTCTTTCCCTCTCTTCCTCCCCCTTTCCTGAGCTCCCAGCTGCTCGACCTCTTGCGTAACTGTGAGAGAGCGCTGAGTTTTTTGATGGGCTCCAGATGTGGAGCAGGGCGGAGATGGAGAGTGGGGGCGGTAGGTCTTTAGTCCCCTGAGTGCTCTAACTGTGGGAACATAGAGGCCTGACACAGCAGGGGAGAGGACACATTGCACAGCGCCTTTATCATAGGGTCAGCTGGTCCCTGTGTTGGGAGGTCAGTGAGAGAAGTTGGGTGCTGTTTCGACCCTCTGCCTCAGCATCCACTGCCTCCATGGCAGGCTTGATTATTCCCTGAAATTCCTCCTGCCCAGTACAGTAAAGAGGAGCTGGGGGCCGTGAAACAGAATGAAGTGAAAAGCCTCTGAGGTACTGCAATCTGGACCCCTCCCCTCAGTGCTGGGTCTTGGCACATGGGATACAACAGTTTGGGTTTTTTCCTTCTTCCTTTTTTTACATACCCAAATAGCCTGAATATTACTGTTGTGATCTGCCTCATGAAGGTTCATCAGAATTACTTTCATGACTTCAAACAGTATGAAGAGAGGAAAAACTAGAGTCTCGCTCCTCAAATCCTAGGACTTCCTGGTACCCACAGCATATTCTGGATCTTGAGTGTTCCACCTCCATTAGCTATAGCAGGTGGCAGCAAAGGGCGGCCTCTCCCCTCCCCCTCCTTGTCTGCTGCTTGGCCCCGGTCAGCTTCAGTCTCCAGCCGTGGGGGGTCCCCTGCTAAGGCCAGCCCTGTCAATGAGTGACCAGAGATTCCTGTAGTTCAGCCTCCTGCTGTTCCTGGGTTAGGGAGAGACGGCACAAACTAAACTCATTGAATTAGAACAGCACTTGTCCATCTCAAAGAGGATAAATTATTTTTTGCTATCCACCCCAGCTGGAATTTAGACCAGACTTACAGGCTTTCTGCTCCTTCCTTCAGTGAAGAAGAGTCTCCAGGGTCCCTCTAGTGCAGGTCAAAGAAGTCCAGTCCAGCTGAGTTCAGCTCCCTAGGGCCTCCCCAGCCAGTCTCCTGGACCAAGAGCTGGCTTTGCAAGGTAAGGATCCACTGTCAGCGTTGGATTTCGGAGTGGAGGTTGAGATGGAGAATGACTTCAACCTAGCTCAATTTGGGGGCTGCTTTTAGGTGTTTAGTGCCTCCTTCTCTTCCTTATTAACTCCCACTCCTACTACAGGTTGGTGTGCTCAATTGTATGTCTATAGCCTGCCTCCATCTCCCAATCTGTAATCCAGCAAGTCTGTCGGGGTGGAGGGGTGTGGAGCTCCATGGGGGCAAGATGATAATTCCATTCGGTTTTCCTGTGCTTTGGAGTTTGCATGACACTTTAACGAGTCTTCTTGTGCCTATCCTTAAGAAAGTCTGTGAAGCCTGATGTGCGTGGCTATCAATGTCATTTACAGCTCTTCATGGTGGGGCTTGGAATAGGGCGAGGGGAGGAGGTGACAGGGAGAAGACCTGGGTACCCTCAGTAGATGTTCTGGAGATGTTGAGAGCATGTTGTAGGGGCTTCGATTTGGGAGGTTCAGTGGGAGCCCGTGGAGGTTTCAGGCATCTAAGGCAAAAAGAAAGAGGGGAGAGTTTGGGGGAGGGAGAACGGATTGTCAAAAACACCCTCTCAAAAGCGTGTTAAAGCCTGGGAGTGGAGGGTGGTCTAGGAGAGTCGGGAGGGCAGGGTGGGAGGAGAGGGGGATGTGTGGTGGTGGTGGTGGTGGTGGTGGTGGTGGTGGTGGTGGTGGTGGTGGTGGTGGTGATGGTGGAGAGCCCAGCTGCAAAGATGAACAAAGCGGGCGCTGTGCAGGCTGGGGGAGGTGCTGCTGTGGGAAAGGGTGGGTGGGGGGACCTTGGGCTCCAGCCCCACAAGGGCGTCTTCTTTGGCTGGCCAGGCGGACGGGACGGGGGACGGGGGCGGGGACTGGCGGGAGGGGGGCGGGACAGGCTCGCTCTCCTCCTACTTAGCGAGCTCCCGGGGAAAAGCAACGGTGTCCTCCTAAGCCTGAGGCCACCGCGACCGAGCCGAGCCAGGCTAAGGGACCAGTGTCTCCCTGCCCCCCCCCCACCTCTAGGTAAGAGCGCCCCGTCCCACTACACTTGCGGGTCCCATTCGCTGCGGTGCTAGGACTGGATAAGGGGAAGTCCCCGGGGCCTGGCGAGAGCCCTGAGATCAGCTCTAGGCTAGGGAGCTCGGCAGAAACCCGTGGGGGAGAGAGGGCACCCCAGGTGAGTGCGTGGGGGCGAAAGGAGCGTTATGGGGAGTTTTCCTGTGAGCCTCTTGCTTTTGCCTTCCTCGGCCGCTGCCAACGCCACCGCCAGAGGGGGCCGTGACGCTCTCCCCCCCTTGGAGAAACTCTGATCCTGGCCCTATCCAGACTCTCCCGCCGGCACCCAGGCGGCCGGGCGGACACTCGCGGGGTATCGGGCGGCGAGCGCGCGCGCGGGTTTTCGTCCTCCAGCGCCCCACACCTCCCCCTCTCCGCCCACAGCAGGACCTTGGGGCGGGGGTATCTCCTGTGACGTCTCCCCGCCTGTCCCCAGGCCGGCCGCCTTGATGGACCAGGAAGGGATTCGGAGTCCGGCTCAGAGTCTTGAGCGTCTAGGAGGGCTGCCTGGGGGTGTCCAGGAGATGGGAAGCCCGCCTGGGGCCTCCCAGGCACTCCCCAAGGCCCCACGTCCTCGGGGGCCGGGGAGGCCGCCTGGGGCGCCTTGCCACGCCCGCGCGGTCCCTATTGGAATCCCTAGCGGAGTTCCCCGAGCGGAGGCTGACCCAAGTCATCCGGGCTCCCCCGGGATAGGGAAGTGCGGGCGGGCGGCTGGGTAGGGGCGCCGGCGCAGGGTGGCCGAGTCGCCCGCTAGCGCTTCCGCCGAGGCAGGCTCGAGTGGGGACTTGGCCGGGCGACCGCACAGCCCTGCCGGGGACCCACGGCTCTGGGGCGGGGCTGCATTCTGGGCCGTTAGCTCAGCGGTCCTGGAGCCTCCCGAGGCTGACTCATCGGGCGGCGGGCTCACCCCCCAGCCGTCAAACGCAAACGCAGGCGCCCCACCACGCCGGGCTCCCACGCGGCACACACGCACGCCTCCGCGACACTTCGCACACCTACGTCCCTGCGTCACGCCACCCAGACACACCCGGACCCGCCCACACGCCGAGGCCTTCCCACGCACTCCATGCCTTACGCCTCACAGGAAAGCGCCCCGCGCTCACGCAGCCCCTCACACCCGCAGCCCCGCTTACACGCGCCCCAGCTCACACATGCACCCCAGTCACACAGCCTACCTCACACACGCACCCCAGTCACACACACAACCCAGCTCACACACGTACCCGTCACACATGAGGCCCCAGCTCACACACGAAGCCCAGCTCACACACGCAGCCCCAGCTCTCACACACACACCCCAGTCAAACACGAGGCCCCAGCTCACACACGAAGCCCAGCTCACACACACTGCCCCAGTTACACAGCCCAGCTCATGCAAGCAGCCCGTCACACACACAGCCCAGCTCACACACACAGCCCAGCTCACACAAGCAGCCCGTCACACACACAGCCCAGCTCACACACACAGCCCCAGTTATACACACACAGCCCAGCTCACACACGCAGCCCGTCACACACACAGCTCAGCTCAATACACAGCCCAGCTCACACACACAGCCCCAGTTACACACACAGCCCAGCTTACACACACAGCCCAGCTCACACACACAGCCCATCACACACACAGCCTATCACACACACAGCTCAGCTCAATACACAGCCCAGCTGACACACGCAGCCCAGCTCACACATACACTCCAGCTCACACACGCAGCCCGTCACACAGCCCCAGCCACACACACAGCCCAGCTCACACACGCAGCCCAGCTCACACATGCAGCCCCCTCACACATGCAGCCCCAGTCACACACACAGCCCAGCTCACACCGCAGCCCCAGCTCACACACGCGGCCCCTCACACACATTCAGCCGCCCTTCCCGCAGCTGCCAGGCTCGGAACGGGCGGTGTCTGTGGGGGCCGCCCCGTTTCCCGGCCGCGCAAACAAGCGGCTCCTTCTCTCTGCCCCGCCAAAGAAAGGCCGCTTGTCAGGGGCGGGCGGGCAGGCGGCAGCGGCAGGCGCCCAACACTGCGGCCTTGTCCCACGCGGGCAGCCTGGGCAGGAGCAGGCCGAGGGGTGCAAGGGGCCGCTACCTTGCGGAAACCTCCCTCCCTCGGCCCTGCGGACCGCGGAGAGGCACCTTTCCACCACCGGACACCCAAGCAACAGCCCTCGCTCCATCCGCGCTCTCCCGGCTCCCCCTCTCCTCGGGCCGCCCATCTCTCCTCTCTTCCGCCTTTGGGGTCCCGGTGGGCCCCAGCCTCCCTCTCCTTCGCCCCATCTCCCCGCCCGTCAGCCTCCCCTCCGCTGCCCTCGCGCATCCCCAGTGTTCCCGTCTGTCGTCGCCTCCACTTGAGGACCCGCCTGTCCTTTCTTCCCCCGACCCCTCCACCTCTGTGTTCTTCAGTCTCCCCGCATCCTCTGCCCTCGGTCTTCCCCTCCCCAGCTTGCATTTTTTCCCATCTCTTAGTCTGCCTTTCATTTTCCCCTTCACATCCCGGTGGCTCCCCTTCCCCGCCCCGTCCCTCTGCACACCCCCATTCATCTCTGTCAGGTTTTTCTCATCCTTAAGTTCTCTCGTCCCCCTCCCCACTCGGGCGTCCCCCGCTGGGCTCCCCGCCTCAGTTTCCTTCCCTTCCTGACTCCTTCCTCTGACGGCGGCCCTTTCTCGAGGGCGGATGTGCGCCTGGAGGGCGAAGGCGGCGGCCGAGAGGACCCCAGCTCGGCCTGGCGGGCCTCTGGCCACAGCCATGCACCGCTTGGGCCGAGGCCGAGGCCGACCCCCAGGGACACAGGTGAGGCCGGGCGACCCGCGGGGCTCCGGGGAGCGCCCGAGCAGTGGCCCCGCGAAGGGCCGGGTCTGGTGCTCTGGGGCTGGCTTTGGACCTCTCGTCCTGGGACTCCGTGGGAGCCCGGGAGCTGTGTCAGTGCCCGTTGGTGCTGGAGCCAGTCGGCCCTTCCTTGGCCTCCTTCAGGCGGGGGCCAAGACCCCCGAGAGTTCACTCTGGGTGCTCCACTCGGCGGAGAGGGCTTCAGACTGGTGTCCCGCGTGGCTGGGGTGTCGGCGCATTCCCGCGGGGGAGGAGGCCGAGGGCCCGGGCCGGGGTCACCTGCCGGCGCCCCGGCCTTGCGCACAGAGGGCCTTGCCTGTCGCTCGTCAAATCCAGACACCTGGGCCTCCGCCACTCGGCTGCCGGGGCGGCACTGGGGCGTCTGTACCCAGCGTGCGGGAGGGCACCCAGGGCCGGACGCGCACCGCAGGGGTCTTTTTTTGGCCGCGGGGCCGGGCGGGCGGGTAATGACAGCCGGGTTGCTGGGGAGCCGCGGGCCAGATGGAAGCGGGGCCGCAGGTGAGGGACGTCCCTCGCGTAGCGCCACTCAGCCGCCGGGGCCAGAGCGGGAGTCAAGGTGAGGGCGCCCCCAGGTGGCCGCTCTCGGCCGCGGCGATCGCCCTTTGGGAAAGCACCGCCTGAGTGCAGGGCAGGTTGGCCTGGTGTCTCTTTCCACTTCTCTTGGATCAGGTTACTGTGCTGGGGCCACAGCCTCGCACCTCCCAATCTCTCCATCTTTTCTTATCTTCTCCCCACACCTCTCTCCTTATCTCTCCCTTTACTTTCGCCTCCTTATTCTCTTCTCTCCTCTAATCACTCTTGTTCTCCATCGGCCTTACTCCTTTACAATCTTTATCTCCACTTGAAGTTCTTGGGTGTAAATAAATGAGCACACCACAGCTGCCCCACACGGCGATAGTGACCAATACTCCAATATGACAGATAAATAAACTAACGCCCAGACAGGTGAACTGCCTTGCTCCAGGTCACACAGCTCATAATAATAAACGGGGCCAGGCGCGGTGGCTCACGCCTGTAATCCCAGCACTTCGGGAGGTCGAGGCGGGCGGATCACCTGAGGTCGGGAGTTCGAGACCAGCCTGACCAACATGGAGAAACCCCGTCTCTACTAAAAATACAAAATTAGCTGGGCTTGGTGGCAGGAGAATCGCTTGAACCCGGGAGGTGGAGGTTGCGGTAAGCCGAGATAGCACCGCTGCACTCCAGCCTGGGCAACAAGAGTGAAACTCCGTCTCAAAAAAAAAAAAAAAATAATAATAATAATAATAAATGGCATTAAGTGCTTTGCTTTCACAGAATGCCATTTAATATAATACCTGAATTTCAGACAGTCCTTTTTAAAAAACTGACAGCTTTATTGAGGTATAATTTATATACTATAACATCCACCCAATTTAAGTATGCAATTAAAAGATTTTTAGTATATTTACAGAGCCATGCAATCATCACAATTTAATTTGAAAACATTCCCCCCACCCCACCCCCACCAAACTTGTGCCCTTTTACAGTCACTCCTCATTCCACCCCTAGCCCCAGGCAAGCACTGATCCAGACAGTCTTTTTTATTTTTTTCCATTACTCTAGTTTTATAGAAGAATAACTTGATAATCAGAGAAGTTAAATAACTTGTCTAGGATCTTATAGCTAATAAATAAATAAAGTCAGGGTAGAATTTAAGGCTTTATATATCCCAGTCTAAAGTTCTTTCTACCAAAGGATGATGTTTCTCCTTCACCATTATTTATTATTTTGTTTTTCTTAACCCCTTTTTTACATAAACTCCCCATTCCCAACCCACTCTCTTGCCCCTCCTCCCTCAGAAAATGCTGAGGGATTTCCCTGAGTCTAAGGAAGCAGTACAGCAATCTTTGTCCTTGGAAATTCTTCTCCATGGCCAGGAATTCTGGGGAGGTGCCAGGCCAGCTTGGGGCTTTGCATAGGTTAATGGCGTTTTCCCTCCCCTCTTCCCTGGCAGTCTTGGGGTGGGCCCCAGCCTGGGTTCCGGCCTCTCTTCCGCCAGCTTGGGTGGAAATGGTGACGGAGATGATGCAGTCCAGGTCCGGAAGGGTGGAAGCTGGGAGGGTAAATTTAGTAACACCATAGCTAAGGTCCTCGGGACCCACTGCCAGGGTCAGACACTCCTTGGAATGCGGGCTGCTGCCCCTACTTCCTTTCCAAGTCCCCTGGTAGATGGCTTGAAGAGAGAGTGGAAGGAAACCCTGTTTCCCTGGGTCTGCCTCCTTACCCCTCAGCCACACTCTTAGCTTTCCCCAGTAACATTTCAGCAGCAAGTGGGAAGTTTCTCAGCTTAGCTAGTTGGCCAAGGGATGGGCATGGGGGCATACATTAGTACACAAAGGTCCTCACATCTCAGATACCAAAAACATGAGCCAGGGAGAGAGGGATGCATGGTGGGTGAGGGGCAGTGGGGTGGTGGTGGGGAGTATTCAAGTTCTGGCTCTGGAATCTGTCTTACTCCTGGTTCTAATGGTTTAAGCTTCCTATAGCACCTAGCCAATTAAGAACCCAAGAGTTGAGCCCAATATTCCCAGTATTAGTTATCACTAAAGTTTTTTGTTTTTAATTAAAAAAAATTTTTTTAGCTGATTGTGTTGGGTTGAGGTTGCTTTCTGGGGAAGAAAAGGTGTAGGAGTTGAGACATCTGGAGATAGCAGGAATGGCTGAGTTTTTCTTTTGTGTCTCCTTTAAGAAAACATCCTACTAAAGCCCTGGGAAAAGAGACAAATGGTGAAGAGGAGAATGAAAGGTTGCAGGAGGGAGCTCCTGTTTTAGCCCTGCCACCTACCTGGGGGCCCTCTGGCTACCAGTGTCCTTGGAGGGGCTTCCTTGCTGCTTCTCCCACTAAGGTAGATTTTCCCCACCCTGCTTAAGGCTCCACAGGGCCAAGGGTCTTCAGCTGTCAAAACCCGGGTTCTGAGTAGCATAGGGCAAGAAAGCACAGAAGTATAGATTGGGCCCTATGGGACTGTTTGTGCTTACAGTGGCAGGGGGCAGGACTGGTATCCATGCTGTGGCTGGCTGGAGACTTGGCACTGCTCCCAGACAACTCCCACCCAAGCTCTTTAGCTGCCTCTATTTCCCTTCAGCATGAGCATTTGGGGAATGATGGTGACTGGTGACACCTCTGCCCTGAGAACCCTGCCACAGAACCTACTTCTTTCCCTCTCCTGCCCTGGCCTCCCCACTCACCACCTTTCTGCTGTGTCCCTAGGAGCTCTGGAGCCTTAGGACCATGGACGCTCTCAATAGGAACCAAATAGGCCCTGGATGCCAGACCCAGACCATGGTGCAGGTGAGTGGGATCAGGGCTGTGAGGCAAGAGAGATATAATAGGGATGGGATCAGCTCTTCTACCCCCTTGTGGTCCCAGCCCAAGGATGAAAGGAGCAATTCTGTTCCTCTCTGCCCTTCCCCAGGTCCCAAGCCTATTAACAGCTCAGTCTTTATCTGAATCAGGTTAATTGGTTCACCCAGAAACTACCCATCGAAAGTCCGAAAGCAGTTTACAGATTGACCCTGGGCTGTATCACTCTCCTTGATCCATGCCTCTATCTTCCCTGTACTTGAGCTTAGCAGGGGCAAGCAATGGCCACGTGGATAGCCATGGACAAGTCTGCAGGGAGCTTGATTGGCCTTCCTCTACAGTACCCCTGCTGCTTATCCAATGCCACCCCCACCCCCCACCCCTTTCTCCTTGCTTCTGTTTTAATAGACAAAAGGCACAGTTAAGCCAAGACTTGCGATAAATCCAGTGGGATGAGTTAGTGGCCTAGATTCAGATCTAATTACAATTTAGTGGAATCATGCTCTGTGTAAGATTTTGTGCTAAGCCTTTCAGCACCCTCAGAGCCCTTCGGAGAGGGGCGAGGGCTGGAGAGAGTGCTGGTGTGACTGGTTTAGGGTGGTAAGGTGCTGAATCTAATGATGCTTGTCCTCCACCCGTACTACCTACAGAAAGGACCCTTGGACCTGATCGAGACAGGCAAAGGGCTGAAAGTGCAAACGGACAAACCCCACCTGGTGAGCCTGGGCAGTGGGCGACTCAGCACAGCCATCACCCTCCTGCCGCTGGAGGAAGGTAAGTGTGAACAGGGCATCTCACTCACCACCCCTCTATCCTTATAGGCATTCCTGCCCTGGAGGCCCACCTCCTGCATGTGTTGGGGCCCTTCTACTGTCTGCTGGTGCTCGCCTCCCCACACCACCAGCTTGCTTCCCTTGTCTCTGCCTCCCCAGACTGCCTGCCTTCCTTGGTAGATGATCTGGTTCCACGACTGGGCTTAAAGATCAGCTTAGAAACAAGGAGGAGAGGCCAGGTGTGGTGGCTCACGCCTGTTATCCCAGCACTTTGGGAGGCTGAGGCAGGCGGATCACGAGGTCAGGAGTTCTAGACCAGCCTGGCCAATATGGTGAAACCCCATCTCCACTACAAATACAAAAATTAGCCAGGCGTGGTGGCACGGGCCTGTAGTCCCAGCTACTCAGGAGGCTGAGGCAGAAGAATCGCTTGAACCCAGGAGACAGAGGTTGCAGTGAGCCGAGATCGTGCCACTGCACTCCAGCCTGGGCAACAGAGCGAGACTCTATCTCAAAAAAAAAAAAAAAAAAAAAAAAGAAGAAGAAAAGAAACCATGAAGAAAGCACTGAGAGAAACAGGAGAACACATTGCTCTTAGCAACCAATGTGGCCAAGAAGAAAAAGGGCCCCGCTCCAGGGCATTGTCTTGCATGGGAGGGTATACCATAGATGGAGAATGGAGAGATGGGAGTCAGGGCAAGATCTCCCAAGATGAGGCCCTGGCACAGCCCCCTTCACCTTTCAGCTTCTGCCCGCCCTCTCTACTCTCCTGGCTGCACTTGTTGCCTGGGTGATACTACATTCTCCACATTCTCCAAATACCAGTCCCAGGGGCTCTGTCAGCGGGAGGGGCTGTTCTTGCTGCAGTTAGGGGAGAGCCTGCACTGAAGAGAGAGGTTGCACTGAAGAGAGAGGTTAGCAAGGGAGACGAAGTGTTGCAGGTAGCAGAAGCGGGGGAGAGAAGAAGGAGAGAAAGGGAGATTTAGAAGAAATGAGGAGTAGGATGAAGGGGAAAAAGGATAAAGGACAATAGGGAGAGGCAGTTGGGGGAATAAGGGAAGATCTGCAGAAAAGCAGTCTTCCTTCTCCATCTGTGGAGTCTAGGTCCTACTGTGTGCTGTCTGGGTCTTCCCATCTCTGGGCCTCCCATTCTCAGGCAGAGTTTTCTCTGTTTGAGAACAGCGTCCATCACTTACTGTATAGACCAGGCTCAGGGGCCTAGTAGGGGTGGCCAGTGGTGGGCAGAGATTCTCCCTGGAGTAGGAGGTGGAAATATGTTTCCACTGTGGCCCTCCTTGCCCTGTCACTGCCTCCTCAGCCTGGACAACCCCTCTGATTCAGTTTGCCTCTTGTCTCCAGGGAGGACGGTGATTGGCTCTGCAGCCAGAGACATCTCACTACAGGGCCCAGGCCTGGCTCCAGAGCACTGCTACATCGAGAACCTGCGGGGCACCCTCACCCTCTACCCCTGTGGCAATGCCTGCACTATTGATGGGCTCCCTGTCCGGCAGCCTACCCGGCTCACTCAGGGTAAGGCTGGACACCTCCAGATGGAGGGGGCCTCTGTTTAAAGGCTTGTGTGTATTAGGCACAGGGGAGGCTGGCTGTGGTGGTTGCCATGGTAACTGCCTGAGTGACCATACTGGGAATGGAGTACTCAGGTGCATCTGGATGTGCCTAAACAACATCCCAAACCCTTTCAGCATCCAGACATGTTTTCAACCTGCTTTTCTTCTCTGGTCACCCCCAACCTGTCTCCACATACTATGGGGAGAGAAGAGGTTCTGATTCCCGCCATCAGAGGGCCTGGGGCATGATGGCGTTGTTAATGGTTGTTGGGGAAGAGCAATTGGAGCAGCAGTGAGAGGGTATCAATGGCATTGTTCCATGATGCCAAGAGGAAGTTGTTTTGAGAAGCTGGAGAGGAGGACAATACTTCCTGATGGGGATGGGGCAAGGGTAAATCTCAGGACATGCCTGCTCCTGTTACAAGACTGCTGACAGTAACTTTTGGGTCACGAATATAACCCAAAGCAATAGGCCATTCTGTTGTGTAAGGTAGCTCTAAAAACTAGGCCCCTGGCTAGGCATGGTGGCTCACGCCTACAATCCCAGCACTTTGGTAGGCCGAGGTGGGTGGATCACTTGAGGACAGGAGTTCGAGATCAGCCTGGACAACATGGTGAAACCCTGTCTCTACCCAAAATACAAAAATTAGCCACACGTGGTGGCACACGCCTGTAGTCCTAGCTACTCGGGAAGCTGAGATAGGAGAATCGCTTGAACCTGGGAGGCAGAGGTTGTAGTGAGCTGAGATGGCACCATTGCACTCCAGCCTGGGCAACAGAGCAAGACTCCGTCTCAAAAAATAAATAAATAAAAAATAAAAATAAATAAAAACTAGGCCCATAATTACTATGGTTAGCAGGCAGGTAAGCGGTTGGCCCAGGTAGCACTTTGACAGACCAGGTGTGCTCACCCTGGAAACAGGGTTCTGGGCATCAGTTCATACAGTGAGTTGTCAGATTAGGAGAATGAGAAAAACAGATTTGGGTGGAGGTTAGAGGTGAAGTTAAAGGCTAACAGCAGGACAGGAACTTTGGGCTAAGCCTGGCTCTGAGCAGGCTCTGATGGTCTGGCATTGTTTTCTGGGGGCTCTTACTGCCTAGAAGCCCCTTGGAAGTGGCCATCCTACTCACTCCACTGTCTCCTTCTCTCCTCTTCATCCTCCTTAAGGCCTTTCAATGTCACTTCCTTCACAGCTGATCCAGGAGACCTGACATTTCCCCCGTCTTTTTTTTTGATACGGAGTCTCACGCTGTTGCCCAGGCTGGAGTGCAGTGGCATGATCTCGGCTCACTACAACCTCCACCTCCTAGGCTCAAGCGATTCTCCTGCCTCAGCCTCCCAAGTAGCTGGGATTACAGGCACCTGCCACCGCCCGGCTAATTTTTTTTTTTTGACCCCAGTCTTTTCTTCCTGCCCTCGGGTAGGGGGCAGGGCATGGACAATTGACTTCAGGGAGGCAGGTCCACCAGCAGCAGTACGTAGGCCCTTGCCTTCTCCAGGGATTCAAGGTCTCTGACTTTGGATGAGAGGAGGAACCCCCAAAAATTGGGGCTTGGCTATGATGGCAGTGGGTTCCTAACAGTCCTGTTCAGTCTCAGAGAGAGCATCTTCTCTAAGATTTGGGAGCATGGAGATGAGACAATAGAGCAGCAAGGAGAGGCAGGGCAAAGTTCAAAGAAGGCCCAGCACTTACCACCCCCGCCCCAAACCCATCACATTCATCGGTAAGAACATTGTTCCCCTGCATGTTGTGAGCAGGGTATGCTTCTGTTGTCCAGTCTTTCCAATGCATCATTTAGCTCCCTGAGAAGGGGAGAGCCTAGGGCTAAGATGGAATTCTGAAGCATTTCCTGTGGCCCCAGTGACCCTTCCCGACTCTTCTCCAGCCAGAGGCCTACCCAGCCAAGTATGTACCCTCCCACTCTCTTCTGACCCTAAACCCCTTCCCATTTTCCCTCCCCAACCCCCATAGCCTTCTTGTCTGGGCTCGCCTGTCTCAGAAGCTTGGCAGCCTGTGGAGGGGTAGGCAGAGGCACAAAGGAATGGGTGTTCTTCTCCCCAGTCCTCCCCCTCCCCTGGGCTCCAGGAGCTGAGGGTTTCCTTGTCTCATCTCTGGAGCAAGGCACCAAGCCCAGCCCTGCCTGGCCCCACTCCGGACATTCTTGGGAGTGTGTTTCCCTGGAAACTGGGTGGCTCGGGGGTGCATGTGCTATCTCTGTGTGTCTGTGTAACCGGAGTGTGTTTATGTAGCTCCGGATGTGTTTGTGACTCTGGGCTTACGAATCCTGTGTTTGTGTCTTTCCTTGTGTTTATCGATCAGTGTGTTCAAGTGGGCGGCAGGGGTGAACTCAGGACTGATGGTACCAAAATGTCTGTGTGTGTACTCCTATGTGTATATGAGACCCCACTAGTCATATGCCTATCTGTGAGCATATATACAAGACGATCATTTTCCCTACCTTGTTCCCCTAATCTGGCCTTGTAGACGGGACCCTCCTCTTTCAAAAACAAGGGCTACTCTGGGAATAACAAGGAGTGTGCTTTGGCCTTAGATGCATCATTCTGGGCACTGTGCCCAGCCATAGGCAACTTGGAGAGACACACTTCATGACAAGCAGAGATGGCAGTGACAGGCTCTTCCAGCAGGAATATGCCTGGGCCAGGGGAAAGGGGAGGCAGGCAGAAAACAGATGCCAACCTTTAGCACAGAGCTATGAACATAGGAGCATGAAGTGAGGGAGCCAGGAAGGTCCTGATTCCACCCCCTGTACCCAGGCATCTCGGCACATCCCACATTGCCCTCTTCTCTACAGAGCAAGGGGTGGAGCTGGGAATAGGACCAAGGGAATGAGGAGGAATCTCAATCTGGGTCTAGGCTGCCCCACCCTGGGACCACAGCGCCAGACCACATGAAAGATCTGGGAGGGAACCAAGCAGGGGAGGACCCAGAAAGCCACCAGCTCAGGGCCCAGGCTGTCTAGACAGTAGGTCCCCATCCACTCCTAGCATTTCCTCCGAGCCCTGGTCTCCAGTCTCCTTCATTCCCTAAGCCTCTCACTGGTGGGTAGGGGCTTGTGTGAGGGCCAGCAGAGGAGTGTGGCTGGGGAGCCGGATCTCTGGGTTATCCAGCTGCCTCTCTCTGGGATCTAGGACATTCAGCCTCTTTTTTTTCCCACCCAGTTATTCCATCTGTAAATTGGGAGTGAAGCCTTCAACCTTTTTCTGTTATGAGACTGATAACGATCTTGACTAATAAAGCTCAAAAGAAGGAGGGCAGAGCAAGGCTCCCAGCTTCCCACTTCTTTGTGTCTGCCTCCTGCCCTATTTCTCATTGGCGGGCATCCTCTGTGTCTGCCTAGGTCTATCCAGCTGGCCCTCACAGTTTCCAGACCGATGAATCACTCTTCCTGAGGAGATTTTTTTTAAAGCCTCCCTTCATTTTGCATTTGACCCTATATGGTTCTTCCTTTTTCCTCAGAAGGGAATAAGATACGTGTGCACATGTGAGCGTGTGCATGTGTATGCATATAGTTGGCAGCATGGGTGAGTGGGCTAGTGGGCTGTTTAGCAAGAATGGAAAACTTGCCTGATTATTCATCTAAGAGGTTGATTTTATTTCAGAGTTTCTCCAGGGACTAAGTGAAAGGAAAGCTATGCCTGGGTGAGTGTGTAACTAAAAGGAGTTGTCTGGGGGATGTGTGCATGAGAATAAAGGTGTGTGAGAGACAGTGTGTTTAATGAGGGTGTCTGTGTGACTCAGAGCATGCAGAGATGAAGTAGTGTCAGTGTGACTGAGCAAGTGTTGGTGTGTATCTGAGAGACACTGTGTCAGGCTGTGTGAGCTGCTGAGAGCATAAAACATTGTGTCCCGTAAGGCTCTGGTGTGCAGGGGCCAGGTCCCTGGAACAAGAGGAACTCTCTGGGGGACCTGGCTGGATGGTAGGTATTAATACCTGACTGGGCCGGGTGCAGTGGCTCACGCCTGTAATCCCAACACTTTGGGAGGCCGAGGCGGGCAGATCACCTGAGGTCGGGAGTTCGAGACCAGCCTGACCAACATGGAGAAACCCCATCTCTACTAAAAATACAAAATTTGCTGGGTGTGTGGTGGCGCATGCCTGTAGTCCCAGCTATGGGAGGCTGAGGCAGGAGAATCGCTTGAACCCCGGAGGCGGAGGTTGCAGTGAGCCGAGATCGCACCATTGCACTCCAGCCTGGGCAACAAGAATGAAACTCCATCTCAAAAAAACAGAACAAAACAAAACAAAACACCTGCCTGACTCAGAATCTCAGCCTGACTTTGCGGGCTCCAGATATCTGTTTCCCAA
The DNA here is from genome assembly GCF_000001405.40 of Homo sapiens. Taxonomy (NCBI): domain Eukaryota; kingdom Metazoa; phylum Chordata; class Mammalia; order Primates; family Hominidae; genus Homo; species Homo sapiens. The sequence goes on from NC_000011.10 coordinate 118,620,579, forward strand.
GTAGGATGGGTACCTTATTGGGGTCGGAGGGCTCTTTGCTGGGTCTAGCACAACTGGATGTTGTGGCTGGGGTGCGGGCTGGCTCCCAGGGGCCCAGGAAGTGGGCTGGCCGGAAAGGGCAGTGCCTTGGTCCACTCTGGGTCATGAGTTGAGCTATGGGGAGTGGGGCCGGAAGAGGAGGTGTTTAGGGTGGAGACAGGAGGTGGGCTGAGTGCTTGCATTGTACAGAGCACTGCTTTGGCCTGAACTCCCAGCCCAGGGTGACCTTGTTACAGTGGCAGCCTGAGGGCCAGAGCAGGACCCAGTGACCTAGCTGGATCCTGTAGAGCCCCTGCTCTTTTCCTCTCCCTCTCTCTCTCAGATATGGACCCATGGAATGTCAGAGTTGACTTTCTGTAGATAAGGAAGCCGAGGCCAGAGGGTGTGACTGGCCCAAGGTACTACAGCCAGTCAGGGCCGGCCAGCCCAGCTGCCACTGACCTCTTACCACAGGGGGCTGGGAATGAGACCTGTCCTTTGCTTGGCCTCACTCCTGCCTCCTGGCTCTTCACTCTGGCCTCTGTACTTACCTCTCACCTTTCCTTCACTCAGTCACCTCCCTTGAACCTTTCCTTCCCGCCCACTTTTCTTCCTGCCCTCGATGCAGGATCCCAAGCCGGCTCCCTTTCTGCATCCTCCCGCCCCGCCCTCTCCATCCAGCTCTCCACTCGTCTCCTCCATCACTTCCTCTTCCCCTCCTCCTCTCCTTTGTCCCTCCCTCCCTGGCTCCCTTCCCCCGCCGCTGGTGGCCGGCCCGCCCCTCCCCGGGCATTGGCGGCTGCTCGCTGCCTCGCTGCTCGCTCCGAGCCTAGAGCCGGCAGCTCGGGAGGTCGGCCCGCCCCCTCAAAGGCTCCGGGCGGGCCCGGGACCTGGAGGGCCCGAGCTAGCGGGGGCGAGCGGTCCGGAGGTCCGGTTTCGGCGGTGAGTCCTCAGCCCCGGGCCAGCCACAGTCCCCAAGCAGCCAAGCTTGGAGAAGCTCAGACTGGGAGGGGCGTCTTGAGGAGGGTGGGCGGGAGGAGGTGCATGGGGTCCTCTGACCTTCTTTGGGAGCTTGAGGCTGAGAGACTCGATTGTGTGTGTTCCCTGAACATTTCTAAATGGGGATTCTGGGCTTGGGGGCACTTCTCAGCCGGTAGACCTTATCTTCTCCAGCGCTCCGGCAGTCCCCTCCTTAGGACCCACCTCCCTCAGATGGGGTTAAAGAGTCCTGGTTAGAATGAGGGGAGTCTACCTTATGGCCAAGGAGGGTCTCTGATAGGAAGGACCAAGGCCCTTCCTCCCATATTCCCTTCACTCGGTCTCCCTTTGGACAATCCATTCTATTTGTGTGACCAGGAGGGCAGTGACAGTAGCTCTGAGAGTGTGTGAGCATGTACGCCCATAAGTCTGTTGTGTTACTATGAGTGTGTATGAGTGTGAGCCTGTTTGTGTTGGTGTTTCTCCTCTGCATCTCTCACAGATAGGATTCACCCTCTCCTTCGCCCAGTTTTTCCCCTCCAGATGTGCAGCTCCTCCACCCACCTGCACACAGCTGGACCCTGATCCCCCCTGGGCATGGGGGACACTGATCATGACTTTGGCAGGATGGGCAGGGATTCCTGGGCTCCCTGAAAGGGCTGGCCTTTGCGGGTTGGGGTGGGAGTGGGCAGAGAGGAGGCTTCTTCCCAGAAACAGGCTGGCCAGACCCCTGGGGGCTGTAGGGGCCAGCATCAGGGCAATGCCTGAAGCTTCTGCATGCAAATAGAAAGTTAATTTGGGCAGGAGCTGGGCTGCTCTCAGTCCTGCTGCCCTCCTGCCCGCTCTATTAATACGGATCCAGCTCTGCTGCCTGGCATCACTATTTATAGCCCAGAGGCAGCATGGCCACACCCCCTTATGCCGGGGAGGGTGAAGGGCTGAGGAGGGGGCAGAAAACACACAGCTATAGGGGCCCAGGCAGAGGATCCCTAGATGCCTACATCCTACTTGGGTGGGCCTGGGACTGCTGGGCTGGAATCCACTCAGACTCCCTGCCTCCTTCCCAGCCTGGACTGTGTGGTCAGGCTCCTGATCCCTACCACCCACGACCCTGGGTTGAGTGGCTCTGTCTAGACCCTGTGAACTCATCACCAGTAGGCTTGTTAAATGGCTAAATGGAGGGGGAGGGGCTTGACAGGGCTCTTTCTGAAACAGCTGTGGTTGTAATTAGGTGGACAGTGTGGTTGGCTATTATTTATTCCAGTTTTGAATACTCTGGGATCCTCTTCTCTGATTGGTGACTTGGCAGGGAAGGCTCCCTCTCTCTCCTTTAGAATTGTTGGTGTCTGGCTGCCTGGGAGGGCCTTTGTGTATGCCAGGATAGTGAGTGGCTTTATCCACTATGGTTATCTGCCATGGGCTTCTCAGCCTACTAAACCCCCAACCCAAGCAATGCCCAGGATCCCAGGAACAGGCTCCTGAGCTTCTCAGTAAGGGACCTGCCAAGGTACTCACGTGGCCTGGGATGCCTCTTGCCCTTGCGGCCTGCCTGAGCTGAACTGTCTCAGCGTCCAGGAATGTAGACTTCTCTGCCAGTCTTAGCTCAGACTGGCGTGAAGCTTGGGGTGCCAAGTGGCACCAGATTGGGTAGACAGGAGGCTGAGGCCGGGGGCCAGGGGTGTGGACAAATTGGAAGGATTGGTGGTAGAGAGCAACAGGGCTCTGGCTTCTCCCAACATAGTATCTTCTGCAGTAGCCCTCCAGCACCTGGTGTGGCTGGGAGGTGGAGTTCTGCTAGCTACAGTTAGGCGCCTGTGGGCACATCTGCCACTGTGCACACTCCAGGTGCCCCTGGCTACATTTTCCAGCTCCCACATGCCCTCCCCCTCCAGGTACTCACACTTCCCGGGCAGGACTGGGCTTGTGTCTACTGCCTGGGAATGTGCTTGGCTGAGGCCGGGCCTGGTGGCCTAGTCTTGGCCTGATGCCAGGGGAGACCAGGGAGCATGCAGAGGGTGCTTAGTCAGAAAGAAAGGTGGTGGTCGCTCCCTAGACTTGCAGTGCACAGCTCTCCTAAGGTCACAAAACAAGAAAGAGTGGGAGCAAATTCAGGACCCCCCCGGTTCATCTGACTGATCCATGGTTTTTCCCCTTGTTCCCTATCTCAGTTTTTTTTTGTGACCCTGGAAGTTGCTGCCTCTCAGACTGACTCTTCTACCCTTCTACCCAAGGGGCAGATAGATGGATCATGGATACAGGCTGGGGTTGGGGGACAGGTGTGTCTGTGTTCTCTGAACATTTGTGTGTGTGTGTGTGTGTGTGTGTGTGTGTGTGTGTGTGTGTGAGACGGAGTTTCGCTCTGTTGCCCAGGCTGGAGTGCAGTGGTGTGATCTCGGCTCACTGCAGCCTCTGCCTCCTGGATTCAAGCAATTCTCTTGCCTCAGCCTCCCAAGTAGCTAGGACTACAGGCGCACGCCACCACCCCCAGCTAAGTTTTGTATTTTGAGTAGAGACGGAGTTTCACCATGTTGGCCAGGCTGGTCTCGAACTGCTGACCTCAGGTGATCCGCCCGCCTTGGCCTCCCAAAATGCTGGAATTACAGGTGTGAGCCACCATGCCTGGCCTCTCTGAATATATTTTTACAGAGTACTTTCACATACACTGTCTTATTAACCCTACAAGATCAGTGGTATTGTCCCCATTTTTCTGATTAAGAGAACTAGATTCAGAGGTGAAGTTACTTCACCCAGAGATCTCACAGCTAGTAAGAAGAGGAATTAGGACGAGGACTCAGATCTTGGGACTCACTCACCAGTGCTTTTTCTACTCTGTCTTGTGCTGCGGAGCCCTGGAGGTGCCCATCTCAAGCACAGGCAAGGTCAGGTGTGGACTGTGTGGACTCTGAGAGCAGATGAGGATGGGTCTTTAGAGCTGAGGTGAGCCTGCTAGTGCTGTGAGGTGGGGTAACTTCAGTCCTGCCTGCCCTTCCAAGTGTTTTCTCTCTTTCTTCCTTTCTTTTTTTTTTTTTTTTTTTTTTTTTTTTGAGACAGAGTTTAGCTCTTGTCATGTAGGCTGGAGTGCAGTGGCATGATCTCAGCTCACTGCAACCTCCGCTTCCTGGGTTCAAGCTATTCTCTGATCTCAGTCTCCTGAGTAGCTGGGATTATGGGATTACAGGCGTCCACCACCACACCCGGCTAATTTTTGTATTTTTAGTAGAGACGGGACTTCACCACATTGGCCAGGCTGGTCTCCAACTCCCGACCTCAGGTGATCCACCCTCCTCCGCCTCCAAAAGTGTTGGGATTACAGGTGTGAGCCACCACACCTGGTCTTCAAGTGTTTGCTTTCTCTGCAGGCTGCATGTTGTGCCTGGGTCAGTCCACCTTCCTTCGCTTTAACCACCCGGCTGAAGCCAAGTGGATGAAAAGCATGATTCCAGCAGGGGGCCGAGCCCCTGGGCCCCCCTACAGCCCTGTTCCTGGTAGGTACCGACGGGGGCAGGGTGCTGGGTTGATGGTGTTCCTGCAGCAGTCCTCCTCCTTGCTCACTTCAGCCACACTTGGAGTGTTAGGGCAAGACAATACCTAAGGTCTGGGCTCACTGCCACCTGCCATGGGCGGGTGGAGAATGCCAGGCAGTGGGGCCACTGAGAGCTAACCAAGGCAGTGCTGCTTAGCTAAAATTGGGAAATTATGTGCCTCGAGGGATGGCAAGCTCTGCCAGCTTGTACCCCACTGCCCTGGAGGATGCCACTCAGTGTCTGGAACTCTGGCCCACTTGTGTCACCACAGGGAGCCTCACCCTCTAGGGTACCCTGAGGGGCAGAAGGAAGCATTAGGTTGAACTCCCTGTAAGCTGTGGTGGGGATCATGTCCTTGGGCCTCGCCCAACCCTCACTCCATGCCCTGCCCGCTGATGACTCAGTGGAGCAGCTGTATTTTGTGTGTGAATTATTGATCCCCAGAAGAGAATTGGTGATTGTTCTGGGGAACCAACACAGGCCCCCTCAGCCCAGCTGCACAGGGGGGCAGGAGGGGTGCAGACCAGGAGGCTATTATGGGTTTACCATCTCAGACTTTGCACTGGCATTTAGATGGCTATGGGGTGACAGGTGCTGGGACAGATGGACATGGATGTCAGGTACACCTAGTGGGGTGGTATCAGCAGCCTAAGTGGATAGCCTGGGGACCTGAAGAAAGGTGAGTGATCACTGGGATTATCAGTATCCATGGCATCCCCTCTGACTATATCCCACACAGTCTCCATAATTTTGGACCCAAACTCAGTCTTGCAAAGGCTTTCCCTTCTCTTTTCCCTACCCTCGATCTTTTCCAGTCCTCTGGGGGCTCAGAAGCCTGGGTTCCCAGTCTACTCCCTAGTTAATTTTACCCTGCCCCCACCCCAGCCTTGTCATGTCACTCCCTTAGCTGTTTGGGGCAGTGGTTCCAGGGACTCCTATATGGTTGACTAGTGCTGGGGCATGGCAAAAGCAGGCTCTTGCTGGCATGGCTTAATGGGATAATTGGAGGCACTGAGCTTCACCTCCTTGCTGGCAGCCTGGCTTCCAGGAACCAGCCATTAGCACTAGCTCCCTCCCCTGCCTCTGATTGGACGAAGTGGTGCAGCACACACCCCTCACCCAGCCCTGCAGGCTTTTTTCTTTTTCTTTTTTTTTTTTTACCCCTGGGCCTCTGGTTCCTACATTGGGAGGCCCTGACATCCTATTAGACTAGGAGCCCCTGGAACTTCTGGCCAGCTCTGCAGCAGGCGCCCATCTTCTTTGTATAATGCCTTCTGTTTTCTTTTTTCTTTTTTTTTGTTTTGAGATGGAGTCTCACTCTGTCGCCCAGGCTGCAGTGCAGTGGCGCGATCTCGGCTCACTGCAACCTCCGCCTCCTGGGTTCAAGTGATTTTCCTGCCTCAGCCTCCCGAGTAGCTGGGACTACAGGTGCATGCCACCACACCCGGCTAATTTTTTATTTTTAGTAGAGATGGGGTTTCACCATGTTGGCCAGGCTGGTCTCGAACTCCTGACCTCAGGTGATACATCCATTTCGGCTTCACAAAGTGCTGGGATTACAGGCGTGAGCCACCACGCCTGGCCTCTTTTTTTTTTGAGACAGTCTTGCTGTGTCACCCAGGCAGTTCTCAGCTCACTGCAACTTCCTGGGTTCAAGCGATTCTCATACCTCAGCCTCCTGAGTAGTTGGGATTACAGACATGTGCCACCATACCCAGCTAATTTTTTGTATTTTTATTAGAGGTGGGGTTTCACCATGTTGGCCAGGCTGGTCTTGAACTCCTGTCCTCAAGTGATCTGCCCGCCTTGGCCTCCCCAAGTGTTGGGATTACAGGCGTGAGCCACCGTGCCTGGCCTACGTGCCCTTCTTGAGGAGGGATATAGGATATAGATTGGAGGAGTCTAGTCTTGGGGTGAATTGACAACAATAGTCTTAGAAGTGCCTATCATTGTTAACTGTTTTAAGTCACAGGCAGGAAGGCCCTGCCGATTCCCTTCCTTTACAGAAGGAGAAACTGAGGACAAGTGACTTGGCTAAGGTTGCATAGCAGGTCAGTGGCAGAGCTAGCTGGTACCAGAACCACATCTCCTGGCTTCTTCTCCAGAGCCTTGTTAGCCTCACTGTGCTAGGAGGAGGGGGGCTAGTGCTCTGGCTTTTATGCATATGCAGCTCCCTAAAGTCAAAGACCTTTGCATTTCCCTCCAGCAGAATCAGAAAGTCTGGTAAATGGGAACCACACCCCACAGACTGCAACACGGGGACCCTCTGCCTGTGCCAGCCACAGTTCCCTGGTGAGCTCTATTGAGAAGGACCTGCAAGAGATCATGGACTCACTGGTGCTAGAGGAGCCTGGAGCTGCTGGCAAGAAGCCTGCCGCAACCTCTCCACTGTCACCGATGGCTAATGGTGGGCGCTACCTGCTGTCTCCCCCAACCAGCCCCGGCGCCATGTCTGTGGGCTCCAGCTATGAGAACACCTCTCCAGCCTTCTCTCCACTCTCTTCACCAGCCAGCAGTGGAAGCTGTGCCAGTCACTCACCCAGTGGGCAAGAGCCAGGACCTTCTGTGCCCCCGCTGGTACCTGCCCGTTCCTCCAGCTACCATCTGGCCCTACAGCCCCCACAGTCCCGCCCAAGTGGTGCTCGCTCCGAGAGTCCTCGGCTGAGCAGGAAAGGGGGCCATGAGAGGCCTCCCAGCCCTGGCCTCCGGGGTCTGCTGACAGACAGCCCTGCAGCTACTGTCTTGGCGGAGGCCCGGAGAGCCACTGAGAGCCCCCGGCTGGGTGGGCAGCTGCCTGTGGTGGCCATCAGCCTGAGTGAATACCCAGCTTCTGGTGCTCTCAGTCAACCCACCAGCATTCCTGGCAGCCCCAAGTTTCAGCCTCCAGTCCCTGCTCCCCGAAACAAGATTGGCACACTCCAGGACCGCCCTCCCAGCCCTTTCCGTGAGCCTCCAGGCAGTGAGCGGGTGCTAACAACCAGCCCCTCACGCCAACTGGTGGGCCGAACATTTTCAGATGGGTTAGCCACCCGTACCCTGCAGCCTCCTGAGAGTCCCCGCCTGGGCCGGCGGGGCCTGGACAGTATGCGAGAACTACCCCCCTTAAGTCCATCTCTGTCCCGGCGAGCTCTCTCCCCGCTGCCCACCCGGACCACCCCAGATCCCAAGCTAAACAGGGAAGTGGCAGAGAGTCCTCGGCCCCGGCGCTGGGCAGCCCATGGGGCTTCACCAGAGGACTTCTCCCTGACGCTGGGGGCACGGGGCCGTAGGACACGGAGCCCCTCACCCACACTGGGTGAGTCTCTGGCACCCCACAAGGGCAGCTTCAGTGGCAGGCTGAGCCCAGCCTACAGTCTGGGCTCTCTTACTGGGGCTTCACCCTGCCAGAGTCCCTGTGTCCAGAGGAAGCTCTCCAGCGGGGACTTGCGGGTGCCTGTCACAAGGGAGCGGAAAAATAGCATCACAGAGATCAGTGACAATGAGGACGACCTCCTGGAGTACCACCGGCGACAGCGCCAAGAGCGGCTCCGGGAGCAGGAGATGGAGAGGCTGGTGAGCGGGTGCCAGGGAGGCTTGCCACTGTCCATGGCAGAGTCTCTGCCAGGGCTCGAGCAGGCCAGCTGGCAGAGCAGGAGAGGCCCTCAAACAGGGCTTCGGCTTCTCAAGGTTCCCCACCTCCAGGATACACTTTAGTGATCAATATCTTATGGTTCTGGTGCCGTGAAGAAGAAATTCCTTTGAAATCTCTAAGACTTTATTTTAAATTCTTGCTAATTTTGCATTTATTCAACATAGCATTTGTTTTAATGTTAAATTAAATTTCACATTGTTTACCTGAGCACAGTGAAGCTCTAGGAAAACATACCACAGGTATGGTAAGACCTCGAACCTCCCAGTTTGAGAAGCAGTTGGTGATCATGAGTAGGCTGAAGCTCAGAGAGGGGAATGGCTTTGTCCAAGGTCACACAGCAAGTTCTGGCAGAGCTAGAATTGGAACCCAGGTCCCCTGTCTGACTCTTTCTGAGACTTGTTCTTTAGAAAAGTACCTTGTCCTTCTTTTTTGCTTGTCTTTGGCCTCTACAAGTGGGTGGGAGCTGCTCATCCTGGCCCAGGCAGTATCATCTAGGAGTGCAGGTGGCAGGGTAGAGGGACAGAGCAGGATAGGCAACCCTGGCCTGACCGTTAGCCAGCCTGTGTAATTGTGACTGTGTGTGTCCATGTGCATGCACGTGGGTGCATGCAGGGGCTGGGTGTGGCTCTAGGCAGCTGTCCTGGAGATGGCATCTGAGCTGGGTGGGGGCCAGGATTCCCCAGATAGCTCAGGGAGCTTAAGGGGCTCTGGCTGGTGTGTACACAGTCGAGCCCATGTACAGAAGAATGGATTCTGCCCTCTGTCCCTTACGAGCAGAACAGGGTTCTTTGGAAGGTGGGCAGGAACCCTGGGATTGGTTTGAGGAAGAGAACCAGAACTGATGAGAACCAGAACTGAAGCATCTGGAGATGCTTTTGGAAGAGGTTGGGACAGTTTTGGATGAGGGTATAGGATTGTGTGTTTGTGTTGGATGGGGGTGAGATGAGGCGGATCCCATCTTTTCCTTTGCTGCATCTTCTCTTCACTGTTTTTGCATTGGTCTAGACGGGAATGCATGGCCATTCTAAGCTGGGGTCTCATCCTGGAGAGGGGGCAGTGAGCCTGGCACAGGCAGAGTGGCAGGCACAGCCTCCCCCAACTCCTCCATCAGTTTTCCCACCCCCATTCCCACACATAAGCACACATCTTACCACTAGTCCTGACCTGCCTCACCTGCCACTTTAAGTCTTGGAGGCTGCCCGCCCTGCCCCTCCCACCTCAACCAGGCTGCTTATCTGGGTCCTGGGGCAGGGGTGGAGGCACTGGCCCAGCCTCCCAGGTGCCGAGGCTCTGTTCCGGTTTTTTTTTTTTTTTTTTGCCATGGAACTGGGCAAGCAACAGGAGGGAAGCTGGGTAAGTGTATGAGAACACCTCTCCAGCCTTCTCTCCACTTCCTGCGGTTTGGGTTCATGGCCAAACTGTAAGTGATGAGAGACACTTGAGGAGGTCTAGGGACCCTAGAGAGCCATGGAAGCCTCACAAACCAGGCTTCAGGCCTATAGGTAGGCCTGCGGGAAAAGGCAACAAAGACCAGGAATGTGATTGTGTCATCCCTCCTTTACCTCCTAGGCCCCTGAGAGGTGACTGTATCTGGGTGGGTGTGTATGTGGAGAGGGGTGGATGAAGTGGTAGGGCCATGGGAGTACTCACTCATGGGCCTGGGCATTCAAGGACTGGCAGCAGCCCATCCTGCTGATAAACAGCCAAGGGCTGCCTGAGGGTAACTTGGAGCTGAGGTGGGGACAAAGAGGGCCGTGTCCTTGGTCTACCTCTTCTCCATGTATGTCTGTGGTTGGGTGTCTGGTCCCTGTGGGCTCATGGGTCTGTTTTCCAGCACTGTCTGTCTGCATACATGCCCACCTGTCTGTATGCTAGACTGTGTTTATCTGTGAGTGTGCATCAGTGTGCATTTGTGCATGTCAGGGCTGGTGTCTCTGTACTTGCCTATTAATGCAGGGCCAGGGCACATGTTGTATCCTTGTGTGCCTGTGCATCAGTGCTGGTGTGTCAGTATGTGTCCTTGTGTCTGTAGATCTGTGTGTACCTGCGTCAGGACGAGCAACTGAGTTTATCTGTGTCTCATTGTGGTCTGTAGTCTGCTTAACAGTGTGTTTCTGTATGTGTTTAGTGTGTTACTGTGGGTCCATTTGGTGTGTTCCTGTGTGTCCTGGGGTAGACTGAAAAAAGAAAGGAACAGGAAGATGGAAGGGGCTGTCCCAGAAGTGGGCAGGAAGAACCAGGCTGTTATGCCATGTGGGCATGTGGCACAACAGCCTCGTTCTTCCTGCCCACTTCTGGGGCACCTTGTTTCCCTCTGCCTCCCCTAGGTCTTGGGGTCAGGCCTCTCCTGACTTGACACTGATGTCCTAGCCCCCTGTAACCCTGCTCTCCCTCCTGACAGGATACTGAACCTGGCTCTATCCCCACCAGGGCTCAGCTTCCTCCCCTTCATGTCCTGCTCTGTCCATCCTCCCCAGGAACGCCAGCGCCTGGAGACCATCCTGAACCTGTGTGCCGAATACAGCCGGGCTGATGGGGGACCTGAGGCTGGGGAGCTTCCCAGCATTGGGGAGGCCACCGCAGCATTGGCACTGGCAGGCCGGAGGCCCTCACGAGGCCTTGCAGGGGCCTCTGGGCGGAGCAGCGAGGAGCCTGGCGTTGCCACCCAACGCCTATGGGAGAGTATGGAGCGCTCAGATGAGGAAAATCTCAAGGAGGAGTGCAGCAGCACTGAGAGCACCCAGCAGGAGGTGAGATGGAGGGGTAGGCAAGACAAAGAGGCTGAAGTTGGACCTGCTGGGGGCAGAGGAGGCTGGTGTATCCAATGCCAAGGTCCAGTGAGGGGAAGGATCAAGTTTGGGAAGAGATTAGAGAGCAGAGGTGCAGAAATGAGACAAGGAAGAGAAGGGAGGTGTTGATGAGCTTCCCAAGCTGTAAATATGCTTTATGACCTGCCTTTCCATGGGGCCCCACCCAGGCCTGGCACTCAGTGGTAAATATTCTCTTCCGCAGAGCCCTTATTGCTCCCCTCAAAGGTGGGGGTTGCGGGGGGGCAGGGAATTAGCCTCCTGTCTCAGTCCAGCTATTCCTCAGCAAGTGCCTGGAGGAACAGGTGATCCATTTTCTTAGTCTGATTCCAAAAGGCTCTAGGCTTCCTCAGTTGATAGCTTCCCTCCCCTCCAGCACGAAGATGCACCTAGCACCAAGCTCCAGGGAGAGGTGCTAGCCCTGGAAGAAGAGCGGGCTCAGGTGCTGGGGCACGTGGAGCAGCTCAAGGTCCGTGTGAAGGAGCTAGAGCAGCAGCTGCAGGAGTCAGCCCGAGAGGTGAGCCGTGAAGTCCCTAGCTGGACTCTTCCCTAGGCCAACTGAAGGCCCCAGAGAGGGGCCACAGTCAGCTGCTTTGATGGGGACCCTGGTGTCTGCCCCCAGGCCGAAATGGAGCGGGCACTGCTGCAGGGAGAGAGGGAGGCAGAGCGGGCACTGCTGCAGAAGGAGCAGAAGGCAGTGGATCAGCTGCAGGAGAAGCTGGTGGCCTTGGAGACAGGCATCCAGAAGGAGAGGGACAAGGTAACCCACACCTGGCCCAGCTTAGTGCTGGGTACCAGTGGCCTGGGAGAGAAGGAGAAATGTCTTCTCTGGGGCCCTGTACCCTTCACCTCATCATCCATTCTGCAGTACAAGTGGTCTCTGTGGCTTTCCAGAGACAGAGTGACTTCTCCTCCTCTGTGGAAGGAACCAGCTTGGAGGGCACTGCCAGGGGCTGGGCTGGTGTCTGGGGTCTCCTCTGTCTGGGTCTGTGTGCTACCTCTGGGTGCCTGCCATCCTAGGCCCTTTATGGCCCTTCTAGGAAGTGCCAAAGCCCCTTCTTGGGCAGTGAGCACAGCCCAAGGGACTGACATTGGGGAGTGATTCAAGTTCGGGTCCCACCATCTGGAGAACATCTCCCTCCAAGCATGCCACAAGTGCTTACGTTGTGATCTTTGGGAGATGGCCCTCGGGCCTCTGCTTCCCTTGAGCCTTCAGGATCTGCAGCCTCCCATCCCAGGTGATCCTAGCTCCTGCCCCTGCCCCTTTCAGATTTCGTGCCAGCCTGCAGGGGCCACTCCCAGATGCCCAACACCGTGCCAAAAGCTCTGAAGTGGAGAGGGGTCATCTATTTCTGGATCTGACAGTATTTTTCCAATAATTTAATTTTCCTTCTGGATTTTTTGAGTTTCTTCCTCCTGCCCTCAATTTTGAGAATCTTAAAAATTCTTTGACCCTTTTTTTTTTTTTTTGGAGCTTTGGCTCTGGCCCCCAAAACCACACTCCCAAATTCTGTGCCAAATTAACTCCACGCTTGCCAACTAGGCCTACACTAACGTCCCTTCTAATCACTGACTTGGGCTTTCCGCATGCCCCTAACTGCCAGTGCCACCCAGGTAGGGCTGAGCCATGCCCGCTTTTGCACTAACTCAGTGGGTGCCTCTGTGCCCCTGGCCTCTCTCCTCTAATGCTGCCTCCTTCTTTTCTTGGTGTGGGACCCCAGAGTTTTTATATGAAAGGAATTGGCAGGAGGATTGGTAGCTCAACTTTACTCAAGGGGGCATTGGCAGGAGGGGTATGAGGGTGGGGGAAATGCTTGGCTGTGGAGCTGCTCAGACTGAAGAGTTCTTTCCATTGGAAATGCCTAGGCTGCTGTCTTAGGCTACTGTCTGAGGACAGCATGAGATAACCCAAGGAAGCTTCCTGGCAGCTTCCTGCACAGCAGAGTAGGCTGTCTTCCACCTATTCCCCTGCCTGCCCTCTGGAGCCAAGGAGTAAGGAGGCCCAGTTGTGGGCGTGGTCTTGGAGGGCTTGAACAGGACCTCTCTGCCAACATAGTGGCTACCCTTCCTAGCTTTCCCTTGGGGCTTCCCAAATTCAGATACCCATCAGAGGTTGGTAATGGGTAGCCCCTACTCTTCTCCTCACTCCTGAGCCACCTATAACACAGGGTATTTTAAAGGCTGAGTCCAAGGATGAGGAAGCACCTAGACCCCAGGAACTGGCCTGATTAGGTCCTCCTCTCTGGGGATGGGTAGATGAGTTGGGTAGAGGGATGGGAGTGACTGGGTTCAGCATAGGGCCTCACTCCCAGGGATAAAGCTCAGCATTTCAGAAGGAACCTGCCTAACCTCATTTCCCACTGACCTGGAGTTTTTTGGAGGCCTAGACTTCGCTTTCTCTGTGGGGAAGAGAGGTTATTCGAGGCTGTGGTAGTGATGGTGGTGGTGGTGATGGTGGTAGTGATGGCAATGGTGTGGAGGGTTCACTTGGCTTCCCTCCCCTGCCCTCAGCCCATGGCTCCACTCTGGCTTTGGAATCAGTAACCACAGTTTCTCCTCTGCCTGTCCTTTGAGGGGTGACTCACCAAACCCTCCCCTCGTCCCCCTTCCCACCCTCAGAGGTGTCATCTCACCCCAGAAAGAACCGTCCACCCCCTCTGTACCCACTCCTGGGACTCATTACCATGGAAACAGCCCGAACTAATTGCAACCCTCATCCCTGAAGTTCAGCCTGCAGGGCCAACACCCCACCCCGACCCTGGGCAGGAGGGGAGGGAGGCCAAGGGTGTTGGGTTGGGGTCCCCTCTGCCACACTGCTTTAACATCCTCAGCTCCTGATTGACGCCCAACCCTGGATTTAACCCTCACCATCACTACCCTTTTTCCCTGGGTTAAATTTTGGTCTCTGGGCTGTAGTAGAAGGGGAGGGATGAGAGCTGGAGGCTCTGTGATGCAGAACCAGCCTTGACTGGTTTGGAGAGAAAACAGAGGGCCTTTTCTCGAGACCTACCCAACAATTTCAGTTCAAGGGACTTCAGGAGACCAAAATCTGTGCCCTGCCCCCACACCTCTGCCTGTGTTACCTCATCCCCTGCACCTCTGACTGCCGTGTTACCTTCAGCTCCTGGCCTTGGGCCCTCTCCCTCTTCACCTCTTTCCCTCCTCACTTTCCCTTTCTGCCCTTTTCTTTCTCCTCGCCTGGTTATTCTCCTCTTTGATTCTAGCCTTTTTTTCTCCTCTCTCAACCCCCATTGCCGACCCCCATTCTGTCCCGCCCTGGCCGCCCTCCCGCGCTCCCCTCCCGCCGCTGCCGGGCCGGAGTTGAGGAGTGTGTGTTCTGTTTCTCCCCTGTGCCCCGCCCTCTCCCTCGCCCTCCCGCCGACCAGGAGAGGGCGGAGCTGGCCGCGGGACGGAGGCACCTGGAGGCCCGCCAGGCGCTCTACGCCGAGCTCCAGACGCAGCTCGATAACTGCCCCGAGTCAGTGCGGGAACAGTTACAGGAGCAGCTGAGAAGGGTCAGTTCCACCGCCCCCCCTCCCCCGGCCCCGCGGGCCACGCCCCAGAAGGAAGAGAGGAGAGCGGTGGGACGGGACCACCTGGCCTCTGCAGTACCTGCCGGACACCAGGGTCGGTGCTGCGGTTTGGAGGGAACCGGGAAGGTTGGGGAATCAGCGCTCCAGGCCATGATGCCCGCAAAAGGGCAAGGCCAAGTACAGCGGGAGCTGGGGGGAGGCAGGTTTCTTACCCAATTTCCCCGGGTCCAGCCCCATACAACGCATGCCCCTGTGGCCTGGTCTTCCAGGCCCAGAGTGGCATTGCAAGCACCACCCAACCCCCTTTGTCACTGTCGTTGAAGGAGGCAGAGGCCCTGGAGACTGAGACAAAGCTCTTTGAGGACTTGGAGTTCCAGCAGTTGGAGCGGGAGAGCCGCGTGGAGGAGGAGCGCGAGCTGGCCGGCCAGGGGCTGCTCCGGAGCAAGGCTGAGCTGCTCCGCAGCATCGCCAAGAGGAAGGTGTGCCCCACCTCGTTCCCTGCTGCGTGCTGTTGGAGGCCAGTGACCTGGGTTTGAATCCCAATGACCTCACAAAAGTTAACTTCGTCTTTTGTGCCTGGATTTCCTTGTCTGTAAAATGAGAATTACAACAGGTTGTTGTGAGAATTAAACAAGATGTAAAGACAGAATAGGATGTGATTGTAATGAGCACTCGGTGAAGAATAACTATTATTAAGCTCTGACTCCCCTCAGTCTTCCAGTGGAAAGTGGATTCTGCTCCCATTCAGAGCTTGGCACTGGCCCAGCAGGAAGGTGAAAGATGGAGGAGGAGGAGGCTTGCCCCTGTGCTTGCAGAGCTCTTGTCTGGTGGAAGTGCTGGGACACACAGAAAGATTTGAGATCTGGATATTAGAGCCAGCTAGGGGCCCTAGAAAGGGCATTCATTTCGGTTCCAGCCATGGCTCAGCCCTGCCTTGGCTGAGCTATAAAACAAGGGTTATTGGGTATTGTGGCCTGGCCAGCTGTGACACGCTAGCTAGATACTGTGATCACCTGCTCTTGATCTCAGCCAGACCACAGGATGGTGGCACAGGTGACTGTGTATGTTTGGGGAGTAAAGCTGGGAGGAGGTATGTGTTAGTAAGGGTTGGGAAGAGGTGAGGGAGGGATTGGAGAGGATGGCTCAAGCAGCTTCCACCCTTATGGCTGAAGCTTGTGGCCATGCACATGCACACATGCATGTACATTTTGCTTGGCTGGAGTTAGTGTGGGGGAAGTGAGGGTGGTGAGATTGGGGAGGGGTGTCTAAAATTGGTGACGTAGGGGATTTGCTGGTTAGCCTGGGGTTGGTGGTAAGTGGGGAGCTGCTGGACTTTCCTTGAGTCCAGATCCCATGCTTCTCTCCCTGAGCTGCTGTCTTACAAACGCACTTTCTGGATGTAAGACTGACTGATGAAAGGAGGGAAGAAAATTGACACACCTAAGCACATGGGTGTGTGTCAGGCACCTTGCTGGGAGCCTTCCTTGGATTACCTCAATGCTGTCCTTAGGACGGTATCACAAGACAAGTGCTGTTATTCCCATTTTATAGACAAGGAAACTAGGAGTAGGAGAAGCTACACATTTTGCCCAAAGCCTCCCATTATATAAGCTTCAGAGTCAGAATTGGAACCCAGGCCTGTTGGCCCAAATCCCACGTTCCTTCGACTGTACTGCACTGAGGCTAGGGGCGGGCACTTCTCTAGCCTCTTCCTCTTTCTTTCTGGAGGGAATGCGGTAGGGAGCTGTAGATCAGCTAATCTCATCCCTTTGGGGTTCTGGTGAGTATAAGCTCCAGGGAGTTTGGGAGGGCTTGGCAGTAGTGGATTCCTCTTCCCACACCCACCCTGCCTCCTGGGAAACCGGAGCTCAGCCCCTAGGACCTGGGGTGTCACATTCTTCCCCATGCTCCTCCTTAGGAACCTTATCCAGCTTTCATCCTCAGACCCTAGTGTCCCACCCTAGGCTCTGTCTGCCCTGGTGCCCTGTGCTCCCCTGCCCTTTCCACTCTGATTCAGAGTGACTCAGAGTACTGGTCTGGGAGTCCAATAGATGATTCTAATCCGTGCTCTACCACTTAGCTGGCTAAGAGATCTTAGCTCCTAAATATGTTGGTGTTCTCACCTATAAAATGGGTATAAATGCACCTGCCTCATAAAGGAGCTTATTAAATTACGTAACAAATGCAAAACATTTAGCAGAGTTCCTGGCTCCTAATGGGTTCTTAGTAGATGGCAGCTCTTGCGGTGAGGATTACTGCCTAGCCTACTTTGTTGTTGTTGTTGATTTTGAGACAGAGTCTCGCTGTTGTCGCCCAGGCTGGGTTGCAATGGTGTGATCTCACCTCACTGCAACCTCCACCTCCCAGGTTCAAGCGATTCTCCTGCCTCAGCCTCTCAAGTAGCTGGGATTACAGGTGCCCCCCCAACCCCACACCTGGCTAATTTTTGTATTTTTGGAAGAGGTGGGATTTCACTCTGTTGGCCAGGCTGGTCTCAAACTCCTAACCTCAGGTGATCCAGCCTCCTCAGCCTCCCAAAGTGCTAAGATTACAGGCATGAGCCACAGCGCCCGGCCAGCCTACTTTGGTCTTTTCTTGGACTGACCCCAAATTTAGGACATCTCCCTTCTTTAACTCTTCCTTTCCCATGATTTGTTCCTAAAGATGGTGGTTTAAGGCCGCCTTCTTCAGGAAGCCCTCCTGGGATTAACCCAGCCCATTTTTCCCATCTCTCATCCTTCCCCCTTACTTACTATCTTTTCATTTCCTTTTAGCACATGATTGTTGAGCCAGGTACTGTTCTAAAAGCCCTATTGGGGGTATAAAGACAGAAAAGACAATGTGGATCTTACGTTTGGGGCAGGCTGGTGGTGGTGGTAACAGATATATTCACAAATAACAATAATAAAGGCAGATGGTGATACAGAAGAATGTGAGCACAGAGGAAGGAGCAAAGAAATCGGCAATCAAGGAAGGCTTTGGAGAGGAGATAGCATTTGGTCTAGTCTTAGATGATAAGTAAGCTCTTGATAGGTAGAGAAGATTGGAACAGCTCTCCTGGCCTAAGGAAGCGACATAAGAAAGGCCTGAGAGTTTACAGCTACACAGCTGAGTGTACAGTGTGGCTGAGCTGAAAGGACATGGAGGCTGTAAGAGGGAGGGGAGCTGCAAAGGGTTCGGGAGCCCCGAATGCCTGGTAAGGAGTTTGTGCTTTATCCTGTGTGTAATGAGGAGCCACTGAAAGATTTTGAGGAGAGGCATGATCTGACCTTACTTGTGGATTTTTAAAAAATTATTCAAGTAATATTCCTTTTTAGAAAGTAATTTTTCTTTTTAGAAAGATTAGAAAATTCAGATAAGCAAACAAACCTCAAAGTCATCTTAGGAAGATATTTGTGACAGTGTGGAGTGGATCAGGAAGTTGAGAGAGTGGAAGCAAAGGCTGGTGAGAAGGTCCAGACCAGGGAAGCAGAGGGCCTGGATTTGGGTGGTGGCAAGTGGGGTTGGGACAGGGAGAATGAGGCAGATGGAGTGTCTCTAGGCTTTGGGACCCATTGGTTGTAGGGTAAGGGAAGGGAGATTTGAGGATCTGAGTGGTGTGCCTAATGGCACAGGGGTCATTGGTCAAGGGAGGGAGGGAGGCCCGAGGGAAGGAGCCCACATGGCAGCCTGTTTTCTTAGGGTGAGTTGAGGCCAAGCAGAAGAGCTGGTTGATCCCCTTCACCTGAGCCTTGAGTGTCTGGGCAGGAGAGCCAGCTAGTTCTCACCTTGGGCTCAGCCCTGTCTCCCCAGGGCCTGATCAACCACCCCATCTCCTTTAGGAGCGCCTGGCCATCCTGGACAGTCAGGCTGGGCAGATCCGGGCTCAGGCCGTGCAGGAATCAGAACGCCTGGCCCGGGACAAGAATGCCTCCTTACAGCTGCTGCAAAAGGTAGGGTCCCTGAGGTTGGGCCGGGAGATTTGGAGTAGGGTAAGTGGGAGGGGAGTGCAGAAGGACTGGGGTGTAAATGTGCTGGGGTGGAGCACAGGGCCCCCCTCACACAGTCTCCTGGCTCCCACTCCTCTTTGACTCTGCCATTCTGGGCTCGCAGGAGAAGGAGAAGCTGACTGTGCTGGAAAGGAGATACCACTCACTCACAGGGGGCAGGCCTTTCCCGAAGACCACATCGACCCTCAAAGAGGTATCATGATTGGATTAGCCCCAGCTTCAGGCCCAAGGCGTGTCCTGGGAGGCTCTGAGTAACACATGGCACTTTCACCCCAGTAGCTGAGGTTGTGTGGGGGCATCTTCCTGAATGGGAGAGATTTGAGGAGGAATGGCCCCAAGCTCTGGGATTTGATTTTCCATGGCTGCCAGCTGCCTCTGTTTAGTTGCCTCTGGGGTTCCCAGGAGCCTACAGATTTCACTGTTTTTGGTGGCTGAATATATGTGGGGGGACTCAGGGGCCTGGGTTGGGTGGGTAGACAGCTCAGAGGCTTGGTAGGGGCCGGGCTGGATGGACTCACCTTGAAGGGGAGCATAGGGATATAGGGGTGCTGATCCTGGGGCTCTTGGGCTTCAGTCCTGAGTTAGGCATTTGTCTCAGAAGAGGATATTGAGGCCCCTTAAGTGGTTCTTCCCCAAGTCTGTATGTCTGGTGTGTGAATTCCAAATAGAACATATCTGGTTTACCAACTTCGTTCCCTCCCTCCCTCCCTCCCTGCCTCACTACACAAACAATTTAGGCCTGCGGTGGGGAACTGGGCCAAGTGTGAGGGATGCAGCCCCTCACCATGTCCCCTCTCTGTAGGCCGAGCTGCTCATCTCCGAGTCCTCAGAGATGGGGCTGGGGACTAAGGCTCTGGGCCTTTTCCCAGGGTCTTCTCAGGCTGGGGCCTCCTCTGTCTCTTTAACCCCACCTGCTTCCACTCTTCTCTGCCCCAAAGCACAAGAGGTAATCACAGCTAACTGCGTGCTCTGCTTTGCCCACTGCCTGTCTGCCTGCCCGCTGAGCCCCTGCCTACAGCTCCTCCCAGGGCTTAGCTGAAGGGCATGTGGTGATAGTTTCTTGGCTGGCCAGAGTTTGGGAGAGTGTGTGCGAGCATGCCATGCCGCCATTCCATAGAGTGCCTGTGCAGCCCATTGAATTGCATATTTATTTGCCATGCAGAATATAATTCTGCATGCCATTCATTAGTTCTCACAACATGCTGGACCCTCTGACTGACTTTCCTTTTCCATGACCCCAGAGGACAACCTGGTTCTAGAGCTAGGCCTGGATGGGCCCCTTGGGTAGAGCAGGCTTATGATCCTGCGCTTTGATTCAGCATGCATTGTGGAGGTCTACCATGCTCCCAGCACCCAGATAAGCTCAGTTTCTAAGGACAGGTGATGAATACGACAGTCCCTATCCTCCCGACCCACAGTTGAATGTGTTGGCATCTTTCCAAGGACTCACCTTGGGCAGTGGGCCCATTTTTCTGCTAGGCTTTTAGCTGTTCTTGCTAAGGCCTCTTTCTCACAGCCCATCTTGCTCAGGCCCTGGTGATGTCTCCACCTTCCCCCACCTGTTTCTAGCTCCTGTCCAGGCTGATGGGGTGTGAGGGGACCCTGGGGAATGGTGTGACTGGTGCTCAATGCTGCATGTGTGTGCCCCACTGGGGACTGCCAGGTTGTTGGGGACGGGGAGGGGGTCTCTGGAAGCTGGGTTCTGATCCTCAGTGAACTCTTAGAAGGCCTTCTGTGGGCTTCTTTGCCTGCCCCCAGCCCAGGGCGAATTCAGGCATGGGCCTTCAGGGTCTGCTTGGGGCAGGACTGGATGCCAAAGTGGCTCTTTAAGAGTGGAGGGCAGGAGGAGCCTTCAGACAGTTGGTTCTGCTGCCCTTTTCTGGTCTCTGTCACTCCCTGCAGCCATCTATGGGCATAGCAGGCACCCTACCCCTGCCTTGGATTTTGTATTGACATGGAGTGATGGCCCTGTGGCCTGGCATGGAGTTTGGGGTGTTGGGCACCTTATTGAACCCTGTTAACCCCTTCTTTGCCCACCCCTACCCCTTCTACTGGGCACCCCAGGAATATGTGACCCTGGCAGAAGTTTTCCAGCTGTGTTCCCGCTTGGACCCCTATGCTTCTGCCACTTCCCCCAGTGTGCTCGCCCAGCCCCTGCCTGACAGTGAGGTACCAGCCACCGAGGGTGCCCACCAATGCCCAAGGACCTCTTTATGGATGGCCTAGATTCCCCCTTGGGCCTGGGTGGAGCTAGGGGGACAGAAGGGTCTGTGTTCGACAGTGAGGGAGAAGGGCAGCCTGCATAAGGGGAGGTTGGGAGTGGTTTCTTTTTTTCCCTGGGGCCTTGGGAGCTTTCTTTAGCTCCTATGGCCTGGGGAGGGGCACGCCTTCTGCTCTAGGATGAGGGTGTCGAGTTGAGAGGACTCTGGCTTTCCTAGGCTGCAGGCTCTGTACTTTCTGCCCTTTCCCTCCCTTCCCCTGTGGGTAGGGCCATCTCATGTGTTCTGGTTCCATTAACCTCTTATATTCCCTCCTGCGTCTGGCCTTGCTCCAAGTACGTGATGCTTGAGCAGCTAAAGGTGATGCGGGGCACCTCGCCCATGCCCCCAGCCCCTGTGCCAGGCCTTTCTCCCTGGGCCTCCGCCTCCCGGGACCTGGTTCCCACCACCTGCCTTCCTCCCATGCTGCCCTCCTCCTCGTTCGCTTCCATCACGCCTTCACCTAAGGTTGGTGGTTTGTGAGTTCTTGCTACCCCCACCCATGACTGGTGTGCTCTGTGTGTGTTTTGCTCCTGCTCACCTGGCCTCTTGGCTCTGGGCCAGCCCAAGGGGAGTGCCCAGTGCCTGCAGGCTCTGTCTGGTGGCTGGTTTCATGGCTGGTGTAGCACATGTCTGTGGTCTGGAAGTTGTACCCTGACTGTTTCTCTTTGCCCTTAGTACATTCAGGGCAACTGTTGTCTCACTGTTTTTCTCTTCTTTTTCTTGATGCTCTCCTTTCTCCCTTCCTTCCTCCCCTTCTTCCTTCACCTTCCTGTCCATTTCCCTGATGTGGCCTTCCTTTTTAACCTTCCCCTTCCTTCTTCCTCTTCTTTCTTCTTTCTCCCTTCTCCTGCCTTTTCCTTTCCCTTTATTTCCTGGCCTTTCCTCTCCATCCTCCCCTCCTGTCCCCTTTTCCCCTCCCCATTCCCACCTCCAGATGGAGAAGCTGCTGCTCCCTGCTGTAGACTTAGAGCAGTGGTACCAGGAGCTGATGGCCGGGCTGGGGACTGGCCCCGCTGCAGCCTCCCCTCACTCTTCTCCCCCGCCTCTGCCCGCCAAAGCTTCCCGTCAGCTGCAGGTAACCCCTCCTTCACTGCCCGTCCTCCCCAGCCTTTGCACCTGTCCACTCTGATACCTCCTGCCAATCCATCAGCCACACAGTACCACCTTGAGTGGAGGCGTCAGCCCAGTCAGGGCAATGAGGGCACCTCTGGGCCCTGAGAGGGTCACTCCTTGGGCAGCCATCCTGGCATGTGGGCAACCGGGGGGCCAGCCTCCATAGTCTAAAACTATCTGATTGAGTGTCTGGTGGAAGAGGATTCTGGAGCTGTGGTCAGTTTGGGATCTGTTTGGTGCCCTGTGCTGAGCTAGGCTGTGGGTCTGGCCTATGCTTGGCAGCCCCCAACACCTGGAGCTTCTCACCCAGTCTGGGGGCCTGACAGGCTCTTGGGCCTGTGGCAACTGGAACTAGTGTGTCCTGGGAAGAACTGCCAGTATTTTGTTCTCCTGGTCTCTCCAGCAGTGACACTTGGAAGCAGAAAACAAAGGGCAAAGACTCTGAAGTGACAGCCTAAGCCTCCTCAGAGTTGCCATGGAGGGCGTGGGCCTACCTGAACCTGCAGCAAGCAACTGACCATGGGGTGGGAAAGGGGGCTGGGCTAGTCTTCTCCTCAGGTTTCCTCCACTGACCAGCTGCAGTGCCTAAGATTGACCATTTAAGATCACCCCTTGAGTGAAGGCACTGCATCTGTAAGACTGTGACCTCAGCTAAAATTTCATGTTTCCTTGGGGAGGAGTTTGATCATGTAAGACTTCTACTGTGTACCCAGCTGGTTAGAGATTTTAACGTGTTTTGATTCTCTGATCATCATCATAGGCCTTTGAGGTAGATGAAGTTAACTCATTTTATAGATGAAACACTGGGGCCTAGAGAAGATAAGTAATCTCTCCAAGGCCACACAGCTAGGAAGTAGCAGAGCTTATGCCACGTCAGGGTTTGTGACACTAAAGGCCATATTCACCACATGCTAGTGCTGCAGGGGAGCTTGGCCATTATTTAGTCTAGTCCTACCCCCTTCTTTTGCAGATAAGGAAGCCAAGGCCCAGAGTAGGGAGGTGTGTGGCCCAAGGTCACACAGCCTGTTAGTGGCAGAGCTAGGACCAGAGGGAACCCAGCTTCTAGTTGGTCTCCTGCACAACTGCCTGACTGACATTAAATCCTTGCATGGGTCTGTTTACAGGTCTTTTCTTAGACCCAGGGTTGGGCTAGGGATTGGCCCAGGGAGGAACAGCCTGGAAAGGAGAATTGGCAGCTGCCAATAGCATCTGGCCATTGGGCTGGCTCAGGAGGCTTGTTGTCAGAGCCAGAAGGCCTCAGAGGCCTAGTGCCAGGGCGGTACGTCAGATCACAGCAGACTAGGTGACATGGGGGAGGTGGCCAATGGGGGAGCCAGGAATCACTGGGCACTATCTTTTCTTTCCAGGTTTACCGCTCCAAGATGGATGGCGAGGCCACCAGCCCCCTTCCCCGGACCCGCAGCGGCCCCCTCCCCTCCTCCTCTGGCTCTTCCTCCTCCTCCTCCCAGCTCAGCGTGGCTACCCTGGGGCGTAGCCCCTCCCCAAAGGTCTGAGGACAGTGGGTGGGGCTGCACATGTGGCTGGGGATGGAGACTTCCACCCTGGGGAGAGGCCAAGACCTTGGGAATGGGGGTAAGGGCCTTCTGAGCCCAGGTCCGAACTCTCCATTCCTCTGCAGAGCGCTCTACTCACCCAGAATGGCACGGGCAGCCTTCCTCGCAACCTGGCAGCCACACTGCAGGACATCGAGACCAAGCGCCAACTAGCTCTGCAGCAGAAGGGTGAGTGACTGCCCCGCCAGCCCACCTGCTCTCCTGAGGGGACCCTGGGTAGTTGCCATGCCTCCTCTATGCTCACACCTTTCACAGGATGTTTTTCCTTTAATTGGGATCTAGGCAAGACCAGAAAGGATTTAGAGTGGGTACCTAAAGAAGAGCTTCCTGGATATTTATCTAAAGCCTTCAGGGCAGGAGACTAAGGGCTTAGGGGGCTGTGACATCTTTCCTAGAGAGCCTAGCCAATAAGGGAACTGCTTGTTGACCTGAGTCGGGTTAGACATTGCCCTCTCTGGAGGGAGGGGATGGATTTGATGACTTCTAGAAATGGTTGCCTGAGATATTGGCTCTGGGGACCCAGGAGTCCTTGTTGCTTGTGTGCAATTTGGTTGTTTTGAAAGCCCATGTCTGTGCCTCTCTCTCCTCTTACCCCCTCTGTGTCTCTACCGTACCCTCTGCCTGGGGTCCCCCACGCCAGTCGAGTCGCTTCCCGCCGAGCCCCTCCCAACCGACGACCCAGCAGGTAGAACGTTGGTCATAGAGGGCATTGCTTTGGCCAGGCAGCCCCTGCCCTGGCATCAGCATGATGTGTCCTGCCCAGGTCCCCACTGCCTGCAGGCAGGGTCCCAGGCTGAGCTGGGTTGGGGTGTCTGCTGGCCTCACCCCTCCAGCTGGCCTCTCTTCTGCCCTCATCTGTGCTCTACCGTGTCTCCCCTGCCTTCTTTCTTGCGTTTGTTGCTTTTGCTTCTGCATTGCAGGGGGGTCTGCATTGGCAGTCTGGGTGCTCATGGGGTTTCTGCCATCTCTTCCTTCTCCCTTCTCCAGCAGGCAGGGTGGGTGCATGTATCCTGCCTAGACCTACTTAGGCCTTGGTTGTGAGCTGGAGCCAACTGGCTGTCGTGCTGCCCCAGCACTACTTGGGTAGGTTTGGTGTCCTATATGGACTCAGGGTGCGAAAGAGCACTGAAGCCAGACTGTGCATCTGTGGCCGGTTGTGCAGGCGACTGAAGCATTGGCAGAGCAGCCAGGCCTGGAGCTGCAGGGGCCTTAGGGAAGCTGCGGGGAGAGGGGGCTGCTCTGTGTTAACCTCTCCCTGCTTGCCCCTCCCTCTGTGTGTTGTGCTGCCAGTGGCCTGCTCCTTAGCTGCGTGGGGAGCCCACTGTGACTCCCATCTGTCTCTCCTTCAGGACAACAAGTGATTGAAGAGCAGCGGCGGCGACTGGCTGAGCTGAAGCAGAAAGCGGCAGCTGAGGCACAGTG
This sequence comes from Homo sapiens, assembly GCF_000001405.40. NCBI lineage: Eukaryota > Metazoa > Chordata > Mammalia > Primates > Hominidae > Homo > Homo sapiens. Next base: position 118,645,429 of record NC_000011.10, read on the forward strand.
CCAGTGGGATGCCCTTCACGGGGCAGCACCCTTCCCAGCGGGCCCCTCGGGCTTCCCCCCTCTCATGCACCACTCTATCCTACACCACCTGCCTGCGGGGCGGGAGCGTGGGGAGGAGGGTGAGCACGCCTATGATACGCTGAGTCTGGAGAGCTCTGACAGCATGGAGACCAGCATCTCCACCGGGGGCAACTCGGCCTGCTCCCCTGACAACATGTCCAGGTACACCCGACGCCTGGGCCCGCAGCCTCCCTCAGCCACCGCCTCAGCTCCTTGATGCACTTCCTCTTCCCCTTCTCTCCCCAGCGCGAGTGGTCTGGACATGGGGAAGATCGAGGAGATGGAGAAGATGCTGAAAGAGGCTCATGCAGAGAAGAACCGGCTCATGGAGTCGAGGGTGAGTCTGACCTGGATCGGGGAGGCAGAAGGTGTTGGGGCACAGAGCTACCTACTGCATGTCAAGGGCCTGTGCTCCACCCCAAGCCCTTCCACCCACATTAGCCTTGCCACATTCCCTTGGGGTAGAAAATGTTTTAAAAGGTTGTATTCTGGCCGGGCGCGGTGGCTCATGCCCGTAATCCCAGCACTTCAGGTGGCCGAGGCAGGCGGATCACGAGGTCAGGAGATCGAAACCATCCTGGCTAACACGGTGAAACCCCGTCTCTACTGAAAATACAAAAAATTAGCTGGGCGTGGTGGCAGGCGCCTGTAGTCCCAGCTGCGCGGGAGGCTGAGGCAGGAGAATGGCGTGAACCCGGGAGGCGGAGGTTGCAGTAAGCCGAGATCGCACCACTGCACTCCAGCCTGGGAGACAGAGCGAGACTCCGTCTCAAAAAAAAAAAAAAAAAAAAAAAAAAAGGTTGTATTCCTCAAACAGGCTTAGGGAGGCTTGGTTTGATTACAACTTCATAGCTCTTAGGAACAGAGAAGGCAGCATAGTAACCATTCTCTAACCAATAATTTCCTGTATGGAAACTTCCAGTTTTTGCATGTTTACTTCTGTAGACTTTTTGGCAACTACAGGAATTTTGATTCCTGTCTACCCGTATGGCAGGCCATTCCTCTTGGGGCTGATTAGGAAAAGCAGGAACTATGAGTGAAGTATAGACCAGAAGAGGAGGCAGATGTCCAAGTCAGTGTAGAGGTGTTGGCAGGGGAACCTTGGGAGCAGAGAGGGCTGACAGCTCCTTCACTTGGGCACGGAGCTGGGATTCAGCAAAGAGGGACCCATGGTTTATCCTGGGCATAGGCAGGCTGATGAAATGTGTGCCTAGGAAGGAGGATAAATAAAGGATCTGCAGAAGCTGTTCTGTGTCCACCATTGGAGGCACTCTGCATATTTGAGATGAGAGTGGGACGCAGAGAGTAAGGTCAGCAGTTTGAGGGATTTAATAAAAAACAGATACTGACAGTCTGAATGGAGGACCAGCCAGAAAAGAATGCCTCCTATCTTATTTATGTCTGAATATGGCAAATGTATAAGCATCTCCTGGCAAATGTGGGGAAAGGAGATTCTGCTAAGTTTTGAGCTGGGAAGAAATAGTAAATGGGAGTTAATGGTATAGGAGGTCTTTATTAGTAATTAAGACATATAAAGCATCACTGACATGCTCTGTATTTAATTATTTGTTTTAATGACTTCTAAAATCCTTTTATAGTGGCTTTTATAAGTTCAGTTCTGACCTTAGTCTCTAGTCACTTTTTTCCCATAAAGTTTGAAGTTCAATAGCAAATGTTTCTAATTTGAAGTTTCAGAAGGCCTTCAGTTAGTGATTGGGAAAGGACTATATATTAGCTGTCAAAAAAAGTTGTCTAGATAACCCATGTTGCGAGGATTCAGATACAATTGTAAGAGCCCCATTTATTTTTTGAGTGCTTTCCAACTGGAATCAGTGATGGGCATTTATCTACATGATCTAATTTCATTTTCACTATAATTCCAGGAATGGGCATTCTTAACTTCATTTCACAGATGAGGCAACTGAGGCTTAAAAAGTTTAAATGGCTGGGTGCGATGACTCACGCCTGTAATTCCAGCACTTTGGGAGGCCGAGGCAGGCGGATCGCCTGAGGTCAGGAGTTCAAGACTAGCCTGGCCAACCTGGTGAAACCCTGTCTACTAAAAATACAAAAAAGTTAGCTGGGCATGGTGGCAGGCACCTGTAATCCCAGCTACTTGGGAGGCTGAGGCAGGAGAATCACTTGAACCTGGGAGGCGAAGGTTGCAGTGAGCGAGATAAAAAAAAAAGTTTAAATGATTTTATCAGGATCACAGAGCCCATAGTGGTAGCGGGGCCAGGGTTTGAAGTCAGGACAGTCATGCTTAAAGCATTTCTCTTTAACCAGCCAGGGCTCTTGGAGAGGGTGGGCTTTGAAGATGATGCCTCCTCATGCCAGACTACCCTGAGGTGGATTCCTCCTGCAGCCCTGCCCAGGTGTGAAGAGGGCCAGTGGGGGGAAGAGGATGGCCATAGGTGCTGACCCCTTGGCTTTGGGGGCAGGAGCGGGAGATGGAGCTGCGGCGGCAGGCCCTGGAGGAGGAGCGGCGGAGGCGTGAGCAGGTAGAACGGAGGCTGCAGAGTGAGAGTGCCCGGAGGCAGCAGCTGGTCGAGAAGGAGGTCAAGATGCGGGAGAAACAATTTTCCCAGGTGAATGGGCAGTGGGGCACAGTGGTGGTTGGTTTGACGGTGAGGGCTGTAGAGAAGTGGGGAGATCCCAGGGTTTCTGTGTTGGGCTGTAAAACCTGTTCTACTCCAGAAAAGATTGCTGTTGGCTTAATACTAGCAGAATTCTACCTGGGACTCATTGACCCCAAAACAGACCCACCAGGACTATTCAAGTTGTGTGTGTGTGTGTGTGTGTGTGTGTGTGTGTGTGTGTGTGTGTGTGTGTGTGTTTGTGTGCTGGGGTAGTGGGTTGTAAGGATGTGGCAGGCCACCTTGCAGACATCCGGGGTCAGAGAAGAGGGTCTGGACAGGCATCCCAGAGATGGGAGCTGGTAGTCAAGAATCAGAGTGGCTCCCCTTGGCCTCTCTCCAGGGCCTCAGATCCGCTTCATGAGCCTGCGCTGCACCTTCCCGTCTGCTTCCCCTGCTGCCCCTCCTGCATGTGGAACTTCAGGGTGTGCTGGCCCACACCCCACAGGACCTTTCAGCTCCAGTCCCCACCATCAGTGGATGACCTCACTCTGACTTTTGGTTTACATCTCCAAGACAGAATTGTACTAGTTTCTCTTCGGGACAGAAATCCTTCCTTGCCCAAAAGCCAGCCCTACCCTTTCTCCTTAAACAGGAGACTTGAGCAGAACAATTGAAAGCAGAAGGAGAAATTGGTTTGGGCTGGGAAATCTGCCCATGTCTCTGGTCCCAAATCCTAACTCCCACAACCCCCCATGAGAATCTGTAGGACTTAGATAGCCTGTCCCTTCTGATTAGTAGGCTTCCCCAGGTTGGGAGTCCCCTGGAATCTTTCCCAAGCAGTGATCACAGTTCCCTCATTTCCTACAGTGCAACAAAATAAATCCTAAGGGATAGGTCATCTGGATTGGGTTTGGGAAATAATGAGAAGGGGCTGGGCACAGTGGCTCACGTCTGTAATCCCAGCACTTTGGGAGGCCGAGGTACACAGATCACTTGAGTCCAGGAGTTCAGAGACCAGCCTGGCCAACATGGCAAAACCCCATCTCTACAAAAAATACAAAAATTAGCTGGGCGTGGTTTCACACACCTGTAATCCTAGCTTACTCTGATGGCTGAGGCATGAGAATCGCTTGAATCCAGGAGGTGGAGGTTGCAGTGAGCCGAGATCATGCCACTGCACTCCAGTCTGGATGATGGAGTGAAATTCTGTCTCAGGAAAAAAAAAAAAGAAAAAAGAAGCTCTGTGAATTTTACCCCCGTGGTTGGAATATTTGTAAAATGCTTGGCTTCCCTTTCCTGCTTCAGTCAGTGACTGTTCTGGGAGTCTCTCTTCTAGCCCCTGTCCTGGGGCTCAGGCATTGCTGCAGTGGCCACTGGTGTCTGGTGTGGGAGATGGGTAGAATCAGCTATCTGTGGGGTCGTGTGTTTTGTTTTTTTCTTTAAATAATATATGATGTTTCCTGGCCATTTTAATGTTCTTCTGGGACAGGAAGAGTAGAAAAATATTCCGGTTGACTGAGAATTCTAGTTAGTATCAGAGGTAGAGTAGACCTTAGTAATTATCTAGTTCAAAGCCGGCGTTTTACATGGAAGGAAACTGAGGCCCAGAGAAGGGATGTGACCCAAACAAGGTCCCATGCGAAGTCAGAAACTAGATTTCTTATTGGGCTTTTCTTCCCAGACCACGTTCATATCTGGCCTCTTGCTGTATTCTCTTTGGCTCAGGAGGGAAAGGAGGGGCAGGGCAAGACAAAGATGCCGTGTCTTGGTCATAGGTGGGAAAACTGAGGCACAGAGTGACTTCGCAGTTTGCCCGGCCCTAGGTAGAGTCAACATAGGCATGGTAGGTCTCCACTTTTGCCATAAGCCCTGTGGAGCCACAGTGACCGCCATGGGTTAGGGAGGTGTGATGTCAGGCTGTTGGGGTTTAGAAGTGAAGCCAAGGGGCCTGGACAGGGGAATAATGAGGGAAGAGAGGAGACTCTCCTGACCCTCCCTCTTGCTCCCAGGCACGACCCCTGACCCGCTACCTGCCAATCCGGAAGGAGGACTTTGACCTGAAGACACATATTGAGTCATCGGGCCATGGTGTTGATACCTGCCTGCACGTGGTGCTCAGCAGCAAGGTACAAGGCGTGTGTGGCCCTGGGGTGCTGGGGAGAGGGAGAATCCCGTGGTGAGAGGCACCTCCTGGGTCGTTGGAATAGTGGCGTCAGTCTCTACCCTCACCTAACCAGATCTCTGTCCCAGGACCTGGTGTGCTGGCCTGAGGAGATGTTGGGGACAATCCCCCATGAATACAGGCACAGGCGATGGCACACACTTAAGGCTTAAGGGCTGCATATTTGGGTCCTTCCTTACTCCTGCTTCCTACCAGGTCTGCCGTGGCTACTTGGTCAAGATGGGCGGCAAGATTAAATCATGGAAGAAGCGCTGGTTTGTCTTCGACCGGCTCAAGCGCACCCTTTCCTATTATGTGGGTGAGTTCCCACAAGGCCACCCTGGGGGCCAGCCAGGATCCCTGGGCTCTGTTACCCAGGACGGCTGGTCTTCTAGAAGGAGGCCAAGCTTCCAAGTAGGGGACCAGAGTCTTGGGCTAGGCTTTGCCCTCCTTCCCTGAAAATGTACACAATGTACCTGGTTCACCTCCATTTTTGTGTTCATTCATTCATTCCTTCATTCAGCAATGTTACTAAGCATCTAGTAAGTTCTAGGCACTGTTCTAGGCTCTGGTGATGAGTAAGATGGCCACAGCGCTCTCATGGAGCTTATAATCAGGGAAGCAGACAAGAGTGATAACCACGCACAATGGGTATGCTGATAGGAGACATCCAGGCACTGCAGGAGCATGGGGTCTTATGGTCAGAGTTGGGCTGGGAACTCCCCCTTGGACAAATTCCATCAGAGATTCCAAGACAAGCAGTTGAACAGTGCCAAAGAGTGCTCAGGATAGCCCAGGAACAGGCCGACTAGACCCTCTTGCTCTCTCAGCTCTCTCCGTTCCAGCATCTAGCCTAGTTTCCCATCCCTGGAACTCCCTTGTACTTTTCCCACTTGGAGCGTGGGATGCTGTGTTATACCCTAGTCAGGAGGAGGTAAGGTATGCTGCAGTAACAAGAAGTCATAAAATCCCAGTGGCTGGACAGGTGCAGTGGCTCACACCTGTGATCCCAAAACTTTGGGAGGCCAAGGTGGGCAGATAGCTTGAGGCTAAGAGATTGAGACCAGCCTGGGCAACATGGTGAAACTTTGTCTCTACTAAAAATACAAAAATTAGCTGGGCGTGGTGGCATGCACCTGTAGTCCCAGCTACTCGGGAGGCTGAGCACGAGAATTGCTTGAACCCAAGAGACAGAGGTTGCAGTGAGCCGAGACTGCGCCACTGCACTCCAGCCTGGACAACAGCGTGAGACTCTGTCTCAAAAAAATAAATTAAAAGGCCGGGCATGGTGTCTCATGCCTGTAATCCCAGCACTTTTGAGAGGCCGAAGCGGGCAGATCACGAGGTCAAGAGATTGAGACCATCCTGGCCAACGTGGTGAAACCCCGTCTCTACTAAAAATACAAAAATTAGCTGGGCATGGTGGCACGCGCCTGTAGTCCCAGCTACTCGGGAGGCTGAGGCAGGAGAATTGCTTAAACCCAGGAGGCAGAGGTTACTGTGAGCTGAGATCGTGCCACTGCACTCTAGCCTGGCGATAGAGCAAGACGCCGTCTCAAAAAAAAAAAAAAAAGGAAATCTCAGTGGCTTACAAGTACTAGGCTTCCTTATGCCCAATACATGTCGACTGCACATTGTGAGTTGGTGGGGGCTTTGCTGTGCATCAGCGTTGTCTTTGCTTCAGCATGGCTTTTGGGAACATTTCTGGCCACAGTGGCAGAGGGAAAGAGAGGCTTAAGTGAGCCCGGCCTTGGTATTAAATGTCCTAGTTGGGAAGTGACACACATCATTTCTGTCCAGAAGTCATAGATGGGGCTGTCTGCCAGTCACACAGCCTCACCTAGCCACACAGCTGGGAAGAGCAATCCTGCTAGGAGCTCAGAAGAGGGGAAAGGGCTGCAGAGTTTGGTGCCAGAGATGCTCAGGTCTGGAGTGCCCACTTCCCCCCTAACCTGGTCCCTGATCACCTGCTGGCCCCTCTAAGAAACCTTCCCTGACCACCCTGGGTCTTGGGTGTTTTGAGGAGGCAGGAGGACCAGAAGCACAGGTGTCCCATGTTTCTCTCTGGGCCAGGAAGGTAGAGGGACTAGGGACTTTGGAGAGGAAGAAACATGCCTGGGGAAAGGAGTTCCATTTTAGGCATGTTGAGATTGAAGTGCCTCTGGGACATCTAGGTTTAGGAGGATGGTCAGGATTAGAGGTGGAGTAATAGTTGAATCAGGTGGAATAATAGTAATAGCAGATCACCTTTATCAAGCACTTGCATGAGCCAGGCGCTGTGCTAAGCACTCTGCATGCATCATCTCATTAATCTTTGAAATAATCCTATGAGGGAAACACTATTTTTATGCCATTTTACCGATGAGGAAAATGATGCTCAGAGAGGTTAAGTAAATTGCCCAAGGTCCCACAGCTCCTAAGAGACAGAGATAAGACTGAACCTGGGCAGTCAGACTGCAGAGCAGAGAAGAGGGGAGGGAGAGGGCCGAACCCTGGGGCAGGCCTACCCGTGTGGGGAAGGAGAAAGAGGAGAGACCAGCAGAGGGAGAAGGGGCAGGAGACAGGAAGCCAGCACTAACCACATGCCAGGTGCTGGGCTGGTGCTTGGCATATGTGGCCTTAGTTAGCGCCTGTGGAACAAAAGGAGACTAAGTTCAGATGGCAGGAATAGAAATGGGAGCAGAAACAGGGAAGGAAGCCAGCCAAAGGAGCAGACATTCACAAGCAGGAGGTGTCACCAGCAGTGATGGATGCTGCAGGAAGGCCAAGAAAGATGTGGCCCAAAGGCTGTTAGACTCAGGGATGGGAGCTTGTCAAGAGAAGGCTTTCTGCTGTGCATGGGGCCAGGAGCCAGACTGCACAAGATTGAGGATAGGTGGGTGGTAAGGAAGCGGAGGCAGGAGTGTGTTACTATTTCCTGTGAAGGAAGGGATGGGAGAGAACAGGAGCTGGAGGGCTGAGCAGGCCCAGAGCCAGGCAGGGCTGGTCCTTTACCAAGGAGGAAATGTCAGAAATGGGCCTGTGGCTGGATAAGGGCCATGGGTGCCTTGCCTATTCCGCTTGGACCCTCTTCCTGCCAACTCGATAGAAACCCCCTCATTGCATGGAGTCCAGATTACGTATTATATCTAGGAAGCCTTTCCTGACCCCACCTTACTAGGAGTGATTCCCACCCTCCTCTGAACCCCTGCATTATCCAGCATCTGTTTTTCCATGTGACATCAATCCAGGAGTGTAATGATATAATAACAGTGCCACGTTATGTGCCACACACTGTGCTGAATACCTTAAATGTGTTCTTTCATTTAATACTCATGACAACCTGTGATGCGTAGGTGGTCTCATGGGGTTCCTAGCCATGCCTTTAGTAGCTATTTACATAGCTGTGTGTCTGTATTTTCCTCACTGTGAGATTGTAGTTTCCTAAGAGAAGGGTCTCTGACTTCTCTCTGAATCCCAGTGTCTAGGACTCATTCCTTCAGTATTGGGTACCTACTGTGTGCCAGGCACATAGTTGTTTGTGTTGGGGGAGGTAGACCATGGAATGGATAAAGGAGGATTCAGATTCAGCATAAGTTCTATACAGAGGAGCATCTGTGCTTTGGGAACACAGGAGAGCACAACTGTGCACTGTCGTGGTGACATTTTGCAATGGGTCTTGAAGATCATTTAGGAGTTTGCTAAGGAAATGGGCTGGAGGAGATAGTTCCAGCATACAGGGTGTATTATTAAGGGAACAGTGAGAAGCTCAGATAGGACTTGGGACTCATGCAGGGGAAGGTTATGATACAAGGCTGGAGGGACATGTTGGCAGCAGTCCGTAAGTTGCCTTTACCAAGCTGCAGAGGTCGGGGAGAGGAGGAGCACTCGGGAAGGAACTTACTTCCAGCCGGCACCATTGAATTTAGTGATTCGCGTGACCTCTCCTGTAGGACGCAGGCTCACTGTTAAGGATGTCAGCTGTAGCATCTGAGCAGTGCCACAGACAAGTTGGCCCAGGCCCTGTGCTTTCCCTTGACAGGGATCCTGCCCCTTCTCACTGAATGGTCACCTCTGCTCAGGTAGTTTGCCCCTTTCCTGCCACCTCTGACCTCCAGAGGCTATATGCTATATGTATATGCTAACTGCTCTGTACACATCAAGGGAGTGTGCTTCCTATCTTTTTTTTTAAAAAATAGGTAAAAGTATTCATATAGTTCAAAAATAAAAAATATATAAAAAGGTTTAAATTGAGAATTATGCCCCACCCACTACAGTAACTAATTTTATAAATCTCTTGTGTATCCTTATAGAGTTTCTATAGGAGAATATAAACAAATACTTTTTCTTGCACAAAAGGTGGCATACAGTACATTCTTTTTACCTCCTAATGTGTCTTAGAGATCATTTTATATCAAATTTATCTATATCTAGACATTATATCTCGATATAAATTATAGACTTATTTCTGAGTCTGTATCTGTATCAGATATTTCTTTCTTTCTCTTTTTTTTTTTTTTTTTTTTTGAGACAGAGTTTTGCTCTTTTTGCCCAGGCTGAAGTGCAGTGGCGTGATCTCAGCTCACTGCAACCTCCGCCTCCCGGATTCAAGTGATTCTCCTGCCTCAGGCTCCCGAATAGCTGGGATTATAGGCATGCACCACCACACTCGGCTTATTTTTGTATTTTGAGTAGAGACGGGGTTTCACCATGTTGGCCAGGCTGGTCTCGAACTCCTGACCTCAGGTGATCCACCCTCCTCGGCCTCCCAAAATGCTGGAATTATAGGCATGAGCCACCATGCCTGGCCTATATCATTTTACTTAACAGCTGTATTTAGTCTTCCATGATGTGACACACACTAACTTATTAACCAGTCTCCACTTGATTGATATTTTGGTTGTTTCCAATCTTCTGTGACTGCAGACAATACTATACTTAATAATCTTGTGTGTGTTACTTTGTATATGTGAAAGAGAAATTCTCCTAAATGTAAGCATTGGATCAAAAGATAAATGCCTTTCTAATTTTGATAGACATGGCCAAATTGTTCATAAGGGTTTTACCAATTTATACTCCCACATGTCATTAGACTGCCTCCTTCACCATAGACTTGCCAAAAGTGTGCTGTATATTTGTTGTATGTTTTTGTCATTGGGGTAGGTGAGAAGTGGTATCTCAGTGGAGTTCTGATTTGTATTTCTCTGTGATTATGAGTGAGGCTGAGCATTATCCATATCTTTAGGATTCTGTATTGGGTTCTGTTTGGGGGTCTTGGGAGACTAGGATCTTCACCCCATTTCCCAGATTTGGAAGCTCAGGCCATGGAGCTCCACGTAAATGGAGCTAGACCTGAAGTGTGACCGGCTCCATAGCCCACCCTTACTTGCTTTGCAGACAAGCATGAGACGAAGCTGAAGGGAGTCATCTATTTCCAGGCCATTGAGGAAGTGTACTACGACCACCTGCGCAGTGCAGCCAAGGTCAGGGGTGGAGGGCACCAGAGGGGGGCCAGAGGGACAGCCATGGGGAAGGGGTGGCCTGGTGGGGCTCTGGGAGCAAAGGCCTCCAGCCTGCCCTCTACAGAGGCTCCAACCCAGTCCTTGTTCTCTTTGTCAACTTTCTCTTCCTTTCTCCCTCTCCCCTTCCCAGAAGAGGTTTTTCCGCTTCACTATGGTGACTGAGGTACCCCTCCCCACTTAGCTGTAACCAGCACATTAACACCTCCTGTACCCCACTCATCCCTGACCCTTGACCTCCCCTTCATCCCCCTCCCTTCCCCCAGGCCCAAGGGAGGAGCAGAAAGCAGGTTGCAAAGAGCAAGAAGCTCCTGTGGGCTTGGGTGCCTCTCTCTCCTTGTTGCCTCCCTCTCCTGGAAATGACAGCAGACCCCATGGGGGTCTGGTGATAGAGAAGGGATGGCCGGAAGGGGTGGAGGGGACCCTTAAAGACTAGATTTAATAGGGAGAAATTGATAAACAGGAGATATTGGAGGCTGGGGCCTGCTTCCCTAGTGCAAGTCAGCCTTCCTGCCCCCAGCCCTCTGGTGCCCACCCCAGTCCTGATCTCTGCTCCTCTGGGGTCCCAGGGCCTGGCATCCTACTTGTTGCTTTTTCTGTCTGCCGCTGTTTTGCTGAGAGGAAACTCTGGTCCTCACTGGAAAAGCCTTTGTGTTTGATCCTCTTGATACTCACTTTTGAACCTGGGGCGCCAAGGACCAGTGCCCCCCTTGTCAGGGTATAGCTCTGTCAGGGTCCAGGGAGTTTAGAGAGCCCAGGACTGCTGTGGTGTGAGAAGGGAACATTTCAGCCTGGGGCTCACATGGACTGGTAGGGTCTAGGCTCTGGACCTATTTAGGACTAAGCTCCAGGGCTTTCTAGGGGCTGGGAGGGGAAAGGGCAGATAGGGAGGCAGGTGAGAATATTCCTGGGCATGGGTGAGCCCCATCTTAGACCTTCCTCTCTTCCTTTGGCAGAGCCCGAACCCAGCCCTCACCTTCTGCGTAAAGACCCATGACCGGCTGTACTACATGGTGGCCCCATCTGCAGAGGCCATGCGTATCTGGATGGATGTCATTGTCACAGGGGCTGAGGGCTACACTCAGTTCATGAACTAACTGCCGTGGGCCTCCTGGCAGAGCACAACTGGGGCTTTTGTATAAGAAGACTTTAATATTCTGTAAGGAGCTTGGTCCTGTGAGTTTCTGGGCTCTGGCCTCCTGAAGAACCAGCCAGAAGAAGAAAAGTAGAGGTGGCTTTGCTGCCTCCTGGGAGCCCAGAACTTGCAGTAACCCTTTAGGGTCCTGCCCCAGGCCCAGCCAGGGCTGAGGAGCTGTCACAGAGAGGGCCTCAGCTCTGACCTGACACCTGCTCTCCCCAGCCTGTTTTCTCTTTTCTAAAAGACAAATTATGGTACCATAAGCTGCCAAAGATCCCCTCCTGCCTCAGACCCCTTTGCCAGGGGCTTTGGGGGCTGAGCAGAGCCACATCCAGAGTGGGGTAATAGCTCAGGCGGCCCGCTTCCCATTTCTCAAACCCCGCTCTGCCCCATTGTTCTCCTTTCCCTTATACTTTTTATTACCTTGCTCAAGGGCCAGAGATCTCAAGTGTCAACCTTGAGGTCCCAGCTCCATCCCCTAGTTGCAGACTCATCACCATGGTTACCATAGTGACTGCTTCATTGCCATGGTTACATACTAATTGCTGCAGCTCTGTGGCCCAGCCCACTGCTTCAGCTGTGGGCCATCTGAGGGTACGTGCCATCATCTCTCCAGCCCAGGCCCCTGGGCATCTCATGCTGGGGGGAAGGGACTGAATACCTTTTTCCTTCCCCCTGCCTGTGTCTTCAGCCCTGATGCACAGGCTGCCAGCCCCCCAGTCCAGCCCTCTCCCTTCCACTGGTGCCTTGCTTAGAGCCAGAAGGGATGAAGCCGGGGGATCTATGGAACAGAGGAGGAGCGATGCAGTTGGGAGAGGAAGCTAGAAGGGTTATGGTTGGAGTTCTGTACAGTGTTGAGTTTCCGACAGGGAAAGAGGATTCCTCCAATGCTCCTAGAGAGAAAGCCTGAGCAGGAGATGATGCAGCAGAGGGGAAGGGCCCTGTGGTGCCGCCGCCCTTCCTTCAGCCTCCGAAGGGTGATGGAAATGGAGAGTGGAGGACCAGGCCTCCAGCTGTCTGGCCTCGCCCTTCACGCCTTAACACTAAGCCCACCTCCCCTGCTCTCCTTCCCAGCATTGAGCCCTTGGTTGCCTGGGCCCAGGCTGGGGGTTTTCAGTATTTGTAAGCATTTCAGCAGAACAATAAAGCCTTTGGACTACGGAAGTGAGTGGAAGGCCGGTGTGGGGCTTGGCGCTGAGGCACTTGGGGATAGGTCTTCCCTCCAGAGCAGGATTTCCACCCTATTCAAGGTTCCAGGAGGGAGCTAGGCCCCTACCCATGACCTCCAGGTCGTGACCCTGCCCTCCACTTCGCTCTGAGGACAGGCTGGGAGGTAGGAGGGCATGAAGAGGCAGGGGAAGGCAGGAACTGGTGCAGAGGTTTAATGGGGCAGGAGCTGGGGCCAGGTGAGGAGAGGAGGGCTGTCACCATGGCAGGAGGCTGAGCAGGAGGCTGGGCAGAAGGGTGGCCGCCAGGCAGTGGGGCTCCAGGAAAGCCAGCTTGGCCCCTGAGGTCAGCCGGTCACCATAGCGGTCCAGCAGCATCAGGACCACGCCATTCGTCCAGCCAAATCCCTCCTGGGAGAGGCAGGGCAGTGGGGCCAGTTTCTGGGGAAGCCTCATACCCTTGGTGGGGGCTGTGGGCTCTCTCCCCAGGGGCACTGGCCCTGCCTAACCCCAGCGGTACAGGAAGCACCAGTCAGCTCCTCCCCCGGGCCCACATGCAGGTGAGCACACTGAGGCCTGGGGCGGGGGTCATGAGCAGCAGAGTTCAGGAGTTCCCTGGTGTTGGCCAGCCCACCCCTGGCCTGCTCACCTGAACTTCATATTCTCCTCCCCCACCGGGCTGTCCACCGTTGCTGACGTCATACTGGGGACAAGCGGGTGGGCTGTATGTCAGGTACTGCCCCCCAGCTCCAGGAACAACAAACAACCAGAGCCCCTGGGGAGAAGCTGCTCTGCCTGCCCAGCAGCCCCTGCAGTGCTCAGGAGTGGCCACTGGGACAGCCTGGGGGTGCAGGGAGGGCTTGGGCCAGCTCACCTTCTCATACATGGCTGACTTCTGCGAGTAGACATCAAAATTGGTTCGGATCCAATTCTGAGCCAGCTGGAAAGCCACTTCCTGGGCCCGACGTAAAGGTGCCTTGGCCAGGCCTAGACCCCATTGCAGGCAGGACTCAACCTCCAGGTCTCCCATCCCAGACAGAGCAGTGGCTGCACCCTACTCTCCCCAAGGAGGGAAAGAGGCCTGGGCCCTAAGACTTCCTTCCTGAGACCACAGGCCAAACTGCCCTTAATCGACGGCCCTGGTTTGAAGGGCGAACAGGACTGATTGCACTGGACAGGCTGGGTGGACATAAGTGTCAAGTGGAGGCCAGGAGAGCAGAGGAGCGAGAGAAAGGATACGGGGCCTCTTGTGTCTTTTGTTCATGCCTCCCCAGCACCAGGGAGGCCCACCTCTACACCCTGGGAAGGGTCCTTGGCTGTGTCAGCCCTGCCTCCCTACCTCTGATGACCAGGTCCTGCAGGGGGGCCCAGGCATTGGGGAAATCCCACTGCTGGCCTGTCTTCTGGAGAGAGGTCGGGATCCCATACTGGTAAGTCAGGATCCGGTTGTCCTAGAAGGTCCCAGACATTCCCATGACTGTGGGTGGGGCTGGACTGGGAGCCAGGACAGGACGCTGGACCCCGCGGGAAGCCAGACGTCCCCTTCCTGGCTCTTCTTTTCTCGGCTCACAGCTGCCCCCCGGTGGCTCTGGTGGGACCCGCAGGCTGGGACAAGGGGCATAGCCGGAGGAAGCGCCCTCCCCTGCAGGTCCTGTTCAGGGTCGGGAGGGGGCGGTGCTGCCTGCAGTGGACCCGAGCCACCTGCTGTGCCCTCACCTCCAGGTATTTCAGAGCCTTGTCCGCCACGCCAGGGTCAGAGAAACACCCGGCCCAGAGTGGAGTGAGGTTGGATGGGTAAAACTCCCGGTTTTTCTTCTTCTTCTCAAGGTCGTAATCGAACCAGGCTCCGGTCTGCTCATCCCACAGGACTGTGTTCAGGGCGGCCAAGCGCTGCGACCGCAGGATTCTGTACTTCGTGGCCTGGGAGTCGTTCCCTGGGGCAGTGCTGCCTTTAGAGCCAGCAGCCAGTGCCCTGCCTGCTGCCCCAGGCTTTTTTCGTGGTTCTACTTTAGCCTCCCCGCTTTGTGTTTCTCTGCAAAGGCTGAGACACCCTGATGACCAAGGGGATGTGCCGATCTGGAGCCCACCACATTTCTGGCCTATGGCCCCGCACTGCTCCCAGGGAACCACTGGAGCTGATCTGTCCCCAGGGTCTCCAGGGTCTATCCTCCCAAGGGTACTGGCTGGGTGGATTCCCCTAGCTCTTAGGGGGTCAAGGGCAGCTGTCTGAGGGAGAGGGAGTGGAAGGATTTTGGATGCGTGGACTAGGGTTCCCCTCACAGACCCTAGAGACCCTCACAGTAAGAAAGGGAGGAAGAGAGGATTAGGGTTGGCTCCGTTTGTTCTCTTGTCTGGTACGCAAATGTGAGTGCAGGCTTCCACTAGGGCGGGGCTCGACAGGCTAAGTTGCTGAAGGCCTGTCACACAAGGGTCCTACTTCCAGTTCTATTGCCAAGCCTGAGCAGGAAACCAAGCTCCCTGCTTTCCCTTCCCTACTGGGGTGCTCACCCAGCCTGGAATAGAAGTTGCTCATCAGCTCCTCTGCTTGGCATAGGAAGGCATTCAGGTCAACAGGCACCAGTTTGCTTGTTCGGATGCCGCTAAGCGAGTTGGGGTTTGGGCCTCCAATGAGCCAGCGTGAAGAGAAGTCCCAGCCAGACTCAGCCCCAGCCTTGAGCTCAGCCCACAGAGCCTCCCGGTCTCCTGTGAGGACAGAGCAGGGAACCAGCCAGTCCCGGCTGCAGGATAGGCAGCCATTGACAGGAGACCAGAGCCTGACACAGCAGGTGTGCAGCTGCCCTGCCCCCAGCCCTCCCTCACCCTCCTGCTGCTCACCTTCTGGCAAGGTGTCAGCCAACTCCACATCTTTGCTGTAGGACTCAGGCCTGGCAAAGAGGAGAGGTGGGCAGCCTGGCACTAGTAGCTACTAAGCCCCTCTGTGGTCAAGAAGAGGCTGAGCCATCTTGATCCAGCTGCCCTTGGGCCCCACAGCCCAGGATTGCAGAGGGCTCTCGGTGTCACCATCTGAGAGGCCAGGCTAAGTCACTCCTCCTCCTGCCCGGGGCATTGTGATGCTCTAACCAGAGTGAGCAGGTAAGAGATTGAGGGGTGGGCTGCCCAGTTCCTCACCTGGGTCCCCCATAAGGGACATAATAGCGATTCAGGAGGTAGTTCTTTCCCTCCAAGCTCACAGAGACAGTCCTGTTCTTGGTCCAAAAGTCCAATTCCAAGGCTAGTGTTTCAATGTTTTCCCTGGAGTGAAGCAGACAACACCTCAGCCCAGGCGTGCTGCCCATCCCCAGCCCTGAGAGGTCTGAGGGATGGGTGGGTCTGCAGAGCAGCACAGGGAGGGTGGTACCCACTGTAGAAAGGCGGTGTCATTGGTGTGAGTCAAGTAGCAATCCATCATGAGGGTCAAGAGTGGGGGCTGGCTCCGCTGCAGGTAGTACACGCGCCCACCATTGGGGACATGCCCATAGCTGCCAAGGGGAAGGCCTGCTGAGATGCCCTCTCCCCAGCAACTGGCACCAAGGCAATCCAGCTGCATGCCCGTGGCACACCTGCCTCTCCTCCCCACCTAGGCTGGAGGTGCCTGGCCCCCCTCACGTTTTCACCAGGTCCAAGAAGTTCTGCAGCATGCCCTTCACCGTCTCAGCCATCTCTGAGAGGAGCAGACCCTCCATGACCCAGTAGGAGTCCCTGGGGAAGGGGCAGCTTAGGCACCACCCTGCTGCCTCCCTCTGCCCTGCACACCAGCCAGTGGGGCACTCTGCCCTGCTGAAGACACCCTGCTGGCCCTGGGTTTCTCCACCACTGCCAGTCCTGCAGGCCCCTTGGTCTCTTGGGCCTGGGCGCTCACCAGTAGTAGAACTCAACAAAGCGACCGCCAGGCACAATGAAGGGATGTTCTGAGTAGATGAGAGAGAACCGCTCAGGGTGGCTGAGAACCTCTGGCTTCATCTGGAGTCGGGAGAGAGGGCAAGGGGAGCCTAGAATCCCCACGGAAGCAGAGGCTACAGGCAGCTGGGGGATCTGAGGCCCCGGGAGTCACAGCTTTGGAGCCAGGCAGTTGGGTTCAGCGCTGGCTCCACTGCTACTCAGCCATGTAATCAAGGCCTGGCCGCTGGGAGCCTTGGGGTCCTCATCCCTCACCTGCCGGCCTTGGGAGTCCCAGCTCAACTTGGTGCCGGGTAGAAGACCCGACCACTGAGCCAGGCACTGGGCAGGTATCCACCAAGCAGTGGCCATTACGAAGACCCAGGGTGGGCTGGGTGGGTGAGGGGGGTGCCAGCCCCCCATTTCCGCTCTACTCCCCATCCTTGCTGCCACCACCCAGCCGGGCCCAGAGGATTGGCCCATCACCCCCATTCTCTGAGCCAGGTGGGGATAAAACCCCAAACCCTTTCCCCAGGTGAGGGGATGTGGATGAGCAAAGTAGCTCAGGACAGGGCTGAACACAGGGCCTGGCCCCACGCAGCAGTAGCACTGATTCCTCCTGAGACGGAGGCCTGGCCCAGGAGCTCAGGGAAGGAGAGAGCCCAGCAGGCAGTGAACATCTACCCAGTGGTGCCAGAGGCAGTGCTGGGCAGCCTGGAGGTGGCAGGGCAGGCTAGGGTTTCCTGGGGAGGCTAGGGAGCCTTCCTGGAGGAGGCGAGATGTTAGAAGTAGATGCTGCCCTTCTGACCTCAGAAGTTCTTTCTAGAGGGCCTCTATTTGGGGACCCAGGGGCCAGGGACTGGTTTCTCAGGAAAGGAAACCTGATCTGTGCTCCGAAGACACTGTGGGCCCCAGGCACATTCCTCTCTTCAGTTCCCTTGGTCAGGCCTTGGGCAGGCCCAGGACGCTGATACCTTCTTCCCCAGCTTCTTCCAGAGCTGATGCAGCTGCCCTGCCCAGGCACGCAGTTTGGCATCTGAAATCTTCTGCAGGAACTGGGGGCTGAAAGAACACAGGCCCCACAGGGTTCAAGGAGGCAGCTCAGTTGGAAGGAACCCTCTCTTGTTCCCCTTCCAGAGTCATACCTGTCTTTCCAGTCTGCAGGGGTCCAGGGCTGCAGCTCCTGCCCCTTGGCCTGGAAGTGTTCGTGGACAAACGCCTGCAGCTGCTCCCTGGGGATGCTGTGATTGTGGTCCCTGGACAGCTCAGTGAAGGTCTGCAGGACTTGTTCTGGAGAGCAGGCAGCAGGGAGGGGTCAGCAGGGTGTCACAAGCCACTCCCTAATCACAGGGGCCTCTCTACTTGGTCTTGCCCCCTGCCTTCTTTGGAGAGAAGGTTCTCTGGAGAGGACGTTCAGCCCTAGGTGCTTCACCTGGAGCTATAGACAGTGGCATGTCCACAAACTGCTTGTCATCCTGGTAGAGCTTGGCCATTTGAACTTGGTTTAGGAGCTCCCCGTGGCAGTAAATCTCACTGCAGAGACAGGGATAGGAGCAGGTCAGGTCACCACCACCACCCCATTAGGACAGAAGAGAAGGCTAGAGTCTGTGGTAGACTGGTCAAGGCATGTTCCCTGGGACTGGACAAGGGCTGTGTGTGCGTGCGTGTGTGTGTGTGTGTTAGGAGTTTGTGGGTTGGAGTGACATACAGGGCTGAGGGAACAAGTAGGGTCTTTGGGCAGTAAAGTACCTGTCCGACTGCCTGAGCCCACACTGGTTGCTAATTTGAGATGGTGTAGAATAGCTGGTGGACAAAGGGAGGTTAGCACTTTAATCATACTGGTGTGGCCAATTCTCTGTACAATGGCCCTGTGTAGACTCGATCGGAAGGGCTTATGGCAGAAACCTGGGAGGTGCACTCAGTGGTGATGGCTGAGATTGGGCCAGAACATTTCCAGGCGGTGTATGGTATAGGCCATTTGAGAGACAATTACTAGCTGGCTCTTGGGTGTTTCCTGAAACTGCCTCCATGACGGCAGGACACAAAATAATCCTGAAACCTGAAATACCCATAATGTCTTGGGTGATGTCAGAGGAACACTTTGTAACGAAGGCAGTGCCCAGAAGAGTTCCTGAATAAAATGGAAATGGTTTATTCAGGAGTCTGCTGCTCAGGGAATGCAAGGAGGTGCTAATGGTATTCAGGAGCAGGAAGCCTCTTTCCCCCTAGGGCCAACTTTGGAAGCACCGAGGAGCTGATGGATCCTAGTGCCACATAGAAGGGGCCCTATGAACAGCTCTTGGTTGAACAACAAAAAGCTGCTTGGTTTATGGGTAGAAAGACCTTGTTTGGAAGGCCTTTGCACTCTGACTGAGGATGGAAAATCTTTGAAGAAGGTAAGAACAAATCACCTCAGTGGACTGAATTGCATGCTGTTTTCCTTGCAGTGATAGAAGAATCGAATGATAAAAGCCCCTGTGTTTGGGTTTTTGCTGACTTATGGGCAGTAGCCAATGGCCTGGCAGATGGGCAGTGAAAAACTGAACTATTAAAGTGTTGCCCACCTGGGGCATAACCCTATGGAAAGGTAAGGGGCACATTAAAGTAGCTTTGCATATCAGGTCGTAGATGCAAATGTGCAAAATACTACAAGATGCTATATTAGAACAGAAGATGCTGTACCAATATGGACCACCAAGTTACATTTCTTCAGATCCAAGAACACAACTGACAGCACCTAGTGTCCAACAATGGGCCAAGCAATACCACAGCAAATGGACATACGGTGTTGCATACCGTCCTCAGAGTAGCGCTTTGATAGAAAATTGGAAAAGAGAGTCGAAACATTTGCTGTCTACAGTGGGGGAGGGAGATAAAAGCATGAAGGGGTGGCTTACATACCTTCAAAAATGTGTGCTCTGGCCGGGCACAGTGGCTCATGCCTGTAATCCCAGCACTTTGGGAGGCTGAGGTGGGTGGATCACTTGAGGTCAGGAGTTCGAGACCAACCTGGGCAATATGGTGAAACCCCATCTCCACTAAAAATACAAAAATTAGACAGATGTGGTGGCACGTGCCTGTGATCCCAGCTACTTGGGAGGCTGAGGCAGGAGAATCACTTGAACCCAGGAGGTGGAGGTTGCAATGAACCGAGATCACGCCACTGCAATCCAGCTTGGGCAACAAAAGCAAGACTGTGTCTTTAAAAAAAAAAAAAGTGTGTGCTCACATTCAGCTTGAGAGGAGCAAAGGGAGGTCTCCATTGGTTGGATTCCCCTAATTTTTCTGGGGGATCTGGGAAGAGGGAGGGCGGAGTTGTTGGTATGACTATATGATTTGTTCCCACATCATCTCAACTACTTTTTTCCTACCCAATACAGTGGCCCCACGACTAGGACTGCAAATGTGGGTGTCAGAAGAAGGGACAATTCTCAAAGAAAAAACTGCAACTGGCTGGGTGCAGTGGCTCACGCCTGTGATCCCAGCACTTTGGGAGGCCGAGGAGGGCGGATCACAAGGTCAGGAGAACGAGACCTTCCTGGCTAACACGATGAAACCCCGTCTCTACTAAAAAGTACAAAAAATTAGCCAGGCATGGTGGCGGGTGCCTGTAGTCCCAGCTGCTCAGGAGGCTGAGGCAGGAGGATGGCGTGAACCCGGGAGGCAGAGCTTGCAGTGAGCCGAGATCACGCCACTGCACTCCAGCCTGGGCAACAGAGCGAGACTCCGTCTCAAAAAAAACAAAAAAAGAAAAAACTGCAACTGTACCTTTAAACCTTCATGCCAGATTTACTAAGGGCCTGATGGGGTGTGTTGTGGCTTCACAGCATCTGGCTAAATTTGGCTTCTTAGTGAATGCAGCTGTATTGCCTAGTGGTCAAGATAGCCCACTAGTTCCGCACCTTTGTAACTCTTCCTTATATGCATGGGAGCAGACTGAGGGCGAGGCACCTGCAACACTACTATTACTGCTGGCAATGTGGATCAGCACAGTGGCCAAGCCTAATGTCCCTTACAAAGGTGGAAAAATTTGGTAAAAATCAATGATAGGCCGGGCGCGGTGGCTCACGCCTGTAATCCCAGCACTTTGGAAGGCCAAGGCGGGTGGATCAGGAGGTCAGGAGATCAAGACCATCCTGGCCAACATGGCAACACCCCCGTCTCTACTAAAAATACAAAAATTAGCTGGGCATGATGGTGCCTGTAATTCTAGCTACTTGGGAGTCTGAGGCAGGAGAATTGCTTGAACCCAGGAAGTGGAGGTTGCAGTGGGCCGGTATTGCACCGCTGCACTGCAGCCTGGGCAATGGAGTAAAACTCCATCTCAAAAAAAAAAAATAAATAAATGACAGATGGTGAGGAAGAGACATAGTAGCTGAGGGTAAAGGAATGAGTAAATGGGTTATACAATGAGGGGAATCCAATATCACATTGGTGTCTGGAGAGACTCGAAACAAGAGAATAAGATTGTCTCTTAGCACGATTATACCAGATGCCTGAAAGGGGGAAGCCATGCATTTGCCAAGACGACTCCTGCTGTTGGGCCCTGACAAGGTCAAATGGCAGCCTGCAAACCTGAGTGGCACTGCTCTGAGATTTGGTCATGTGATATGATGATGAGCTGCACTAATTGCTGACAACAGGATGTAACTCTAGCAATGCGCCAGAGACTTTTGACTCTTAATTTTCAGGTTACATCTACTACGAAGGATACCATTTGGGAAGGAATTTCCAGGAACTACTCTTTTTGGGGCCTTTGGATTGTGTGATTTACAACTCATGGCAGACTAATCACTGTGTAACTGTAAACCTTGATCACTGAATGCTTAGAAAGGTCTCCAGTTAAAATGAGCGAAATACAGCAGCAGCATGGCCAGCCTGTCCCAATGAGCTCCATGCACAAATGCAGATCACCCTTGTTTTCGTGGATGAAAAGCTGTTAAACAGAATAGAAAAAAGTTTTATTTTATTTTTTATTATTTTTATTTTTTTTTAGACGGAGTTTTGCTCTTGTTGCCCAGGCTGGAGTACAATGGCATGATCTCAGCTCACCGCAACCTCTGTCTCCTGGGTTCAAGCAATTCTCCTGCCTCAGCCTCCCGAGTAGCTGGGATTACGGGCATGTGCCACCACGCCCGGCTAATTTTGTATTTTTAATAGAGATGGGGTTTCTCTGTGTTGGTCAGGCTGGTCTCAAACTCCCAACCTCAGGTGATCCGCCCGTCTCAGCCTCCCAAAGTGCTGGGATTACAGGTGTGGGCCACTGCACCCAGCCTATTTTTTCTTTTTTTAGACAAGGGTTCGCTCTATCACCCAGGCTGAAATGCAGTGATGCAATCACAGCTCACTGCAACCTCAATCTCCCAGGCCCAGGTAATCCTCCCACCTCAGCCTCCTGAGTAGCTGGGACTACAGGCATATGCCAGCATATCCAGCTAATTTTTTCTATTTTTTTTGTAGAGACAGGGTCTCAATATGTTGCCCAGGCTGGTCTTGAACTCCTGGGTTCAAGTGATCCTCCTGGCTTCAAGTGATCCTCCCGGCTTGGCCTCCCAAAGTGTTGAGATTACTGTGATGTGGGCCAGCATGCCCAGCCCAAATGGGTTTCTTATAGTATTAAAGCAGTAGACATCCCATGATTTGTCCAAATTCTCCTGGGGAACAGCCCCATACTGAGACAAGGAAGGCTATGGGAGGCCTTATGGCATACTCAAACTAATTACACCTAGGTGTGATGTCCACTCATCGAACCCTACTATGGGGAACTCACAAATTCTGGGTACAAAACATGTATGCTAACAGCACTCAGGCCTTTAATACAAAATGGCAACAGCATACATGGTGGAATAAACATTGGCCCATGAGATAGAAAAGGCTCTAAGGGAGATAAGTTCCCCCATCATGGAACAAGCTGAATTTATTAATCCTATTTTTATCACCTTAAAGTCTTTTATCCCTAACAAATTTTTTTTTTTTGAGACTGAGTCTCATTCTGTCGCCCAGGCTGGAGTGCAGTGGCTCCATCTCAGCTCACTGCAACCTCCACCTCCCTGGTTCAAGCAATTCTCATGCCTCAGCCTCCCAAGTTGCTGGGATTACAGGCGTGTACCACCACACCCAGCTAATTTTTGTATTTTAGTAGAGACAGGGTTTCGCCATGTTGGCCAGGCTGGTCTTGAACCTTCTGACCTCAGATGATCCAGCTGCCTCGACCTCCTAAAGTGTTGGGATTACAGGCGTGAGCCACCGCACCCAGCCTACAAATTTACTTTTAACAAGGAGAAGCATTTAGAGAAAAAGACATATTAGAGGAGGAGGGAATACTTCCAAACTCTTCCTACAAAGCCAGTATTACCCTGATACCAAAACCAGGATGAAGACACATCAAAAAAAAAAAATAAAACTATGGGCCAGTATCACCAATGAATATTGATGCAAAAATCCTCAACAAAACACTAGCAAACCTTGGCTAGGCATGGTGGCAAAACCCTGTCTCTACAAAAAAAATGAAAAAATTAGCTGGGCGTGGTGGCATGCACCATGTTGCTTGGGAGGCTGAGGTGGCAGGATCGCTTGAGCCCAGGCAGGCAGAGGTTGCAGAGCCGTGATTGTGCTGCCGTACTCCAGCCTGGGCAACAGGGTGAGACTCTGTCTCAAAAAAAAAAAAAAAAAAAAAAAAAAAAGATTTTCCATGTTCATTATTTATGGATTGGAAGAATCAATATTGTTAAAATGTTCAAATGTTCATATGGGCTGGGCGCAGTGGCTCATGCCTGTAATCCCAGCACTTTGGGAGGCCAAGGCAGGCGGATCACTTGAGGTTAGGAGTTCGAGACCAGCCTGACCAACATGGTGAAACCCCATCTCTACTAAAAATACAAAAATTAGCCAGGCGTGGTGGTGCATGCCTGTAGTCCCAGCTACTCGGGAGGCTGAGGCAGGAGAATTGCATGAACCTGGGAGGCAGAGGTTGCGCCACTGTGCTCCAGCCTGGGTGACAGAGCAAGACTCCATCTCGGAATGAATAAATAAGGAGCTCATAAAACTCTATTAAAAAAACTAACAATCCAATTAAATATGGGCAAAAGAACTGAATAGACATTACTCAAAAGCAGACATACATTCCCTTAAGTAAGAAAAGAAGTAAAAAAGAAGACATACAAATGGCAAACAAGCAAATGAAAAGGTGCTCAATATAATTGATCATCAGAGAAATGCAAATCAAAACTACAATGAGATAGCATTTCATCCCTATTAAAATGGCTTTTATCCAAAAGCCAGGTCATAACAAATGCTGGTGAGGATGTGAAGAAAAGGAAACCCTCATACACTGTTGGTGGGAATGTAAATTAGTACAACCACTATGGAGAACTGTTTGAAGTTTCCTCAAAAAACTAAAAATAGAGCTACCATATGATCCAGAAATTCCATTGCTAGATATATGACCAAAAGAAAAGAATCAATGTATTGAAGAGATATCTGCACTCCCATGTTTATTGCAGCACTATGGACAATAGCCAAGATTTGGAAGCAACCTAAGTGTCCATCGACTGATGAATGGATAAAGAAAATGTGGTACATATCCACAATGGAGTACTATTCAGCCATAAAAAGGAATGAGATCCTGCCATTTGCAAGAACATGGATGGAACTGGAGGTCATTATATTAAGTGAAATAAGCCAGACGCAGAAAGACAAACTTCATATGTTCTCACTTATTTGTGGGAGCTTAAAATTAAAACAATTGAACTCATGGAGATAGAGAGTAGAATGACGATTAGGAGAGGCTAGAAAGGGTAGTGGTATAGTGGCAGGAGTCGCAGGGAGGTGGGGATGGTTAATGGTACAAAAAAATGGAAATAATGCATAAGACCTAGTATTTGCTAGCACAACAGGTGACTGTAGTCAAAAATAATTTAATTGTACATTTAAAAATAACTAAAAGAGTATAATCAGATTGTTTGTAACACAAAGGATAAATGCTTGAGGTGGTGGACACCCCATGTACCCTGATGTCATTATTACCCATTGCATGCCTGTATCAAAATATCTCATGTAATTCATAAATATATATACCTACTATGTACCTCCAAAAATTAAAAAAAAAGAACAAAACAAAACAAAAGATTAAGTGAGGGGCT
Organism: Homo sapiens; assembly: GCF_000001405.40. Taxonomy (NCBI): domain Eukaryota; kingdom Metazoa; phylum Chordata; class Mammalia; order Primates; family Hominidae; genus Homo; species Homo sapiens. The sequence goes on from NC_000011.10 coordinate 118,670,048, forward strand.
TCAAATGTCTTAAATATTAAATAAATGTAAGGTATTACTTTTTATTTAAAAAAAGAAATCAATTTCCAGTTCCACTCCCCTACCCAGAGATTGGGAGGTCAGGCTGATATCACTTGGCTCAAAGCCCCACCTCTCCAAACACACAGTTTGGTCTTTCTGGCATGTCCAGTCCTCGTCCTGAGTCAGCTAGTTAGTATAATCCATCTAGAGCCTCACCATGAATACCAAAGACACACCTATCATTTGGGAAATTCCAAGAGCTTAGAAGTTACTACCCAGCAACCTGGGTCAAAGAACAGACAAACTCTATTATACAACAGTCCAGTCCCTAGCCTTTACCCGTAGATCCCTTGTAGCAAAACAATTATGCTTTCCTGAGCAACTGCATTTGGGATAGCATTTTTATAACAGACAAAGAGATAATATCAACATGAATATGCCGAAAATTTAGAGGAGCTAATGTGGAAGTAGAGATAGGAGCTTTTAGCTCAATTCCCCAATACATGTGACCCTCAATATTAGAATTATAATCTTGCCAACAATGCCAGTGCTTTATTATGGTAGAAGTAACCTGAAAAATAAGAGTCAAAAGATGTTCACACATTACTAGAGTCCCATTGTCATTAATAATTAGTCCAGTTCATCACCAGATCATATGACAAAATGTCTCCCAGGATAAGGCCACTCAGGCTGGCAGGTTCCCCTTTGATCCTGTCAGCTTCCAGAGCAGGAGTGGTCTTGGCAAAATATGGCTTTACCCTTTCAGGCGTCAAGTATAATTGAATGAAGAGGCGGTATCATCTTTTTCTCTGATCTTCTTTCTAAGCATTAATGTAATAGTGGACTTCCCTCATTGCATTTCTTATTAATGCATGGATTCATTCATTTATTCCCAGCTACTACACCTCTTTCTCTCCATTTATACCCAAACTTTTCCACCTTTGGAAAGGACATTGGGTTAGGCCACTGTATTTATCCAGATTGTAGGTAGAAACACTTGTCTTGTAAATGCTTCTCCTTCAGTCCACTCCCATTCATATAGGGCAGGCTTACATAGGTACAGAACTAGTAAGCTATCTTGAGCAGTAGGCAATATATTTGTGTTTATTGTTAGCCCCATTTTTGCTAGATAAGGTGAAGGCACAACCTGCCCCATCAGACCCTTAGGAATTTTCACATAAAAGTTTAAGAATATAGTTATATTTTTTTGCTTAGGAATAATTCCTGCTTCTTGCATTTGTATCTGCAGTCCTAATTCAGAATTCTAGCAGATAAATGTAACAAAGAGATTAAAATAATTGAAAAGAATCAAGCTGAAACCCTAGAGCTGAAAAATGCAATTGGCATACTGAAGAATGCATCGGAGTCCTTTAACAGCCGAATTGATCAAGCAGAAGAAAGAATTAGTGAGCTTGAAGACAGGCTATTTGAAAATACACAATCAGGAGACAAGAGAAAATAAAAAACAAAGAAGCATGCCTACAGGATCTAGAAAATACAATCAAAATGCCTCAAAATGGCAAATCTAAGACTTATTGTACTTAAAGAGGAGGTAGAGAAAGAGATAGGGACAGAAAGTTTATTCAAAGGGATAATAACAGAGAACTTCCCAAACCTAGAGAAAGACATCAATATCCAAGAACAAGAAGGTTATAGAACACCAAGCAGATTTAACCCAAAGACTACCTCAAGGCATTTAATAATCAAACTAAAAGTCAAGGACAAAGAAAGGATCCTAAAAGCAGCAAGAGAAATGAAACAAATAATATACAATGGAGCTCAGTGGTTCAAACTGGTGAGAAGTCTGGCAGCAGACTTCTCAGTGGAAATCTTACAATCCAGAAGAGAATGGCTTAACATATTTAAAGTGCTGAAGGAAAAAAAAACTTTTACCCTTGAATAGTATATCTGGTGAAAATATCCTTCAACCATGAAGGAGAAATAAAGACTTTCCCAGACAAACAAAAGCTGAGGGATTTCATCAATACCAGACCAGTCCTACAAGAAATACTGAAGAGTATACTTCGATCAGAAAGAATAGGATGTTAACATGCAATAAGAAACCACCTGGGCCGGGCATGGTGGCTCACGCCTGTAATCCCAGCACTTTGGGAGGCCGAGGCGGGATGATCACTTGAGGAGTTCGAGACCAACCTGACCAACATGGTGAAATCCTGTCTCTACCAAAAAATACAAAAAAATTAGCCGGGTGTGGTGGCACGCACTTGTAGTCCCAGGTACTGAGGAGGCTGAGGTGGGGGAATCGCTTGAACCGGGGAGGTGGAGGTTGCAGTGAGCTGAGATCTCGCCCCTGCACTCCAGCCTGGGCAACAGAGTGAGACACTGTCTCAGAAAAAAAAAGAAAAAAAAAGTTAATGATCGCTGGGCTCAGTGGCTCATGCCTATAATCCCAGCACTTTGGGAGGCTGAGGCAGGCAGATTACTTGAGGTCCTGAGTTCAAGACCAGCCTGGCCAACATGGAGAAACCCCATCTCTACTAAAAATACGAAAAATTAGCTGGGCGTGGTGGTGCATGCCTGTAATCACAGCTACTCTGGAGGCTGAGGCATGAGAATTGCTTGAACCCAGGAAATGGAGGTTGTAGTAAGCTGAGATCGCACGCCACTGCACTCCAGCCTGGGTTGACAGAGCGAGACTCCATCTCAAAAAAAAAAAAAAAAAAAAAAAGAAATCACCTGAAGGTACAAAACTCACTGGTAATAGTAAGCACACAGAAAAAACACAGAATATAATAACACTAGAACTGTGGTGTGTAAACTACTCTTATCCTATGTATCTGCAGTCCTGGGACCACTGGGATTTACTGGAACCACTGAATCAGCTGGGAAAAAGAAAGTTTAATGTAGGGAAAAAAGAAAATGGTATAGTCATACCACATTGGAAGAATTGTTAGTCATTGTCTCCCAGCCCCTCTTCCCTTTAACTTCCAGAAAAGCAGAAGAATCTATCTAATAGGGACAAACCCTTGAGCCCCCTTGCGTTGAGTGTGAGCACATACTTGTGAAGGCATGTAAGCCAGCCTTTCATACCTTCATACCCTTATTCCCTGCTGTTTTAGATAGCACATGCTTCAACTGCCCATCCCAGTTCTCTATTGAACCACTCCTCTGAAGATGAAAGTGTTTCTTGATCTGAAGAAATGTAACTCAGTGGTTCAAATTGGTGGAGTATCTTTTGTTCTGACCCTTTTACAGTGTCAGTATTTTGAGCATTTGCATCTACCACTGGCCATGCAAAGCCCAGTCCAGAATCAGTGTCTACTCTTGTCAGGACCCAGGTAGCCCTCCAGGCCTACCAGCATCAGTCCACCTTGCCAGGTATGTGCAGGGCCTTCCCTCCAAGGTCATCTTCCCACAGCCATGTGCGGTCTTTCTCTTTTTGGCAGACAGAAAAGTACTTACTGGCATTTTGTGCCTCAGCGGGAAAACAGGACTAAGTCTAAATTCAGCTCTTCTCTGCATGGCTGCTGCCCTGCAATGTCCATTTATTTCATGAACACACGTGGCCACCTCAGGTGAGCACGCAGGGATGTCTGCTTGTTGCCCCAGTTCCTTTTGATCCTGGAAAGGGGTCCTTCTGATGGACATCAACATAACCTGCTTTAATGCACTCCTAAAATTCCTGTTGTGATTTCCATATAGACAAGGTTCCCATTGTCCTTCCGCCTGACCATATGGCCAGGCCATTGGCCACTGTCCAAGAGTTAGTAAAAACCTAAACAGTATGCAATTCAACCCACAGAGCTGATTTGTTTTTGCCTTCTTTGATCAGAGTAACAACCTTCCAAACAATAGGCTGTTCATTCACCTTGGGACTGCCATCCATAAGCCAAACAGCTTTGTTGGTCAATCGAGAGCTGTCAATAGGGCACTGTCCAATTGGCAATAGAATCTAACAACTCTTTGAGTGGGTCCAAAGTCAGTCCTAGGGGAAAAGAGTCTCTCTGCTTTTGAATACACTGAGTAACTGCATTCCCCCAGGAGCTTGTTCCTGATCCAGCCATTTCCATTTCATTATGGAACTCTTCTGGGCCCTGCCCACTCTCTGTGAGCATTTCCCCAAGATATTATAGGTATTTCAGGTTTCAAGATTATCTTACATCCTTCAGTCATAGGGGCAATTTCAAATAATGTCTGATAGCAAGCTAATAATTACCTCTCACATGGAAATTATCTAGTCCAAAGTCTCAGCACTCGTGCCAGGAGGTGCTCTAAGACTTTTGCTATAAAGTCCAGTCTATGCTCCAGAGAAGGCTAACAATCTCTGTGGACTTGGGCAATCTTATTGGTTCCCATTTGGAATGTCTAATCAATATTGCTTGATGAGTGGATTTCCATACCTTCTGTTTTACAATACTAGGTAGTGGAAATATTTCCTGGTCAGATACAATATCCATCCCTGTAATACATTCAGGTAGAAGAGATGCAACCACTCCACATAAAACCTGTTCAAGCGCATACCACTTTTTTGTTTTGTTTTGTTTTGTTTTTGAGATGGAGTTTCGCTCTTGTTGCCCAAGCTGGAGTGCAATGGCGAGATCTCAGCTCACTGCAACCTCCACCTCCTGGGTTCAAGTGATTCTCCTGCCTCAGCCTCCTGAGTAGATGGGATTACAGGTGCGCACCACCACACCCGGCTAATTTTGTATTTTTAGTAGAGACAGGGTTTCTCCATGTTGGTCAGGCTGGTCTTGAACTCCTGATCTCAGATGATCCACCCACCTCTGCCTCCCAAAGTGCTGGGATTACAGGCGTGAGCCACTGCACCTGGCTGCATTTTTATATTCTCTCAATCTCATTGCAGTGCCCATCAGGACTTCAGCAGGTGTTTTTGGTACCACAGTGCAGGACTGGAGGTTGTAATTCCACTGACCAGAATCTAAGCATGGCCCATCTTTTACTTTCAGTTTGGCTATTAGAGATAAAAGTCTATAGGGATTGTATATTTGCTTTTCTTCTTCTTAGTATACATTTCCCTATGCACATGAGTCAACTCCCCAAAAGTTAGTGATCAATCACCTCTAATTTCCATTGGTAACTTTTACCTCCAGTAACTGATTGCAGCATGACTGCTCTTCACACCATGGGTGACCCTGTATCCACTCGAGAATGAAAGGTTTCTCATCCCCTGCCCTTTCAACTTTTCTTTTCCCAACCCATATGTTTCAGTGAGTCAGGGTCATTCTAGTAAATCCACATTTTCTGACACCAACTGCAATACTGCAATTTAATCCTGGCACTAACCATCGGGAGTTAGTGCAGAATCCACACTCAGGTTAAGGGCACGGTCCTGAGTGAGACGGCCTCACTTCTGACACCAGCCACAAGTTCAGGGGTCCCCAGGCCACCTGCACTTATTACCAAGTGGCTACAAATGTAGGGGTTCCCATAACCCTTTCAGATTTGATAATTTGCTAGAACAACTCACAGGACTCAGAAAAGCTTACGGTTATGCTTAGGGCTATAGTTTTATTATAAGAATACAAGCCAGGATCAGCCAAATGAAGGGGTGCATGGGGCAAGGTCTAGGGGGGCCCTGAATGTAGAGCTTCTGTGTCCTTTCCCCATGGAACCAGGACGTTTCCCCTCCTGGCTCATCAATGTGTTCACCAACCAGGACTTGGTATTTATTTGTTTTATTTGTTTGTTTGTTGAGACAGGGTCTCACTCTGTCACCTAGGCTGGAGTGCAGTGGTGCAATCTCAACTCACTGCAACCTCCACCTCCCAGGTCAATGATTCTCACGTCTTAGCCTCCTCAATAGCTGGGATTACAGGCATGCACCACCACACCCTGCTAATTTTTGGCATTTTTGGTAGAGACAGGGTTTCACCATGTTGGCCAGGCTGCTCTCAAATGCCTGGCCTCAAGTGATCCATCCACCTCGGCCTCCCAAAGTGTTGGGATTACAGGCATGAGCCACTGTGCCCAGCCTACTTACCAGGACTTTGAAGTCCAGAGTTTTTATTGGGGTTTCATGACATACGCATGATTGATTGAATCATTGATCATGTAATTGAACTCCATCTCCAGCCCCTTCTCCTCCCTGAAGGTTGAGAAGTTGGGCTGATATCATGTGGACCAAAACCCCAACCCTCTACACACATGCTTGGCCTTTCTGGCACGGCCTGCCTTCATGTGGAGTCGTCTTGTTAGCAGAAGCTGTCTAGGGACCCACCATAAGTCACCTCATTAACAAAAGCTACCAAGAGCCTGGGAAACATGGCAAAACCCCATCTCTACAAAAAATACAAAAATTAGCCAGGCATGGTGGCACACACCTAGTCCTAGCTATTCAGGAGGCCAAGGTGGGAGGATCACCTAAGCCCAGAGAGATTGAGGCTGCAGTGAGCCATGACTGCACCACTGCACTCCAGCCTGGGTGACAGAGTGAGACCCTGTCTCAAAAAGCAATCAGGCCAGGTGCAGTGACTCATGCCTGTAATCCCAGCACTTTGGGAGGCCAAGGTGGGTGGATTGCTTGAGGTCAGGAGTTTAAGACCAGCTGGCCAACATGGTGAAACCCCGTCTCTACTAAAAATACAAAAATTAGCCAGGCGTGGTGGTGCGTGCCTATAGTCCCAGCTACTTGGGAGGCTGAGGCAGGAGAATCACTTGAACCCTGGGGGCAGAGGTTGCATTGAGCCAAAATGCTCACCACTGCACTGCCAGCCTGGGCAACAGAGCTAGATTGCTGTCTCAAAAAAAAAAAGAAAGAAAAAAACAACAACAAAAAAACACTAATCAGGGACCACTATTAATAACAGACATTCCTATCACTTGGGAGATTCCAAGGAGCTTAGAGGTTACTTTGGAGGAACCCAAGACAAAAATGAAACTAATTCCTCATTATACAAGAAGTGGCTTATACATGAAAGGATTGACTCAGCAGGTCTGCTGTGTTCAAACCCTGCACATTTCAGAGAAAATTCTGGCCTGTGACCAGCCCTGAGAGATGAGATTTAAATTACCAAAATATGCTGCCTGATAAGTCTTTGTTTTTCTGGGGCCTTGGGCCATGCCAGATATTTGATGCTAATAATGTGATTTGTGGCAGGGGCCTTTGGCCGCCCAGTATCAGTTTGAACTCTGGAGAGTGAGTAACTGAGGTCAGCCACACAGGTAGTCCACGCTTTCATCACTGACCTCCAATAAAAACACTGGACACCAAGACTCAGGTGAGCTTTTGTGATTGGCAATACTTCATGCGTGCTGTCACATGTTATTGCTGGAAAAATCAAGTCCTGTCCATATAAATCCACTGGGAGAGGAAAAACTGGAAGATTGAGATTATTTTCTCCTGGACTTGGCCCTAGAATATTTCACCTTTGATGGCTTTAACATGTATCTTTTCACTGTAAGAAACCATAATCAAGGCTGGGCACGGTGGTTCATGCCTGTAATCCCAGCACTTTGGGAGGCTGAGGCAGGCGGATCACAAGGACAAGAGATTGAGACCATTCTTGCCAACATGGCAACACCTCTGTCTCTACTAAAAATACAAAAATTAGCTGGGCGTGGTGGCAGGTGCCTGTAGTCCCAGCTACTGGGGAGGCTGAGGCAGGAGAATCGCTTGAACCCAGAAGGTGGAGGTTGCAGCGAGCCGAGATTGCACCACTGCACTCCAACCTGGCGACAGAGCGAGACTCTGTCTCAAAAAAAGAAAAAAAATGAAACCATAATCATGGTATAACCATTTGGAAGTGTTAGTGAATCACTGGCCTGAGGTTGGTCTTAGGGAACACCAGTAAAGTCATCTTCCCCTACATTTGGCAAACAGCCTAATGCTTGACAAAGCACTGGACCACCCAGCCTCTCTGAAGTCCTCATTACAATTGCTCAGGACAAAACCTATTAATTATCCCAGGTACACTTTTCCCCTTTATATTCCACAATTGTCATGGGCAAGCACTGTCAACTCTCCCTGTAACACACACCCTCTATTGAACCCCTTGTCTCTGTCTCTAGTCTAACCACTGGAACCCAAGCCCAAACCTTGTTGCCTGGAGCCCCGCTCTCCCCGGACCTGTTCCCACTCTGCCCCAATCACACAGGCCTTCGTCCCAATCCCTGAACAGTGCGTCAGGGCCTCTGCATGGCCCTTTCCATGCCTGGACTGTCCTCTCCCAGATCAGCTCAGCAATGGTTCCTGCCACAATTCTGCTTACACATCACCTCCTCAGAGACACCGTCCCTCCCCATCCTCTCTAACACACCCTCTGCTCACCCACACCAGCGGGCCCTAACTTCTCTCTACTTCAAACTGTGCTTCTGTTACTGTTTTGCTTCTATTATTATTATTATTATTATTTGAGATAGAGTTTTGCTCTTGTTGCCCCGACTGGAGTGCAATGGCATGATCTTGGCTCACTGCAACCTCCACATCCCAAGTTCAAGCGACTCTCCTGCCTCAGCCTCCCGAGTAGCTGGGATTACAGGCGTGCGCCACCATGCCCGGCTAATTTTGTATTTTTCATAGAGATGGGGTTTCACCATGTTGGCCAGGCTGGTCTCGAACTCCTGACCTCAGATGATAGCTCCCACCTTGGCCTCCCAAAGTGCTGGGATTACAGGCATGAGCCACCGTGCCCAGCTGTTTTTCTTCTATTATTATTGTTCTTGCAGGAGCTGGTAAAGTGGCTGATGTGGCCACAGCTCCATAAATCCATGTGGAACGAAGGGTGGACATCGCCTGAGTCCAGGAGACAGGACAGGGTCACTCATCTCTGTCCCTGGTGATGGAAACTCAGGCTCAGGAAAGAGCCTTGACCTGCCCTGGGTCACAGAGAGAATATGAGGGTCAGGGCTCAAGCCCAAGTGCTGTCTTCAGGCCCTTAGGCTGCCTCTCACACCCAGACTAGGAAGCTGGAGCAGAAAGTTTGCTAGAACAATCCTGAGAAGAGGCCTGCACAGTTCAAGGGGCAGCTTGGAGGAGGAGAGGAAGGGAGGGCGGGCTCTGGCCAGCAGGCTCTTGGACCTCAGGCCAGGCTCTGGCAGCTGCGTCTGGTATCAGGACTGCAGGTCCCGACAGGGGGCGGTGGCTCACGCTTGTATTCCCAGCACAGTCGCCAAGCCTAATGTCCCTTCCAACGGTGGAAAATTTTGGTAAAAATCAATGACAGGCTGGGCGTGGTGGTGCATGCCTGTGATTCCAGCTACTCAGGAGGCTGAGGCACGAGAATCTCTCGAACCCGGGAGGTCTAGGCTGCAGTGAGTGGAGATGGTGCCACTGTACTCCATCTGGACGACCGAGCAAGACTCTAACAACAACAACAAAAAAAACGGACTGCAGGTGCAGTGCCCAGCACAGAGCCTGCTACATAGGAATTCTCATTTTCTTCTCTTCCCTACTCTTTCCTTCCTTTATAATCTCTTCCTTTCCCTCTGAAGTACCGACCCCAGAGCTTGAGATCTCATCCCAGCCTCCCTCTTATTGCCATCCTCCCCTGCTGCCTTCCCCACACCCCTACCTCTCACAGGGTGGGGGTAGGGCCTCCTGGGACCCCAGTCCCAGCCCCAGCAGCAGTAGCAGGCACAGCTCCCAGGTCCTCCCTGGCATGGTGGCTGTGACTGTGACTGAATGAGCAAGCCCAGGCACCTTCGGCTTGCTGGGCACAGCCTGGCTCACCTGCCTGTCCAAGTCGGCCAAAGTCCAGCCTTTGAGGCGTGGCCACCTGAGGGGACGTGTGCTTGGTCTGTGTGTGGCCCGCTTGCCCCTCCTGCTCTCAGGGCACAGTGGCCACCTCCCTTGCTTCTACTTTGCCTCTTCTATTTCACAGTCTCAGCTGGTGCCAATGGCTCAGGCCCTTCCCTCAGAGCATGGTGGTGGGGGTGGGGAGTGGGCACCCAAAGGCCAGGGACACAGTCGAGGCCACACACCTGTAACCTGGATGCCAGGTTCCTTGGGTGGCCCCAAGACCACCAACCTCAGAGAGTTACCATTTCCCTTAACATTTCAAATGGAATGGCTCAAGATCCTGTCCCTGGTGTGGTGTGAAATTCAGGGCCTCTCACTGTTATCTGCAAGAGATACAGCGGAAGCACAGGACAGTAGAACCATTCTGTCTGGGGAGGACTAAGGGAGACCCACAATAGTGTGTCATTTGTAATGAGTCTTTTTTTTTTTTTTTTTGAGACTGAGTCTCACTCTGTCGCTAGGCTGGAGTGCAGTGGCGTGATCTCAGCTCACTGCCACCTCCGCCTCCCGGGTTCAAGCAATTCTCCTGCCTCAGCATCCTGAATAGCTGGGACTACAGGTGCCCGCCACCACGCCCAGCTAATTTTTGTATTTTTAGTAGAGACGGGGTTTCACTGTGTTGGCCAGGATGGTCTCAATCTCTTGACCTCATGATCTGCTCGCCTTGGCCTCCCAAAGTGCTGGGATTACAGGCGTGAGCCACTGCGCCAGTCCTAATGAGTCTTGATGACCGCATAGGAGTTTGCCAAGGGAAATGGGCTGGAGACCACTACAATGTATGCAGAGCATGTGAAGAGAAGAGCAAACCCCTCAGCCTAGCTGCAGAGAACTTGGTGTTCATGCAGGGAAGGGTTTTGAGATAGACTGGAGGAACATGTTGGCACCAGTCTGGAAATGGTCTTTGCCAAGCCAAGGAATGTAATTCCTTGTAATTCCCCAAAGTGGAACCAGCAGAGAAGTTTGTGAGCTTAAGAAGCAGATTCAGGCTGGGTGCAGTGGCTCATGCCTGTAATCCCACCACTTTGGGAGGCCGAGGCGGGTGGATCACCTGAGGTCAGGAGTTCAAGACCAGCCTGGCCAACATGGTGAAACCCCGTCTCTACAAAAATACAAAAATTAGCTGGGCATGATGGCGGGTACCTGTAATCCCAGCTCCTCAGGAGGCTGAGGTGGGAGAATCGCTTGAACTCGGGAGACAGAGGTTGTAGTGAGCCGAGATCATGCCACTGCACTCCAGCCTGGGCGACAGAGTAAGTCTCTGTCTCAAAAAAAAAAAAAAAAAAAAAAAAGCAGATTCGGTTACTTTAGGAGGCTCATCCCCTCAACATATGGAAGGTGAGCTGAAGGGACAGGGGACAGGGGGTGGGCAAGGCACATGGAGTTTAATGATAGGCATGACCTCTCCTGAAGGACTTAGGTTTGCAGTTAAGGATGTCAGTTGTGGCACCTGAGCAGTGTTTACTGCTATTAAAAAGAAAAACCTTAGACAAATTAAATTTAACCATTTATTCAAGCAAAGAAATGACTCATGAATCAGGCACCACTCTGAACTAGTAAAGGTTCAGATAGCTCCACCCAGTAATGTGGGCAGCTGGCATTGTTTTTTTTGTTTGCTTTGTTTTTTGAGACAGGGTCTCGCTCTGTTGCCCAGGCTGGCATGCAGTGGCTCCATCACAGCTCACTGCAGCCTTGATCTCTCAGGTTTAAGGGATTCTCCCACCTCAGCCTCCTGAGCAGCTGGGACCACAGGCACATGCCACCACGCCCAACTAATTTTTAAATTAAAAATAATTTTTTTTTTTTTAGAGATTGGGTCTCCCTATGTTGTCCAGGCTGGTGTGGAACTCCTGAGCTCAAGCAATCCTCCTGCCTCATCCTCCCAATGTATTGGGATTACAGGTGTGAGCCACCATGCCTGGTCAACAATTTTTAAGTGTACAATTCAATTTCCTTTTATTACATTCACAATGCTGTGCAACCACCCTTGCATTCTTTGGATAAATCTCACTTGGTCATGATGTCTAATCCTTTTAATAAACTGTTGGTTTTGGCTTGCGAGTATTTTTTTGAGGAATTTTGCATCAATATGTATAGAGCATATTTGACTGTAATTTTCTTTCCTTGTTTTGTTTTGTTTTTTTTTTTTTTTGGACACATAGTCTTGCTCCATCACCCAGCAGGCTGGAATACAGTGGCATGAACACAGCTCACCACAACCTCGACTTCCTGGGGCTCAAGTGGTCATCTGGCCTCAACCTTCTGAGTAGCCAGGACTACAGGTGCATGCCACCACGCCTGGGTAATTTTTAAATTTTTTTGTAGAGACTACATCTGACTGTGTCGCCCAGGCTGGTCTTGAACTCCTGGCCTCAAGTGATCCTCCCGCCTTGGCCTCCCAAAGTGTTTCTCCCCAAGTGTGAGCCACCATGCCCAGCCCTCTTGTGATGTCTTTATCTGGTTTTAATATCAGGGTAATGTTAGCCTCATAGCATGAGTTAGGAAATATGCCCCTCTTCTATTTGTGGAAGTGTTTGAGAAGGATTGTTAATTCTTTAAATGTTTGGTAGAATTTACCAATGAAGCCATCTGGTCCTGGACCGTATTAGGCAGAAACAATACATATATGGGGGATGGGGGTAGAGAGAGAGAGTTTGAGAGGTAGCTGGCAAGTCCAAAATCTCTAGGGTAGGCTGGCAGGCTGGAGAAACAGGGAAGAAGCTGCAGTTCAAGTCTGAAGGCAGCATGCTGAGAGAATTCCTTCTTCTTCTGGGGAGGTCAGTCTTTTTCAAATTAAAGTCTTCAACTGATTGGATAAGGCCCATCCAAGTTAGGGAGGGTAACCTGCTTTACTCAAAGTCTACAAATTTAAATGTTATTTTCATCTAAAAAATATCTTCACAGAAACATCTAGAATAATGCTTGACCAACTATCTGGATACCTTTGCCTAGCCATGTTGACACATAAAATTAAACATCTTTTTTTTTTTTTTTGAGATGGAGTCTCGCTGTGTTGCCCAGGCTGGAGTGCAGTGGCATGATCTTGGCTCACTGCAACCTCTGCCTCCTAGGTTTAAGCGATTCTCCTGCCTCAGCCTCGTGAATAGCTGGGATTACAGGCGCCCACCACCACACCCAGCTACTTTTTGTATTTTTAGTAGAGATGGGTTTTCACCGTGTTAGCCAGGCTGGTCTCGAACTCCTGGCCTCAGGTGATCCACCCGCCTTGGCCTCCCAAAGTGCTAGGATTACAGGCATGAGCCAACGTGCCCAGCCAATGTTCTTTAAAAAAACACATGACTCTACAGTGATTGTACTAACTTACATTCTCACCAACAGTATATGAGGGTTCCTTTTCTCCACATCCTCACCAGCATTTGTTATTGCCTGTCTTTTGGATAAAAGCCATTTTAACCGTAGTGAGATAATATCTCATTGTAGTTCTGATTTGCATGTCTCTGATGATCAGTTATGTAGCGCACCTTTTCATATACCTGTTTGCGACTTGTATGTCTTCTTTTAAGCAAGGTTTATAGTGATTCAGATCTTCTGCCCATTATGCAGACTGGCTTTGTTCTGGGGGAACACCTCATTATATTGCGCAGGCTGGTCTCAAACTCCTGGGCTCAAGCAATCCTCCCACCTTGGCCTCTCAAAGTGCTAGGATTACAGGTATGAGCCACCATGCCCAGCCAGTAGTGTTTTTTTTTTTTTTTTTTGAGACGAAGTCTTGCTCTATCACCCAGGCTGGAGTGCAATGGCATGATCTTGGCTCACTGCAACCTCCGCCTCCTGGATTCGAGTGATTCTCCTGCCTCAGCCTCCTGAGTAACTGGGACTACAGGCGCCCACCACCACACCCGGCTAATTTTTGTATTTTTAGTAGAGATGGGGTTTCACCATATTGGCCAGGCTGTTCTTGAACTCCTGACCTCATGATCCACCCACCTCAGCCTCCCAAAGTTCTGGGATTACCGGCATGAGCCACCACGCCCGGCCTCCAGCAGTTCTTTTTTTAGTATTATATGTTTACAACTAACCAAGTCTACTCAAATAACACTACATTTCATGGTAGTGCAAGTACCTTATGATAACAAAGTAGTCTTAACTTCTCCCTCCTGTCCCTTCTATCATTGCTGTCATTCAGTTCCCTTATCCATAAACTAGAATCGTTGAATACACAGTTGCTATTACAGATTGAGCACCCCAAATCTGATAACCCAAAATCTGAAATGCTCCAAAATCCAAAACTTGTTGAGTACAGACATAATGATCAAAGGAAATGCTCACTGAAGCATTTCAGATTTTGGATGATCAGATTTGGGATTTTGAACCAGTAAGTATATTGCAAATATTTCAAAATTCAAAAAAAAAAAATCCAAAATCCAAAATTCTCCTGGTATCAAGCATTTTGGATAAATGCCCTGTTTTATTTTGAACAAACCATTATCTGTTAGATTAACTAAGGATAAGAAAAGTAAAAGCTTTTATTTTACCTTCACTTATTCCTTCTCTAAAGCTCTTCCCTTGTTTATGTAGTTCAAAGTTTCTAACTTATATCATCTTTCTTTTCTCTGAAGAAGTTTTTTTTTTTTTAAATACTTCTTGCAAGACAGGTCTACAGATTCTCTCAATTTTTGTTGGCTTGTGAAAGTTCTCATTTCTCCATCACTTTTTTTTTCCTTTTTTTCTTTTTCTTTTCTTTCTTTTCTTTTCTTTTTTTTTTTTTTTTTTTAAGACAGATTCTTGCTCTGTTGCCCAGGCTGGAGTGCAGTGGTGCTATCTCGGCTCACTGCAATCTCCGCCTCTCAGGTTCCAGTGATCCTCCAGCCTCAGCCCCCCAAAGTAGCTGGGACCACAGGCATGTGCCACCACTAAAGTTTGTATTTTTTTTGTAGAGACGGGGTTTCACCATGTTGCCTAGGCTGGTCCCAAACTCCTGAGCTCAAAGCCATCTGCCTGCCTCGGCCTCCCAAAGGGCTGGGATTACAGGCATGAGCCACTGTGCTGGCCTCTCCATCACTTTTGAAGGATGGTTTTGCAGGAAAGAGATTCTAGGGATTATAGGTTGGTGGGGTCTTCTTCTCTGTCAATGCTTTAAATATCTCACATGGCTCTCTTCTTCCTTGCATGGTTTCTAAGAAGTCTGGTGTTATTTTTATCCTTGGTCCTCCATAGGTAAGGTTTTTTTTACTCCTCTGCCCTCTTCCAAGACTTTTTATCTTTGAATTTCTGCAATTTGAATATAATATGCCTAGGTGTTGATTTTTTCTTCTTTTTGGGGGGCATCTGTCTTCCTTAGTATTTTCTGAGCTTCCTGGATCTGTGGTTTGGTGTCTGATACAAATTTGGGGAAATTCTCATTCATTATTGTTTCAAATGTATCTTCAGTTCCCTCTTTCTTGCTCTGTATTCCCATTAATGCATATGTGATGACTTTTGTCATTGTCCCACAGTTTTGGATATTCTGTTCTGTCTGTTTCAGTCTTGCCTCTCTTTGCTTTTGAGTTTTGGAAGTTTCTATTGACATATCCTCAAGTTCATGGATTCTTTCCTCAGCTTTGTCCAGTCTACTAAAGAGCTGATCAAAGGCACTTCCTTTGTGTTTTTTTCTCCTCATTGTACTTCTTCTTTGTTTTTTTCTTAGAATTTTCATCCCTCTGCTTAAATTACTTATCTGTTCTTGCATGTTGTCTACTTTTTCCATGAGCACCCTTGGCATGTTAATCATAGTTGTTTCAAATTTCCGGCCTGATAATTCCAACATCCCCGCTATAGTTGAGTCTGGTTCTGTTACTCGCTCTGTCGCTTCAAGTGGTATTTTCTGCCTTTTAGTAAGACTTCTAGTTTTTTCTTGAAACCAAACCAGTACTGGGTAAAAGAAACCCAGTGTGGAGGTGTCTACTCTGGTAAGTTGTGACTCTCTGGATCTGCCTGTCTGTCTCCAGTTTTGGAGGCAGCTCTGTGACCTTAATTTGCTCTGTGACCTTAATTCTCTGACAGATCTAAGAAGAGTTGCGGGTGTTGTTTATTCAGCTTTTTACTGTTGTTAAGATGGAGTGACAGTTGCCACACTCCTTACACCCTAAGCCAGAAACAAGAAACCCCCATTTAGTTCTTTTTTTTTTTTTTTAATTTGAGAGTCTCACTCTGTCGCCCAGGCTGGAGTGCAATGGCACAATCTCGGCTCACTGCAACCTCTGCCTCCTGGATTCAAGCAATTCTCCTGCCTCAGCCTCCCCAGTAGCTGGGATTACAGGCATGCCCCACCACGCCCAGCTAATTTTTGTATTTTTAGTACAGACAGGGTTTCACCATGTTGGCCAGGCTGGTCTCGAACTCCTGACTTCAGGTGGTCCTCCCACTTTGGCCTCCCAAAGTGCTGGGATTACAGGCATGAGCCACCGTGCCTGGCCGGTTCTCTTTGTATTTTCTTTTTCTTTTATTTTCTAGAGACAGAGTTTTCCTCTGTCACCCATGCAGGAGTGCAGTGGCTCAATGACAGCTCCTTGCAACCTTGAACTCCTGGGCTCAAACAATCCTTCCACCTCATCCTCCCAAATAGCTGGGACTACAGGCATGTGCCATAATGCCTGGCTAATTTTAAAAATTACAGCTCACTATGTTGCCCAGGCTGGCCCTGAAATCCTGTCCTCAAGTGATCCTCTTGCCTTGGCCTCTCGAAGCACTGGGATTACAGGTGTGAGCCATCACACCCAGCCCTTTTTTAATTTTTATTTTTTTATTATTATGATTTTTGAGACAGGATCTTGCTCTGTTGCCCAGGCTGGAATGCAGTGGCACAATCACAGCTCACTGCAGCCTCCACCTCCTGGGCTTAAGCAATCTCACCTCAGCGTCCTGAGTAGCTGGGACTACAGGTGTGCACCACCACACCTGGCTAATTTTTTATTTTTGTAGAGATGGGGTCTCACTATGTTGCCTTGGCTGGTTTTGAACTCCTGGGCTCAAGTGATTTGCCTGCCTCAGCCTACCAAATGTTGGGACCACCGGGGTGAGCCACTATACCCCCTGGCCCTTTTTAATACTTTCCATCTGTTTATTGATACCCTTTCTTTAGTATATAGTGGTCACTTTTTTTTTCTGAGATGGAGTCTCGCTCTGTTGCCCAGGCTGGAGTGCAGCAGTGCAATATTGGGTCGCTGCAACCTCCACCTCCTGGGTTCAAGCGATTCTCCTGCCTCAGCCTCCCGAGTAGCTGGGATTACAGGCGCCCGCCACCACACCCAGCTAATTTTTGTATTTTTAGTAGAAGACAGGGTTTCATTATGTTGGCCAGGCTGGTCTCGAACTCCTGACCTCAGGTGATCCACCCATCTCAGCCTCCCAAAGTGCTGGGATTACAGGTGTGAGCCACCGTGCCCAGCCTAGTGGTCACTCCTATAAGACAATTTCTCTTGCCTGGTTGTGTGTGTGTGTGTCATACTTTTCTGTTTTTTTGTGTGTGTCTCGTAATTTTTTGTAGGAAAACAAACATTTTAGATAACATATTGTAGCAATGCTGGGTACTGGCTGCCTCACCACACTCTACCCAGAGCGTGCTATTGTTCATTTGTGTATTTGGGGAGCAACTGGCTGAATTATGGTCCTGGTCTATTTCCCACCCTCTGTGTTAAGCCCATGAGGTTGCTCCTCGGGGAGACACAGCTTTGGGGATGGCTACAGCCACTCTGGGGTGACAGTGGTCTTGGCAGGGCTCCCTTCCTCTCTTTCCCTGAGCACATCCAGCAGTTAAACTCCACTAATTGCCAGCTGATTTTACAATTGTTTTAATGATGCCCTGGGGGATAAAT